>NC_000016.10:46986742-47289772 GCF_000001405.40 Homo sapiens | reverse complement strand
AATTTACCAATAGCTAGACTCATCTAGATAAAAAAAAGAGGAAAGGCCCCAATAAATAAAATCAAAAAGGAAAGGGAGACATTAAAATTGATATCACAGAAATACAAGGACCATTAGAGACTATTACAAACAACTATATGCCAACAAATTAGAAAATCTAGTGTAAATGGATGAATTCATGTACACATACAATCCACCAAGATTGAACCAAGAAGAAACAGAATACCTGAACAGACCAATTAGAAGTAATGAGATTTAATCCTGAATAAAATGTCCCCCATTAAAGAAAAGCCCAGGACCCAGTAGCTTCAGTACTGAATTCTATAAAACATTAAATAAAGAACTAATATCAATTCTTAAGGTATTTCAGAAAATTTAGGAGGTGGAAATTCTTGCATACTCATTATACAAGGTCACCATTACCCTGATACCAAAACAAGACAAGGATGCAACAGAAAAAGAATAGTACAGTTTAATATGTCAGGTTAGTTGAGATGCAGAAGTCCTGAGCTAAATACTCACAAACTGAATTCAGCAGCACATTAGAAAGAGCATTTACCATGTTCAAAGTGAATTTATCCCAGGAATATAAGGATGGCTAAACTATACAATTCAATAAATGTGATACACCACATTAACAAAATGAAAGACAAAAACTCTTTGGTCATCTCAATAAATATCGAAAGAGGATGTGATAAAATTCAGCATCCTTCATCGTAAAAACTCTCAATAATTTAGGTACAGAAGGAATATACCTCAACATAGTAAAGGATATATATGACAAACCTACTGCCAACATTATACTACACGAGGAAAAGTTGGAAGCTTTTCCTGTAAGATTTGGAAGGAGACAAGGATACCCATTTTACTTCACCTTTTTTAAGAGTCTCGCACTGTTACCCAGGCTGGAGTGCAGTGGTGCAATCTCGACTCGCTGCAACCTCCACTTCTTGGGTTCAAGCGATTCTCGTGCCTCAGCCCCAAGTAGCTGGGACTACAGGTGTGCACCACCACGCTGGCTAGTTTTTGTGTTTCTGGTGGAGACGGGGTTTCACCATGTTAACCAGGCTAGTCTCGAACTCCTGAGCTCAAGTAATCTTCCTACCTTGGCCTTTGGTCTAAGCGACAGAGCGAGACTTTGTCTCAAAAAAAAAAGAAAACCAAAAGTAAATGCTGTTGAGGATGCAGAGAATGGGAAACTCTTATACATTGATGGTGGGAAAGTAAATTAGTACAGCCATTACGGAAAACAGGGTGGAGGTTGCTCAAAAAATATAAAAAATAGAACTATCATACCTGCCATACGTTCCAGCAGTCCTGCCACTGAGTATCCCAAGGAAAGGAAATCAAAAGGATACCTGTACCCCCATGTTTATTGCAGCTCTGTTCACAATAACCAAGATATTAAATGAACCTAACTATTCATCAAGAGATGAATTGATTTTTGCAATGTGGTATATAAACACAGTGGAAAATATTTAGCCATTAAGAGTGGAAATGTTGTCATTCATAACAGCATGATGAGCTTGGAGGACTTTATATTAAGTGAAATAATCCAAGTACAGAAAGGTGAATAACCACATTCTCATTCATGTGGAAGCTAAAATAGTTTATCTCAGAAGTAGAGAGTAGAATAGTTGTTACTTAAGATAGAGGTTATTGTGGAATAGGTGAACGCCAAGGGTTGGTTAATAGACTCTTTCTCAAAAAAATAAAAATAAAAATGTACAGCAGGACCATTTCTCCTAGTCTACAGGATGCAACTAGGAAGACTTCCTGGAGAAAGTAATGTCAGCAGTTGAAGTTCTTATATGTGGATAACACTGTATAAGGCAGAAGATAATTGAGTAAATTGAGATATTTATTCTTGCCATGCTTTCTAACAGAAGAGGTTAATGCTCACTTTTCACCTTAAACTGTGAATAGACATTTTTCCAAAGAAGATATGCATAGGATAAAAAGGCACATAAAAATTTGCTTAACATCATTAGTCATTCGTGAAATTCAAAACAAAACCACAATTAGATACCACTTCACACTCACTAGGATGGCCAGAATCAAAAACAGACAACCCTGGTATGGTGGCACACACCTGTAGTCACAGCACTTTGGGAGGCTGAGGTGAGGGAATTGCTTGAGCCCAGGAGTTCAAGACCAGCCTGGATAACATAGTGAGGCCCTGTCTCTACAAAAAAAAATTTTATAATAGCCAGACATAGTGGCAGGTGCCTGTGGTCCCAGCTACTCAGGAGGTTAAGGCAGGAGGATCGCTTGAGCCCAGGAGGTCAAGGCTGCAGTGAGCTGTGTTTGTGCCACTGCACTCCTGCCTGGGTGACAGAACAAGCCCCTGCCTCAGAAAGAAAGAAAAAAAAATAGAGCAGTTGGTCTTGCAGCAGCTGGGCTTGGTGGCTCACGCTTGTAATCCCCCTTTGGGAGGCCAGGGCATGAGAATCACTTAAAGCCAAGAGTTCAAGACCAGTCCGGGCAATAGAGCAAGATCCCCACCTCTAATTTAAGAAAAAATTATATGTAAATATATATATATTTAAATAGAGAACATTTCTGTTAACACAACGTTATTCTGGACAGCATTTCTCTGTATGGTGTACAGAGTTAGAATGGTCTTCGGGTCTAGTTGCAGCATCATTTCTTAACCAAGTGTCCTTGCATTAGCTCTGATACATCTGATCTTCAGCTTTATCTTACAAATGCAGCTAGCAATTGATGTAGGTCTTGCTTGCCTCAAAAAGCCAAACTTTTGAACAAATTTATTATCTTAACATTCCTTGAATGTGAACTACCTGAGAGGAAGTTGTGATTAAGTGAAAGAATATAGATTTTGTAAGTTTACCACATATTAAATGTGAGATGTTCAGTGAGTTTTTTAACCTCTCTCAGCCTTGCCTATCTCATGAATACAATAGGGATAGTAATCCATACCTCATAAGACTGGAGGAATTAAACTGTATAATGTATCAAAGCTCAGCACCTAGCACATAGTATATAAGCAATGTGGTGCTACCCAGATCTCTCTTTAGGACTTAAGGACCTATTTCCTGGGCTGCTGAGAAGGCTGCCATCTGACAGCCATTTGCTATTAACACTCTCTGGCAATTATCTTTTTTTTTTTTTGAGGCAGGGTTTCACTCTTGTCGCCCAGGCTGGAGTGCAATGGTATGATCTTGGCTCACCACAACCTCTGCCTCCCGGGTTCAAGTGATTCTCCTGCCTCAGCCTCCCAAGTAGGTGTGATTACAGGCACCCGCCACCATGCCCAGCTAATTTTTGTATTTTTAGTAGAGATGGGGTTTCACCATGTTGGCCAGGCTGGTCTAGAACTGCTGAACTCAGGTGATCCACCCACCTCGGCCTCCCAGAGTGTTGGGATTACAGGTGTGAGCCACCGCGCCCAGCCTCTGGCAATTATCTTTAACAAAGAAGGCCACTTTTTCTAGTGATATGCCTCCTTTATCATATCATATAATTGACGGGGCAGTTAAAGTCCCAGCCTCTGCACCCATAATGGAGGACAATTTGGAATGGCCATCCCAACTTCAGAGCTTCCTGTGGGATAGATTGAGGCCTTTGTTAAGACTGCATCACAGTCTAAATTCTCCCTCTACCTATGTAGAGTTCAATGTAATATATTTACTGCTGTCCTGTTTCCATCTCAGATCTCCTTCCCAGGGAACCCAACTTGCCCCAAGCAGTGATGTTACTTCCATCTCCCTATACTGAGCTCCTTCCCTTTGTAGTCTGCCATGTGGAGGAGTGTCAGGAAAGGCTTTTGGGAGAAAGTGGTACTTACACTGAGTGTCAAAGGAATTACAAATAATTTAGCAGTGGGTAAGTGTGGGGGTGAGTTTCAGGGAGAGCAACACTTGCCAAGGCACAGATGATCAGAGGCAGAGGGTACATGAAAGAATTATAAGCAATATTATTATAACGCGTGTTTACAAAATTCTTTGAATTGACTACTACTGTTTTCTACAGCTCTTATGTAATATAATTGTGTAGGAAAAACTCTCTCTGCCTATGTTTTTCCTCTACTCTCACACCACAATAGTTACTAACATAGAAGACTTGGGTGACCATATGTGTGGAGTTTTTGTCCCCACACACAAAGCAGCAGACACCAGCTGGGTGTCCTCTAATTCAGTTCCAACACTCCTGGAGATAGTGTCAGATCCAACAGGTTAAGGGCTCAATCCCCAAGACCACTGCCACATACACACTAGTTGCAAGCCCAGGCCTCTGAAATTTCTGTCCAACCAGCGTCAGGTTGGGGTTCCCATGACCCCCTCCTTTGGTATGAGTTAATTTGCTGGAGTGGCTTACAGAACTCAGAGAAGCACTTACTTATATTGACAGGTTTATTATAAAAGATATAGATGAAGAGAGGCATAGGGTGAGGTACGGGGCAGGGGCTCAGAGCTTCTAAGCCCTCCCTGGGCACAACCCCCTCCAGCAATCTCCACTTGTTCAGCTCGGATGTTTACTGAACCCTTTCCTTTTGGGTTTTTATGGAAGCTTCATTGCATCAGCATTCTTCCCCCAGGGTATAGGGTGGGACTCTCTCATGGGAGTGTCTTAAGACCCAGGATCAGAAAGGAACATTAGCGTGAACGGAGTGCAGGAGAAGGTCAGAGGCCTGCCTCTGAGGCCTAACACACCCAACATTACAACAAAAGACTGTAACGAGGGCTATGGGAGTTTTGAGCCAGGAATGGTGGAAGAAAACTAATATGTATAATACCACCATAATAACAATAATACTTGACATGTGTAGAGTAATTCTGATGTTGTTCTATGTAAGTTTCTATAACATGATAGCTTCAGTTTTTCAAATGTTTTCATTCCTTCAGAATAAATATTACACCATAAATTCTAATTAAATATATGTGTGATTCAAGAAAATTATACAAGCTTTGGGTTTTCATGTACAAACTTAAGAATACTTATTTGAGGACATTTTGTTTTTTGAAGATTCAGAAACAGTTATTCTTCCATGAATTATTCCAAGCACATGAATTTTTTTAAAGATACATTTCAAAAATAGCACATTCATTCTTCTCTTGACTCTCTAAGGAGCACAGAAAACAATTTTAATGGGGGTGGTTGTGGGGAAGGTGAGCATAGTTGACTTGACCCATTATGCATTAATCTGACAGGTAGCTAAAGAATGTAATGAAATAGCTGTTTGGATTGTATTTATTGTGTTTATAGATGTATTAAAACATCTATCACTGTTTAGATGATGGCTACACTGTATATTATAACTGCAAAACAGGATAAATTAAACTGAGTTTCATCTATGAACATTAAAACACTTGTGAGTGTGAGGAACGCGTTTTGTAAGGCTACTATATAATGAACACAATATCTATTTAAATAAGTTGCATATATTCTTGACTATAGAAATATGTTATATCTTATTGGTGCTCTTTTTTTCCTAGAATTTTTGTGTACTTTTATTCTGCTTCATTAATGTTTTTATAAATGTATAATTGTTTAACAACTTTGTGGAGGTAAATACACATATCATAAAATTCACATGTTGAAAGTGTACAATCTAATGGCTTTTGGTATATCCACAGAGGTGTGCATCCATTGCCACAGTCAGTTTTAAAACATTTCTGTTACCCCAAAAAGAAAACCTCACACTTCTAAGCCATCACCTCCCAAGCCATAGACAGCCACAAATCCATTTTCTGTCTCTACAGATTTGCCTATTGTAGTCATTTGACTAAAATTGAATCATTATAATTCATGATCCTTCATAATTGGCTTCTTTCACTTAGCATAGTGTTTTCAAGATTTACCCTTAATATCAGATATATCAGTTCTGCATGTCTTTTTATTGCCAAGTAATTTTCCACAGCATGGATATACCACATTTTATTTATCCATTTGTGAGCTTCAAATGTTGACTGACACAATATTGTAGAAAGGTACCAAGAGTGAACCTGGTTTGTGTATTAGTTTCCTATTGCCATAGTAACAAATTGCCACAAATATAATGTCTTTTAGGAAAACACAGATTTATTATATTCTGAAGTCAGAAGTCTGAAATAAGTTTCACTGGGCTAAAGTCGAAGTGTTAGCACCACTTGTTCTTCTGGAGGCTTAGGGGAGAACTTGTTTCCCTGCCTTTTCCAGCTTCTTAAGAATACCAGCATTCCTTGGCTCATGGCCCCATCCTCTGTCTTCAAATTTCACAGTGTAGCATATTGGTTTTAGTCAGGGTTCTGCAGAGAAACAAAACCAATAGAATGGACAGAGACAGGATTTATTATAAGGAGCTGGCATGGTATTGCTATAAAAATAGACACACAGATCAATGGGACAGAATGGAGAACCCAGAAGCAAACCCACATACCTTCAACCAACTAATATTCAACAAAGTTGACAAAAATACACAATGGGGAGAGGACAGTCTCTTCAAAGAATGATGCTGGGAAAATTGGCTAGCCATATGCAGAAAAATTAAACTGGACCCCTGTCTCTCACCATATACAAAAATTAACTCAAGGTGGATTAAAATCTTAAATGTAAGACCTGAAACTATAAAAATCCTGGAAGAAAACCTAGGAAAAACTCTTCTAGACATTGGCCTAGGGAGACTTTATGAATAAGTCCTCAAAAGCAAACACAATAAAAACAAAAATAGATACATGGAACTCAATTAAACTAAAAGGCTTATCTACATAGCAAAATAAATAATGAACAGAGTAAGCAGACAGCCTACAGAATGGGAGAAAATATTTGCAAACTGAACATCTGACAAAGGGTTAATATCCAGAATCTACAAGGAATTCAACTCAGCAAGAAAAAAAAGCAACCCCATTAAAAACTGGGCAAAGGACATGAACAAACATTTTTCAGACAAAGACATACAAGTGACTGACAAGCATGAAAAAATATTCAACATTACTAGTCATCAGAGAAATAAGAATTAAAACCACAATGAAATATACCATCTTTCACCAGTCAGAACAGCTGTTAAGTCAAAAAACAACATGTTGGCGAGGATGTGGAGAAAAGGGGCCACTTATTTGCTGTCATTGGGAATGAAAATTAATACAACCTCTGTGGAAAACAGTATGGAGATTCCTCAAAGAACTAAAAATAGAATTACCATTTGACGTAGCAATCCTACTACTGGGTACTTAACCAAAGGCAAAGAAATCATTATACCAAAAGGATACCTGTACTCATATGTTTTTTGCAGCACTATTCATAGTAGCAAAGCTATGGAATCAACCTAAGTTCCCCATCAACAGATGATTGGATAAAAAAATATATATATCATATACATATACACCATGGAATACGACTCATCTATAAAAAAGAATGAAATCGTGTCTTTTGCAGCAACATGGCTGGAACTGTCTTAAGTGAAATAACTCAGAAACAAAGTCAAATACTGCATGTTCTCACTTGTGAATACAAGCTAAATAATATGTACACATGGACATAGAGGATGGAGTAATAGTGAAGACTCGCAAGGCTGAGGGGGTGTAAGGGATGAGAAATTACTTAATGGGTACAACTCATGGGTACAGTAGTATATATTGTACCAATGTAGTAATTTCTCATCCCTCATACCCGCTCAGCCTCATGGGTACAATATATACTACTGTACTGTACGTGGGTACAATAGGATATATTGTACCCATGAGGCTGAGGGGATGTGAGGGATGAGAAATTATTACATTGTATAACTATTAACTATGTATACAAATAGTATATATTGTACCCATGAAGCTGAGGGGATGTGAGGGATGAGAAATTATTTAATGAGTACAGTATATACTATTGTATACTAAAAGCCCAGACTTCATCACTACATAATATGTCCATGTAACAAAACTGCACTTGTAGCCCTTAAATCTATAAAAATAAATAAATAGTAAAAACAGAAAAATAACAAAGGCAAATCAAAAGCTGGTTTTTGGAAAATATCAACAAAATCGTTAAACCTCTAACAAGACTGACAAAAAAAAAGAGAGGATTGTTAGTTTTTAAACAATAACAAAAATGAAACAGAAGATTTTACTACAGATGTTCAGATGCTTAAAGGATTAGTGTTGTTGCAATGAACAACCCTCCATGCATAAATTGACAACTTTGACTTAATTTAACAATTCCTTGAAAACCACACACTATCAAAATTCATTCAAAGTGAAATAGATCATAGGAACCATTGTATAACTATTAAAGAGATTAAAACTTTAACCACAACCTTCTGAAAAAGAAATCTCCAGGCCCAGATAGTTTCACTAACAAATTCTACGAAACCTTTAAATAATTCCAGTTCTACATAAGCTCTTCCAGAAAATAGAAGACTAAGGGACACTTCTCAATTCAACTAAATTTAGGAGGCTGATGTTAACCTTAATGCCAAACCAGGCAAAAACAGTACAAAAAAAGAAAACTACAGACTAATACTTCATGAACAGAGATGAAAAATTACCCAACAACAAATTAGCACATTGAATCTCTGATTCTCCAGTACCACTTGTGTGCCCAGTGATCCAAGCCACTGACACCAAATTCCCAGAGTAAGTGTGCAACTCTACATTTGTTAAGGATTCTGTTCCACAAGACTGCCTTGACTTCATATCCCGATCTCAAGCTCCAGTCCCCAGGATACCCAGATTTCTCTCCAACTTGGCTACAAATTCAGGAGTCCTCATTCCTCCCCATGTTCAATAATGTGCTAGTAAGACTCACCAAACTCTGGAAAATGCTATACATTCTATTGTAGTTTATTCTAAAAGAAGCAAGTGAACAGCAAAATGAAGAGGTACATTAGGGTAAGGTCACAAGGGTCACAAGCATGGCCTTTTTTGTCCCCATGGAGTTAGAGTGTCCCACCCTCACAACTGGATGTATTCACCAAATCCTGTCGTTTAGAGGTTTTTAGGGAGGCTTCATTACGTAGGCATGATTGATTCAGTCATTGGCCATTGGTCGTTGGACTCAAGCTGCTCCTCCTCTCTTTTCTGGGACGATTAGGGGGTGAGACTGAAAGTTCCAACCCTCTGATCAAAGATTGTTGTTTCTGGTGAAAGGCCTCATCCTGAAGCTATCTAAGGGCCTTAGCATAAACTCAAGATAGATGAGATAGCTCATCTCATTAGCATAAACTCAGATAATTGGAAGGGCCTGTTATGAGTAACAAAAGATGCTCCTATTGCTCAGGAAATTCCATTTAGGAGCTCCATGCCAGGAACTGGGGACCAAGACCAAATATATATTTCCCATTATACCAAAGAATCCCAGCAATATATCAAAAATAATACACCACAACCAAGTGGGCTTTATTCCAGGGATGTACAGTTATTTAATATTTAAAAATCATTTTATTCCTCCATTTACTATTTTAAATAAAGGAATAAGCATATCAGTTCATGTAGAAAAATCATTTAACAAAATTCAATGCATTCATGATAAAACCTCTCAGAAATATGGGAATACAAGGGAACGTCATCAACTTGATAAAGAATTATAAAAAAATCTACAGCCAACCTTATAATTAATGGTGAAAGTAAAAGTAATGCTTTTCTCTAATACTGAGAATAAGGCAAGTTTGTGTTCTCTCTCTACTCCCATTGAACCTAGTACTGGAAGTCTTACCCAGTGCAGTAAAGCAAGAATAAGAAATAAAAGACATACAAATTGTAAAGAAAGAGGTCAGACTTCCCCTATTGAGGTGACATGATTGTTGGTGTAGAAAATTTGAAAGAATTAGGGAAAAAAAACCTCATGTAACTATTAAGTGAATTTAAGATAGTGGCAGGATACAAGATCAATACACAAGAATCACTCTTATTTCTATATATTAGCAATGAACAACTAGAAATAGAAATCAATACAATCCAATTTAAAGCAGCATTAAGAAACAAAATACTTAAGTATAAATGAAACATATTAAGTATCTATATGTCATTAACTCCAAAATGCTGATGAAAGAAATCAAAGAAGACCATTGGTGAGACATACCATATTCAGGCACTGGAAGACTCAACATCCAAAAATATCATTTCTCTCAATATGTAGAGTTATTGTCATTCCTATCAAAATCGCAGTAGAGTTTTTTTGTAGATACAGACAAATTGATTCTATAATTTATATGAAAAGACAAAGGAACCAAAATAGCTAAATCAGTTTTGAAAAAGAATATAAAATTGGAGAAATCACACTCCCTAAGTTAAGGATTTTACTATATAGCTACAATAATCAAGACAGTGTGGTATTGGCAAGGCAGTAGACACATAGATCAGTGGAATAACTTAGACTGCCAAACAAGTACAGCTTACTAGTACAGCTAACGGTGTTTAAGAGAAGTGTAGTCTCTTTTTCAATGGAGAAAAGATAGTCTTTATAACAGATGGTATTGGAAAAACTGGGCATCCCTAGCAGGGAAAAAAAAACCTTGACTAAACATCATATCTTACACAAAAACTAACTCAAAATAGATTACAAGCTTAAATGTAAAACATAAAATGATGAAACCTTTAGAAGACATAGAAAGTCTTTGTGACCTAGATTGAGTTAGTTGAAGAGCTCTTAGCCATGACACCAGAAACACAGTCAACGAAAGAGAAAGGCTGATAAGTTGACCTTTATCAAAATTCAGACCTTTACTTCACAAAAGACATTGCAAAGAGGATGAAAAAACAAGCCACAGACTAGGAGAAATAATAATTGCAAATCTCATTCACAAAGGATTTGTATTCACAATATATAAAAAAACTCTAAACTCAAAAATAAAAAAAAATAGGAAGATTCAGAATGTAACTTGGTTCCTAATTTTTTATGAATGTTAAACTTTGAATGCAGAAGAAATGTAAGAATTTCAAGTCTTTCATAAGTATTCACCATTGCTTAAGTTATTCCCTTATCATAAATTGTACATAGCTGTGCTGTCAGTGAGTAATATTTAGGTTGACATAATTCCTATTAGCTGATAATAATCATTTCCACTCCAGTTGCTGAGTTATTTTCCCTTCACATATGGTAAGTCTCTCCCTTCCTCCCCATTGCCACTACTGGCTTTTCCCTAGAGTAACAGCATTAGAAGTTCAAAAATATCACTTTCACAACTTTTTTTTCTATACAGAAATATTTTTTATCTAAGCCTGTGTGTGACAGATCTGTCACAGAATAGCAGTGAAATTGCTGGTCCAGGCAGGAATAGAAAGAGCAGAAACAAGTCGGCCTGCCTCGCATGCTTTCTCATCTCTCTTGCATACTGCCTGGACCATGGACACTTGTGCATAATGCTCTACCATCTGAAATGTGGAGCGAGGTAGCAGCAGCCGCCCCTTCTGTTCCTGCCCTAGACTGACTCAGCCCTAGTCCCAGTGCCTGGAAAGAAACTCCATTTGTAAATGGCGTCTTCCAATCACCTTTCAAATCACCACCATTCTGAGAAATCTTCACTTTTGGTCATATTTGTTCAGATTATTCTGATACAACTGAGACCCCTGTGACTTGTGTTCTCCTCGACTCCACCACTATTCTTTATGTCTGTTCTATTTACATGAAAACATGTTAAACACTGACACTTCTATACACAAAATCTCCATTTGTAATCTCCGTTAAGTAAGACTGCTTTAAATAAAGACTGGAAGCAGACCTCAAGACCAATGAACAGATATAAACTTAATCTCCCCTTTAGACAATAGGAGTATGAGGGAACACAGGTAGATATGTGAATAAATAATTGGTTTAATGCTGAAACAAATTTATTCTGCCTTATATTTTATATATAATTTTGTGATATACTTTAAAGGTTATCTGTTTGCGCAAGATATTTGTTCTGATTATGGGCAATTCTGAGCTTGAACTGGGACATAAGCTTGTCTCTCCCAAATATAATAGCTGAAATAAGTGTATGTGCTGGCATATCACACACAGCCATCTCCTTACAGAATAAGAAATTTAGTAGCATATTCTTCAAAACACAGTTGTGTTGTTGTAGTATGTATTTTTTGTGCGTACATACTACTTCTTCAAAATCCACTCTGTAGTTTACACTAAAGCACATCTGAATTCAGAATAGCCACATTTCAATTCCTTAGTAGCCAAACGTGAATAGTTCTTACTATATTGCATGTTGAAATGGTCATATCTAATTTTCTTTTGAAGTTTCAAGGTACTGTGTTCACTGCCATATTGTAAATATATTCTTATACAGTTGACCACTGAAAAGTACCAGTTTGAACTCTGCTGATGCACTTATGTGGAATTTTTTCAATAAATACAGTCAGCTCTCCTTACCTGTGGATTCTGCATCCACTACCAAACACAGATGGAAAATATAGTATTCGTGGGATGCAAACCCTTGTACATATTTCCTATGGCATCGGACCCCAAAGGGCTGACTATGGACTTCAGTATGTGTGGATTTGGGTATGGGTACTGGGGGCTGGTCCTGGAACCAATCTCATGTGTATACCTAGGGACAATTGTATTTAATTTTTACAATTTGGGAAATTAAAATGCATGGATTATATTTCCAATAAAACAAGCAAACTGATTTTAAGATAATATAATGTTTTTGATGAGCTATATAGCTCAGTTAAAATTATAATCTAGTACATTTTTACATGTAATTGTGTATAAGCTGCCACAATAGTAATGATAACTCAGTGGTATTCAGTAGGCTCTTCTCATGTGACAAAACAAAATGGGAGAGAATAGGGATAATTATAGCTAGCTTAATGTTACAGATGTGCACAGAATGAATACAGGTTATTTTGTTTGCAATCTCAGCTTTTCTCGATCTTATTTAGGTAATAATGATCTATCTTGTGGTCATAAAGATATTTTCCTGTATTTTATCATAAAAGTTTTAGAATTTTACTTTTCATATGTAGGCTTTTAATGTACCTAAACTTTATTTTTGTGTATTGCATCAAAAGAACCTAGTTTAATTCATTTCTCTTGGATAACCAGTTGTCCCCATGCTTAATGAGTAGTGTATTTTTCCCCACTGACTTGTAATGCCACGTTTGTGTGTATCCAGTTTCTCTGTGTGTGTGGTCCTATTTCTGTGCCTTCTATTTTGGTGCCTTACCTTAATTATCAGTCTGTGCACTGATTCCACATAGTATTAATCATTCTAGCTCTAAAATAATGTTTGATATCTGATAGGGAAATACCTTCCCATGTAATTTTGTCTTCAGAATTGTCTTGACTATTCTTGTCCCTTTGTCCCTTCACATGAATTTAGAATTAATTTTTCTTATTTGACCAAAAAAAATTCTGTTGACTTCTTGATTGATTTGATTACATTTTATTTAAAGATTAATTTTTGAGGAACTATTTGTGATGTTGAATCTTCCATTCCATAACATTTATTCACATTGTCTTTACATTTCCCCTGGTAATGTTTTGCCATTATCTTCATAAAACTCCGACACAGCTTTTGCTAGATTATTTTTTAAAACTTAGAGATTTCATTGTTATTGAATGAGATTTTTTTTTCCTATTACTTTTCTAATGACTATTATTGAAATTTAAGGAGGCTATTGATTTTGGTATGTGGATCTTATATTCATCAATCTGACTATTTTCTTATTCTAATAATTGGCATATTCTCTTGGATTTCCTATATAGATAATTATTTCATTTGAAAATAAAAATGATCTCTTGCTATGTAAGTATTGTATCTCTTCTTTCTTTTTTAGTCTTATTGCATTGGCCAGGACCTTCATTACAGTGTTGAGTAGTCATGGTGTTATTTGGTATCATTGACTTGTTCATGACCATACATTCTTTTTATTCAGAAGAGTTTATTTTGTAATATGTAACAGAACCATGTATGACTTAATAGAATGTAAATATAGTACAGTACTTTTTATTTTATTTATTCTTCTAATCACAGATTATAGCAATTTAGGAAGTACAAATTTTAAAAGCTTAAAAATCACCCAGAGATGATCACTGTTTGCATTTTGATATGTGGCAGAATCACAAATTAGGTTTTAAAGTCAGTCTAAAAATGGCAGAATTACTCTTTAAAATCCATTAAATCACTCACAAGTTAAAATATACATATATGGATTTGTGTCATCTTCCCTATACATATACAGTAATATATATTGTAAGATAAAATGGAGAAGATTACATATGAAAACACAATTCTCTAGCCTTTTTACTATACCTCTACAGTTGGTGAAAAACAGATTATATATTGATCTCCTACAGCATGTCAAGCATGCAGTTGGATTCAGAACGTTAAATCTGTGTGGATTAACTCCAGCATGTACGTGATTTTTATCTTACTAGCTTGAGAAGCTATGCTTGTGTGATGCAACTCTCTCATATAAAATGTACTGTATTTTATATAGCTATATTTTATAAATACCTATTATTGTGTATTTACTTGATAGCATTATTATTTAGCCCCATAAGTGACATTTCACAAACAGTGCCCTGTATAATCCAAAAACAGCAGTTGAAGAAATATAATAACAAAGGAGAGGACTGGGATTCTCAAATCCAAAGAAAATATATTATTCCAGGTCCTTTCAGGAAGTAGACATTCAATGTCAGCTAAACAGAGTAGAATAACAGATTCATACATGTCAGGTACATGTGGAAATTTAGCAAAAGATTTATGAACATGAACCCAAGCAGAGGAAACTATTAAAAATAACAGACATGTGATATGTAAAATTCACCAGATAAAATCCCTGGTTGTGTTAGCCACACTTTCAAAATTCTATTGTTCATAAGTCTTAGAAATTCCTTCCCTCCCCTTCTTCCCATAGTGAACAGAGTTTGAATTATATTTCAATTCTTTACATACTACAGAGTTTGAAATAGAATTCTAAAGAGTGAAGGAACAATCATGGACTTTCTGAAAGGCTTTTTCATTATGGCTATGGTATTTAAGCAGACTTACTCAGATTTTGTTCCACAAAACATCTATTGGACTAATGGCCTTTCCCACTGTAGTTCATCTCTCTACGTCTTCAACAGCTTGTTAGCAGACGTAACAAGCTGTTACGTCTATATAAGGATATATAGAAGTGAGAGTTTATTAGTGGTATTTTCTACAAATTTTCATTATCATAGGTATTCTATTGTTTGGCAGTTTTAAAGCTACCATTATAATAAGAAGAGAGAATTTCATCTCATAGCATGTGAAGCTTAAATCTTCAATTGGGTCACTTGGGGTCACCTAAGGCCAACAGTAACCTGAAAAGGAAAAAAGTTTTCAGTTTTTTTTACTAGAAGGGCTAATTGTGTTACATCTGTTCTTTCTTTCAGCCCAAGTTTTAGTTAATTGTCTAAGTGTTCTGTTCTCTGCTTAGCAAAGGATTTAATAGCTGATTTTATATACATTCCTGGTTTAATCTTACTTTAATACACTTTCATTGATAGGATAAATGCACCTTCTTAAGGTGGGCAATTCTGTTAACTCAGCATGGTCAAACTTTTCTCAAGATGATAAGATTGAATCTTACATTTGGTTAGTTCTTTTTTTTTCTTTTTATGAGATGGAGTCCCTCTGTCCCCCAGGCTGGAGTGCAATGGCGTAATCTTGGCTGACCACAACCTCCACCTCCCAGGTTCAAGCGATTCTCCTGCCTCAGCCTCCCGAGTAGTTGGGATTACAGGCACCCACCACCACACCCAGCTAATTTTTGTATTTTTAGTAGAGATGGGGTTTCACCATGTTGGTCAAGCTAGTGTTGAACTCCTGACCTCAAGCAGTCCACCTACCTCGGTCTCCCAAAGTGCTGGGAATACAGGCGTGAGCCACCACGCCCAGCCGATTAATTCTTGTATCTCATAGTTATTAAAGTACATGGATTTCTTACCTTTTATGAGCTAATGAATATTTTGTAGTAACCCTGGAGGAGGAGTTTGCAGTGAGCCAAGATCACACCACTGCACTCCAGCCTGGGCAACAGAGTGAGACTCCATCTCTAAATAAATAAATAAATAAATAAATAAACAAACAAACTAATAGATTCTTTTGAATATAGGTAAATTAAAACATGACAAAATATTTTCTACTCACCTATTTGACAGAAACTTTTCAGCAGTCACAGTGTTATATTCCATTAGGTTTCCCTTTCAGTTGGCCTCCCTCTACAAAAGATGCTCGCTTCCTTTTTTCATTCAGGTAACATGTGCTGTCTCCCCCACTGAGTCACATATCCTAGACACTGACTGGGGATAAATGGATTGCATTTGCCCAGAGATAAAGTGAACTTTATTGTGAATATCAATTAATTGCCTTTGACTATTTCTTGTTGTCAGTAGCATATGTTGCAAAACACTTCAATAATATTTAGTATTTCTAAGTGAAAGTTTTATATCAGCTTAGCTAAGCATTCTGCACTTACCGATAGTAGGCAGCATGGGTTTCAGAGCATCATTTTTTTAATGTTTAATTTTTAGAGGATTCCTAATGGACTTATTTGTGTTTCTTCTTAATTTGTTTTTCTTCTCCATGTAGAACTGGCTTTCCTAAGGTTTATACAGTAAGACAGACGTATCCCCACATTGAAGCTCTTTCCATTTGAGTCTAGGCTGATAATGAAATTGGGGAATTAAGGAAGAGAGTTAAAGACAGTCTGGAAGAGGAGAACTCACTGAATATAGAAATGACTAAAATGGACATGAGCTCTAAGGACAGCCAAGGAGAAAAATCAGACTTTAAGTTAAATGATCCATAAGCTACCTCTCTTAATGAGAAGTAAGACAGTTGCTTACAGCACATTAACCACCTAGAATAACCCAGACCTCATCAAGTGGTAGTGTATTGAGTAACACCACCAATTTTATAGCCTTTGAAGATAAATTAAAACCAGCCTCAAAAAAATTGCATACTAGATATACAAATATTGGCATATTCAGAGAAGCAACATTTAATATGTACATTTTACACATTATGTCACTTAAACATTTACCATGGGTTTTTTAAATAGGTTGAAATGTTCTGCAGTTAACTTTTGTATTAACCACTTTGTTGAGATATAATTCACACACCATACAATTCACCCATTTATTCTATACAATTTAGTGGCTTTTAAAAGTGTATTCAGGCTGGGCGCAATGGCTCACGCCCGTAATCCCAGCACTTTGGGAGGCCGAGGCAGGCAGATCACTTGAAGTCAGGAGTTCGAGACCAGCCTGGCCAACATGGTGAAACCCCATCTCTACTAAAAATGCAAAAATTAGCTGGGCGTGGTGGCGCGTGCCTGTAATCCCAGCTACTCAGGAGGCTGAGGCAGGAGAATCACTTCTACCTGGGAGGCAGAGATTGCGGTGAACCGAGATCACACTACTGTACTCCAGCCTGGGCAACAGAGCTGGACTTCAATTAAAAAAAAATGTATTCATATTGTTGTGCATCCATCATCACAAGCAATTTTAGGACATTTTATTACCCTAAAAAGAAGCCCCATTCACCTTAGCTGTTACTCTCCAATTCCCCTACGACTTCGTCCACTGCCACCAGACCTAGGAAACCACTAATCTTCTTTCTGTCTCTATAGCTTTCTGTCTCTGTAGCTTTCTGTCTCTATAATTGGACCTGTTCTGAACATCTTGTATATGCAGTTATACAATATGTGTTACTTTATGACTGGTTTATTTGACTTGGTATAATGTTTTCAAGATTTTTCTATGTCGTAGTGTGTAGCAGTATTCCTTTCTTTCTGTTGTCAACAGACCATTATATGGTTATACTACATTTCATTATTCATCCTTCAGTTGATGGACATATGGGTTTTTTGCACTTTTTGGCTATTATGAATACTGCTGTGAACATTCATATGCAAGTTTTTATGTAGACATGTTTTCATTTCTCTTGAGATATACCTAGGAGTAGAATATTCTTTAGAGGTGGAACTCTGGTTTTTGTTGTTTGTTTGTTTTTGAGATGGAATCTCGCTCTGTCGCCCAGGCTGGAGTGCAGTGGTGTGATCTCAGTTCACTGCAAGCTCTGCCTCCCGGGTTCACACCATTCTCCTGCCTCAGCCTCCCAAGTAGCTGGGACTACAGGCGCCCACCACCACGCCCAGCTAATTGTTTTGTATTTTTAGTAGAGACGGGGTTTCACCATGTTAGCCAGATGGTCTCAATCTCCTGACCTCGTGATCCACCCGCCTCGGCCTCCCAAAGTGCTGGGATCACAGGCGTGAGCCAGTGCCCCGGCCAGAACTCTGTTTTTAACTGAGGAACCACCAGACTGTATTTCAAAGCAGGTTTGCCATTTTATATTCCCGTCTACATTATACAAGTATTCTCGTTTTTCTATATCCTCACCAACCTCTGTTACCTGTCTTTTTTATTTTAGCCATCCTGGTGGGTGTGAAGTGTTATTTAATTGTGGTTTTGATTTGCAGTTGTCTAATGGCTAATGATGTTGAGCTTTCTTCACGTACTTGTTGGCCATTTGTATCTCTTCCTTGGAAAACTATTCAGATTCTTTGCTTTTTTAATAATTGGGTTATTTGTCTTTTTGCTATTGAGTTGTAAAATTTCTTTAATACATTCTAGATACAAGTCCCCTATTAAATATGAGATTTCAAAAATTTTCTCCCTTTCTGTGGGTTGTCATCTTACTTTCTTGATAGTATTTGAAGCACAAACTTGATGATGTCAAGTTTATTTTTGTTATTTTTATTTGTGCTTTTATCATGAGAGTTTCATGTATTTTTAATAGCTTAATTGGGGTTTAATTGGCAGAGTAAATTACTTATCTTTAAAGGTTGTAAGTCGATATGTTTTGGTATACAAATGCATCTATAAAATATCACCACAATCAAGATAATGAACATATCCATCACTCACAAAAGTTTCCTCTTAACCCTGTGTAATCAGCACTTTCCCCATCCCACAGGAAACCACTGATCTGCTTTCTGTCGCTGTAGATTAGATTGCATTTTCTAATATTTTATATTAATGGAATCACACAATATCTGTTCCTTTATGTCTGGGTTTTCTTACGCTGCATAATAATATTGAGATTTATCCATGGTTTTACATGTATCTTTAGCTCTTTGCTTATTATTCCTGAGGAATATTCCATTGTATGGATGCATCACAATTTGCTTATATCCATTTACACGTTGATGAGCAATTAGATCTATATCAGGTCTGACTGCTACAAATAGTCAGCTGTGAACATTCATGTACAAGTTATTGTCTGAACATGTGCTTTCCTTTGTAAATACCAAGGAATGGGGTAGCTATGTCTTTTGAAACATGCATGTTTAACTTTTTAAGAAAATGGCAGACATGCCAGTTTCTCCACATTTTCTCCAAAATCGGTATGGTTGGTCTTTTTAATTTTATCTGTTCTGTTTGTAGTAGATGTTCTTGTAGTTTTAATTTTAGTTTATTTAATAAATTAGGATATTTGTTTTCTTATTATTGAATATTGAAAGATTTTTATATATTCTGGGTACAAGTCCTTTGTTATTGGATATGTCATTTGCAAATATTTTCTTGCAGATCTCTAGCTTATCTTTTCATTTTCTGAACAATGTCTTTCAAAGGGGAGAAGTATCTAGTTTTGGGAAAGTACCATATTTCAATTTTTTTTATAGATATGGTTTTAGTGTCGTAACTAAGAAATCATTACCTAACACAATGTTTTGCCCTAGAAATTGAAGAGGTCTGGATTTTACAATTTAGGTCTGTGATCCATTATATCCGAGTTCCTTTTTTGTAAATTGTTCCAACACCATTTATTGAAAATATTTTCTTTTTCCACTCAATTGCCTTTGATCCATGATGAAAATCAGTTGACAATATATGTTTGGGTATATTTCTTCATTCTCTTTTCTGTTCCCATGATCTATTGTCCATCTTTGTGGCAGTACCACACTTGATTACTATTGTTTAAAATGAGTAGTCAATTCAGATAGTATATGCCCTCCTTCTTTTCCAGAGTTATTTTGGCTGTTCTAGTTTCTTTGTATTTCCTATAAATTTTAGGGTCAGTTTGTCAGTTTCTGCAAAAGAAATACAAATAAAAAGTCTGCTGAGAATTTTATTGGGATTACAATGAAACTATAGGTCAATTTGGGGATAAATGACATCTTAACAATATTGCATCCTCTGACTATGAATGTAGTGCATATATAGCTTTTTTATTTTAGATGTTTAATTTTTTAACAGTGTTTCTAGTTTTCAATGTACAGGTCTTATGCATCTTTTGTCAGATTTATACCTAAGTAGTTTATATTTTTGATGCTATTATGCCTGGTACTTTTTTTTTTTCAAGTTTTTTTTTTTTTTTTTAATAGAGACAGGGTCTTTCTATGTTGCCCAGGCTGGTCTCAGACTCCTGGGCTCAAGCAATCCTCCTGTCATGGCCTCCCCAAAGTGCTAGGATTACATGTAGGTGTGACCCACTGCACCCAGCCAGTATTTTTAATTTCAGTTTCCATTGTTCTTGACTATTGTATTTATATCTGCCACCTAGCCAAACTTACTGGTTCTAGTAATTTTTTCCTAGATCTCATATGATTTTTCTAAGTACATGGCCATATAACTTGCAAATAAAGACAGTTTTACCTCTTTCTTTCCAATCCGGATGTCCTTTGTTTTTCTTTCCTTTTACAATGGCTAGAACCTGTATATTCATTGCTGAGTGGAAGTGGTGAAAGCACGCATTCTTGCCTTGTAAGAACAGGGACCTTAGGAGGACAGCATTCAGTCTTCCACCATTAGTATGATGTTCACTGTAGGTCTTCTGTAGATGCCCTTTACAGTGTTGAGAATTTTTCTTCTATTCCTAGTTTGCTGAGAGTTTAGATCAGAAATGGGTTTTGGATTTTGTCAGATCCTTTTTCTGCCTTTTATTAGATGATTGTATTATTTTCCTTTTTTTCGTTTGTTAAACTAATGAATTACACTGATTTATTTTTGAATATTAAAGGAACTTTGCATTCCTGCAATAAATTCAACTTGGTCATGATTTTAGTAATTATAATATTCCTACAGTGTTCACTTTGCAAGATGCTGTGTTCACTGAAACATGCTCTTATCAGAAATATGTCCTCTCTGTGTGATTGGCTGGTAATCACAGAGCAGAGACATGGTTCAAAAAATGCACACGTTTCAATGAACACTGAACTGTGCAAATCAAGATCTGACTGTATTATTGAATTTGATTGGCTAGAATTTTGTTTTAAAACACCGCATCTATCCTCATGAAGAATATTGGTCTGTAGTTTTCTTATGATGTCTTTCATTTGGGTGTTTAACACTGGTTTCACAGGATGAGTTGGGAAGTATGTCTTTCTCATCTATTTTCTAAAGAGTTTGTGTAGTACGTGTATTATTTCTTCTCTCAATATTTGGTAGAATTCATCAGTGAAGCCATTTCGGTCTGGAGTTTTCTTTTTTGGAGACTGTTACACTGCAATTTCAATTTATCTCTTCTTGAGTAAGCTTTGGTGTTTTGTGACTTCCAGGGAATTCGTCCATTTCATCTAACTTATCAATTGTATTGGCACAAAGTTTTTTATAACATTCCCTTATCATCCTTTTAAAATCCCTAAAATTTGTAGTGATGTTAACTCTGTCATTTCTGATATTGGTACTTTTTACCTTTTCTCCTTTTTATTTTTTTAATGGCCATTCTGAGTGAAGGCTTATCAATTTTATTGTTTTTTGCAAGAAACCAGCTTTTGTTATCATTGATTTTTCTCTATTTTTTTCCTGTTTTCTATGTCACTGATTTTCTCTACTATTATTTACTTTTTTCTCCTTAATTTACATTTTATTTGCTCTTCTATTTTTGGCTTTTAAGAAGGTAACTGAGGTCATTTGTTTGAGACTTTTCTTCTTTTCTACTATAGGTGTTTAATGATATAAATAGTCCTTTAAATACTACTATAGTGACATACAACAAATCTTGATGGCTTCATTTTTATGCAGCTCAAAGTACTTTCGAATTTTTCTTTGTACTCATGGTTTATTTAGTAGTGTTTTATTTTCAGTTTTAAAAAAATTTGGAAATTTTTGAAATAACTGTTATTGCTTTCCCATTTAATTCCATTATGATCAGAGAAAATATTTTGTATGACTTAAATTATTTTATATTTATTGAGACTTGTTTCAGAATCCAGAATATGCTCTATCTTGATAAATATTTCATGTTACGTCAAAAGATTATATATTCTGGTGTTGCTGGGTTGTGGTCAATAAACGTCAGTCAGGTGAAATTGGTTATTATTGTTTGAGTCTTCTTTATCTTCGTTGATTTTATGTCTTTTAGTTTATCAATTATTAAAAGAGACATATTGGAATCCGTGACTATAGTTGTGAACTTGTCTGTTTCTTCCACAGTTCTTTCAATTTTTGTTTCATGTTATTTGAAGTTATGTCATCAGGCCTATAAACATTTAGGATTCTTATGTTCTCTAGAACTGACTCTTTTATATGAAATGACTCTCTTTGTTCTGGTGATATTCTTTGTTCTGAAGTCTACCTTCTCTCTTATTAATATTGTCACTCCAGCTTTCTTTTTATTTGCCTTAACTTGCTATATCTGTTTTTAACCTATGTAAATAGTTTTGTTGAGATATAATCACTTGCCATACAATTCACCCACTTAAAGTATACAGTTCAATGGTTTTTAGAATATGCATAGAGTTATATAACCATCACCTTCAAGTTTAGAACATTTTCATTAACCCCGAATGAAGCTCTTACCCCTTAAGCAGTCATTCCCCCTTTCCTCCAATTCCCTCAGCCCCAGCTAATTACTAGTCTACTTTCCATCGCTATAGATTTTCCTATTCTGAACATTCCATATAAGTGGAATATATGTTGTCCTTTGTGACTGGCTTCTTTCACTTAGCATGTTTTTAAGGTTCAGCCATGTCTTTGTATAATAGATTCCTTTTTTGGCCAAATAGAATTTTGTTATATAGATATACCACATTTTGTTTATCCATTCATCAATTGATAGATATTTGGATAGTTTCTACCTTTTGATCCCTTTAAATACTACGACTATGAACATTTTTCCATATAAGTTTCTGTGTAGCCATGTTTTCATTTTCCTTGGAATATATCTAGGAATAAAATCCTGTGTCAAATTTTAACTCTATGTTTAATCTTTTGAGTAACTGCTAGACTGTTTTTCAAAGCTGCTGTACCATTTTACATGTCTCCCAACAGTGTATGAGCTTCCAATTACTCCACATTTTCTTGAACACTAGTTATTATCTATCTTTTTCTAAAAATTATAGCTGTCTGGCTGGGTGCAGTGGCTCACGCCTGTAATTCCAGTTCTTTGGGAGGCCCAGGTGGGCAGATCACTTGAAGTCAGGAGTTCAAGACCAGCCGGGCCAACATGGTGAAACTCCATCTCTACTAAAAGTACAAAAATTAGCCGGGCATGATTGCAGGCGCCTGTAATTCCAGCTACTCCAGAGGCTGAGGTAGGAGAATGACATGAACCCGGGAGGCAGAGGTTGCAGTGAGCCGAGATTGTGCCACTGTACTCCAGGCTGGGCAACAGAGCGAGACTCCATCACAAAAAAACAAAAACAAACAAACAAAAAAATTTTACCTGTTGTACTGGATGTGAAGTGTTGTCTCATTGTGGTTTTGATTTGGAGTTCTCTGATGGCTAATTTTGTTGAACATCTTTTCATGTGCATATTGGCTGTTCGTATATATTTTCGTATATATTTTCCTTGAAAAAATGTCTGTTCAGCTACTTAGTTCATTTTTTAAATTAGGTTGTCTTTTGTTATTAAATTGTGAGAGTTTCTTGTATATTCCATATGCAAGTCTTTTTCAGATATAATTTGCAAACATGTTCTCCCATTTTGTGGGTTGTCTTTTTGCCTTCCTTGGGGTGATCTATCTTTTATCACTGCTTTTACATCTTACCTATTTGTATCTTTATATTGGAGGCAATATATAGTTGAGTCTTCATTTTTTAATCCAATCTCACAACGTATGGCTTGTAGTTTGTGTGTTTAGACCCTTTATATTTCATGTCAGTATTGATATTGTCAAAATCTACTTTCTGGTTTTTGTCCTCTTTCTAAAGGTTTTCATTTAAATTAAGTGAGTATTTTTATGATTCTATTTTGTCTTTTTGTTGATTTATTCATTAGAAATCTTATTTTAGTGAATACTGTAGTGTTTATACATCTTTAACTTATCCTAGTCTATCTTCAAACAGTATTATAGCACTTCACGTATAGTTTCAGAACCTTTATGATAGTATATTTATATTTCTCCTCTTCTGGTTTTAGTGCTATTTTTATCACACATTTTACATCTACTACCTTATTAACACCATACTATGTTGGTTTTTGTTTGTTTAGACAGTTGATTCTCCTTAAATAAATTTAAATAATAAGAAAAAGACTTTTCTGTTTGCCTACATGTTTGCCATTTTCAGTGTTCCTTGTTTTGTGTAGATCTAGAGTGTCATCTGGTGTCATTTTCCATCTGCCTGATAGACTTCCTTTAACATTTCTTATACTGCTATAAAGAAAAATATAGACATAAATGACTACATAAATATTAAAAACCTTTTAGTGAAGGGTACCGTAAACAAAATTTAAAAAAAAAAAATAAAAGGCTGGGAAGTATTTACAACATATCAGGTAATAATAACAGCAGTACATAATAATAATAATAATAATAATAGCAGTTATTAAATGTGTACTGTGCTATACCAGGCACTATACTGAACACTTTACAATGTATTTTCTCATTCAATCCTTAGAACAGCTGTTTGAAGGTAATGTACTATTATGACTTCCATCTTACAAACAAGGATATGAGACTAACAGATAAGTGGCTAAAGTCTCTAACAATAAAAGATCTAAAAATCAATGAGAACATAATTTTAATTGGCAGTTCTTCAGAAAAATGTGAATGGCTTATAAACATAAATGTAATACTCAGCTGCTGTCATCATCAGAAGAATGAAGTTGTTTTTAAGCTCTTCAACTGTCAAGAGTAAGAAGCAATGTTACTAATACCGGCAAGATATGAAAAGACGCTCATACATTGTTGGAAATAAAAGTTGGTATAGCTTTTCAGAGACCATTTAGGTTTAACTGTTGTCATTTAAAATATCCATATCCTTTGACCAGATGACTGTCATCTGGAATTTCTCGTACAAGTTCCCAAAGAAAAATTTTCTCTCTATCTCTGTGTGTGTGTGTGTGTGTGTGTGTGTGTGTGTGTGTGTGTGTGTGTAATAGAGAACAGTTGGCAATAACCTGACCATCAATAGCATAGTGTTAAAATGAATGATGGCTTGGCCATATAATGGAATAACCATTGGAAAAACATGAGACTGTGTAGAAACAGGCAATTTGATAGGCTACTAATGGGAGACTTAAATTGGTACACCTTCTCATGGGGGATGTTTTCAATATAGGGATCAAAAGTCTTCAGTCAGACTATATCCCATTCCCTTTTGTGTGTGCTATATAATGTAGTGGAAAGAAAAATATTATAGAAAAATATATGTATCAGAACCCAATTAGGTTTTTTTTAAGGTTATATGTATTTACATATTTATATGTGCCTAGAAGAAAGCTTAGAAAGATGCATACCAAATTATTAACATTGATTATTCCTGGAAAGGAAGGATTTTGACTTTTTAAATCTCTCTATTGAATGTTATGATTGCTTTTGTAATCATTTTTAATAAAAAAATGTTTAAGATATATTAGTTATAATTGCCAAGAACACATAGAGAAACTGACTAAAAAGAAGCAAGACTGTTTGTCGCCAATAGTTTCTAAACCAAATGGGTAAAGGTTCTTCCTCCTTTGGCTTAAATCAAATTTTATTTTTAAAGGCAAGATGCTGGGTTCTACTTGTAGAGCTCTGTAGAATTTTAAAGAACTGAACTGTTACGAACCTCATGTTTCACAATACAGGACCAAAGTAGCTAGGGAGCTCTAAGACATTTGTAATCTTTACCAACTGATATCAAAAATTAAGAATGACATTTTATTCATTTATTTATGTATGTATGTATTTATTTATTCATTCATTCATTCATTCAGGTAAAGTAGTGAGTAGAGTACCTTAACATCCAAGAAAGTAAAATAGCCACCTCTGCAGCAGCTCATTAAGGACTGGTAACACATAGAGGTCAGTGTTCCACAGCTTTAAAAAAAAGTATTGATACAGTTGAAGACCCCTCCACTAGAGATAAGATGAAGCACTGTATCCATATTACCAATGACAGTCACCCAAGAAATGCAAACAGCTACATCACCCTCCCTCCTGGGGTAGATCCATCATACTTGTCATGAAGATCAACTGCATTGTCACTGGAGACTTGGATCCAGCCATCCTCCTGCACATGGTAGAGGTTAGCAGCACCTCCTGAGTAGGCATCTATGCAGGTGGCTTGGTAGATGGCTTGGTAGCTTACCTCATGGGCCAGATCATAGGCCTGCTCCATTTCCAGGTTATAGGAATAGCCCTGATTCATAACCCCATAAGCATACACAGAGCAAGAACCTACAGAGAAGGTGGCCCCTGAGATCTGATTCCCTTCAGTGTCCATGTAGCAGAGGCCAGGGCCTCTCCTATCCCAGCCACAGATCATGTTGCCTATGGACAGCCCCATGCCTTTGTACTGATACAATATGTTGTCAGGCAGCTTGGAGGCAGCTGTTACAGGGATGCATTCCTTATTTCAAAGCTCATACATTTGACTTTGCCGAGCCAACAGCCATTCTCAGAAGCTACAGTTCCCTGTGCCCCTAGCCATGATGGCTTCGGGTAGGGGTTGATCTCTGTCACCTTCTTTACCATCTGGAGGCAATGTAAGCACCCACTGCAGCCCTATAGTCTGCTGCAACTATGACTCCATGCCAGAACTTGAAGACCAGGGTGGTGATTCCAGGAAGCATTTTGATTCCCTGCTCCTCTGAGACTCCCCAGCTGGGCATGGCCAGCCTCAGCCCATCAGTGGGACTCCCTGGACCCAGATCCAGCAGATCTGCATAAACTGTGAGTCCAGAAAACCTGCACTGGTTCATAGCAGCCTCTCCAAATAGCTGACCAGTTCCATGTCTAGTGTGGGCAAAAGAAGGAATAACATTTTAAATTGCATGACTGCAAAAGGGTTTTTGTTGTAGGTTGTTGTATATTTGAAATTGTGACCAGACTTATAATAATGAAATATGTGCAGTAGTTTTGCAAAGGAAAATAAGGATGCATGCTCACTCAAATGTTGACCATATGATGCATAGATTATAGAATACTGTAGAAAGTCCGCTTTTATCACATGTTCTCATGTTTTAATACAATCTTCTAATAACAGAGTGTGCTACATCTCTGTGAAATATCTAGAAAAACTCTTTAGCTAAAAGGGTAGGATGGGTAAGTTACCAGGAAAAATTTTTATAAATTAGAATTTTAAAATTCATTGTTAGACAGGAGACAAAGAAGAAATCATTTATTCTTTCTAGTGGACAAATACTGTTCTATAATAGGTCATGAACAAAGTCACCTGAGAGTTTTCCAAGTAAATGTTATGGTCTGAAAGATTTTTTTCATTTGTTAAAGAATTGTTCTGGTAAACTATTTGTTTTGGAATTTTTCATCTGGAAAAATAGTTTGAATCCAATCATATATTTACCAGACATCATGCAAATTGAATATTTGGTACATTGGTTTCTATTCTGTGTTAAACGCTTAGAAATTTTGCTTTCTTATAATCAAACTCACCCAGAGCCACAGTAATATTTTTATATGAACAAAAGAAATCTCTATGTACTGATTTATTTAAAGTAATTATTAGAGGGCAGACATGGTGTCTCACACCTATTATCCCAGCACTTTGGGAAGCCAAGGCAGGAAGATCACTTGAGCTCAGGAGTTTGAGACTAGCCTAGGCCACATGGCAAAACCCTGTCTCTACAAGAAATACAAAAATTAACTGGGCATGATGGCACACACCTGTAGTCCAGCTACTCCGGAGGCTAAGATGGCAGGGTCACTTGAGCCCAGGAGGCAGAGAGGTTGCAGTGAGGCGAGATTGCACCACTGCACTCCAGCTGGGTGACAGAGTGAGACTGTCTCAAGAAAAAATGAAAAGTAATTATTATTAGAGAAAAATTAAACAATAATAAAATTTAGGCCGTATCATCTATTATTTTCTATATGCATAGAGAAAAGTGAAAGAATATACATATTTTGGGAAAATGCCTAGGAGCTATTACATAAAATAACACTTTACAAAGTTACTTCTGTATCTAAAGAAAATATTTTTACATGGCATTGTATTGCATTCTATAGTAAAAATGAAGATAATATAAACACTTTCATTGAGTACTAACTGGATGCCAGGAGTTGTTCTAAGTAACTTTCCTTGCAGTGTTTGATTTCATGTTAACAACCTATGCTCTAAGTACTCTTATTATACAGCTTACAAATGAGGATCTGAGTCTTAGAGGTTAAATAACTCACTCAAGGCCACAGAGCTGCTAAATAACAGAGCCAGGATTTGAATCTAGGTAATCTAGCTCCAGAATCTAAGCTCATAAATACTTTGCCTCTAGAGTAGGATTCAAGAGGGAAGACTTCATGGCTATGCAACGTATGATGCTTCTGTTATCTGAGAGATGCTTGGCAATATCTGCCCTACCACCTATGAGAGCAGCTGAAATTCTGTTGTAATAGATTCATTGCTTTGAGTTTATGAGACATTCTAGTTAAAATGTAGATATTCAGTGAAAAGTAATACACATCTAAACAGATAATGACAGTGTGCAGGAACTGAGGGTCAATAACTATAGAGTAGTAAATGAGGAAGAAGGGATGG
Source organism: Homo sapiens (assembly GCF_000001405.40). Classification (NCBI taxonomy): domain Eukaryota; kingdom Metazoa; phylum Chordata; class Mammalia; order Primates; family Hominidae; genus Homo; species Homo sapiens. The sequence continues at coordinate 47,260,950 of NC_000016.10, read as the reverse complement.
ACTTGGAAACTCCATAGAAAAGGAAAGAAGCCAGCAACCAACTAGCCTACAAAATCAGAGGATTTTTGCCAAAGGTTGAAAAGGGATAGCCAACAATTTTTTAATGACAGTACTATAAACAAAAAATGTGGAGATTTTTTCGTGTAATTTCACTGTGTACCGTTTACCGTCTCCTTTTAATCTAGGAAATACTACAGAGCCGATGCCACAGTGTTGATGTTTATATTAACGAAATGCCTTTCCTTTGGCGCACAGCAACCAGCAGGCCTTTTTACTGGAGAACGTCCCTTGTAATAATGCAAGCTGTGAAGAGGCGCGTCGAATGTTTAAAGTCTACTGGGAGCTGACAGACCTAAATCAAATTAAGGATGCCATGGTTGCCACCTTCTTTGACATTTACGAAGATGTGAGTTCAGAGCTGGGCTGTGTGTTTGAAGTTTAATTGCCTTTCACCTTGTCACACTTTAGCTTCATTCCATTTGACCAGAAAATGTGGACAACACAACAAAAAGCAAATGAGTTAATTAAGGAAAGCCCCTTTTAATGTTAAATGACAGATGAAACAAATCTATTGACAACATTGGCTGATCAGTACAGTCAAATATTAAAACTCTCTTACTTCATTTTGGGCATATTTGGATTAAACCACTAAAGCATCATGCTCTAAGACTGGCAGACCTGAATGTTCAACAGTAGACAAAATTACAGCCAACAGGCCGGGCGCGGTGGCTCACACCTGTAATCCCAGCACTTTGGGAGGCCGAGGCAGGCGGATCATGAGGTCAGGAGATCAATACCATCCTGGCTAACACAGAGAAACCCCGTCTCTACTAAAAATACAAAAATTAGCCGGGCGTGGTGGCGTGTGCCTGTAGTCCCAGCTGCTGGGGAGGCTGAGGCAGGAGAATGGCGTGAACCCGGGAGGCAGAGTTTGCAGTGAGCCGAGATTGCGCCACTGCACTCCAGCCTGGGCGACAGAGCAAGACTCCGTCTCAAAAAAAAAAAAAAAAAAATTTACAGCCAACAAATAACAGACCCTTGAATCTGCACAAGATCACAAAAGAATGAGTTTAGTGCTCAGTTTTATCTTTGTGACGCAGAGTAGCGTCTATTTCCACAGATTCTTGTGACTCTGACTGATTGCCAGGTGACCTTATGAAAGGCTTTAAGGTTCCAGTTTTCCCCTTTCTAAGGTGAAATGCCAGTTTACCGCTCTGAAAAATAATAAATTCTGAAAAAAGCAATGTTAAATTCCAGAATTAATGTATCACAGTATATCCTTGTAAGATAATTTATTTTTAAAAGTTAAGTGCCCAATAGGACATTTATGTCCCCATTTACCCCATTTTTGATTTTATTTTGTTTTTTATAAGAGACTTATTCTCAATTATATGAATTATTCAGGTCCTTGTTTTCCCGTTTCTCCTGCAATCAAATCTTGTGTTATTTCACTTTTCATTAGCAGATTCCAACCATAAAAGTAATTGACAGAAATATCACAAGGGGACAAAGCAAGAGAATTGACTACAAATCCATTTTTAATTTCTGTACATCAAAAATATGAATGAAATTTAAAATTGTTTTAAAACTGGGAAATAAATTTTCTATGAAAGTCAAATAGTTAATATTCATAATATAAAAGGGCTTATACAAACTGATATCATCAAAAATACTCTGCAAAACTAGAACATAGTTTACTACAAAAAGCCAAGTTGCTGACATATTTAAAAATATGATAAATGACCAACTTCATGAAAAGAATCAAAGGAATATCAATTTAAATAAGCATACATTTATTTCCTTCGACAAAATTAGCAAAGCTCCCTCCTTTTTGAAAGCAAATGATAAAATGCTGTGGTGGCAAGGGCAGATGAAAAGGTACTCCCCCTGATGGTTGGAAAGGGTCTGGCAGGTCCACATCATGGGCCTTTGAAACTTCATGCAAATTTGACTGGAAAGAAACATAGCAAAATGCTAATCATTATCTCCAGAGACTAAAATTACAGATGTTTTTTATTTTATTTATATTTTACTATTGAAACTTGGGTGTATATACTACCTATTTTTAATAGCGATTTTATTTTAAACATGAGGATGAATAAATAAGGCTACATTTACTTTATAAACAATATGCCATGCATTTTAATGGTCATTTTTTTTTTAGTTGGTCTAATAGTTTGTTCTTACCATTTTTGTTTGTTTTTTTCCAGGGAATCTTGGACATTGTAGTGCTAAGTAAAGGATATACAAAGAATGATTTTGCCATTCATACACTAAAAAATAACTTTGAAGCAGATGCTTATTTTGTTAAAGTTATTGGTGAGTAAAGTACTAACATTTAATTTTGTTCTCTTTCTCTTCCCCTCTCTCCACATATTCCAAAGAGCAAGGACATGCTCCGATGTACAACCCTCTAGATCAGATCAACCAGTACAGCACCATCCTGTCTATATACATAGACCCCATTCAGATTTCACCAGCTGTCCCAACAATATTGTTTTTTCTTTCTGGCCCAGGATTCTGTCCAGAAATATCTATTGCATTTAATTGTCCCATCTTTTCAGACTTCTTCAATCTGGACCAGTTCCTCAGTCTTTTCTTATTTTTCATGTCCTTTTCAGTTTTAAAGAATCCAGGCTTTGCATTCTGTGAGATAGCACTGTTTCCTCATTACCCAACTTAGGTCATGAATTATTTGCAGAAATTCCACTGCAAGGAGTTGCAGAATTGATGCTGTGCATTTCTCAGTGCATCATATCAGGAAGCACATGATGTTCACCTGTCCTACCACCATGATGTTAACCTTGTTCACCTGGTCACCTTGATGATCACCAAGTTTCTCTACCCTAAACTCACTGTTTTCCCCTTTGTAATTCATTAGTGTTTTGGGGGGCAATATTCTGATATTACATTAATAGGCTTTTCTTTATGAAACTTTTGCCTAGCACCCTTAGAGTACATTGACAACTCCCTGAATCAACCTTCTACATTTGTCAAATAATGATTCTCTATTTCCATCAATTGACATTCTACTGTTCATCTTGTACCCCCCTTGTCCCAAGCCTGGAATCAGACATTTCTCCAAGGAATCAGACATTTCTCTCTTTTAGTAGAGAACAGTATTTCAAAACCACATCCTGAAATGGTTGCCCAGTGTGCTCGTTGCTACTGGGTTGTCATTTCTTCCAGGTTCTCTCAATGGACACAGCTAGGAGAAAACAGGTATGGATTCACATATGTACATACAAGTCTACACATTTGTAACTATTTTTACATCTATTTACATTTGTATGAGCTAACTATAAAACCATGAATTCGTTGCAATAATTTCATTTTTCATCCAAATGGAGCACTTCAGGGTTCCTTCTAATTTCGTCTGTTTTTGTAGATATCTCTTCCAGCAGTGAGAAACGTGACTTCTGTTTTCCTCATTGTGTTACTTATTTTTTCATTGTAACCAGTTCCCACCCATGCTAGTAGTATCCTCCACCTGACCCCCATGTTTGTCATAAAGACCCTGTACATGTTTTGTTAAGTGCATGCCTAAGTATTTTATTTTCTTTAAGATGGCTGTAGAGGATATTGTGTTTTTAAGTTTTGCTTCCACATATTTTAGTGTATGGAAATGAAATTTATTTTTGTGTATTGATCTTGTATACAGTGACCTTGCTTGACTCACTAACTGGTTCTAGGAGGGTTTTTTGAAGATTCCTTGGGATTTTCTACATAGACAACTTCGTCTTCTGCAAAGAGAGATAATTTTCTTTCTAATCCCTATGTCTTTTATTTTTCTTGTGCTGGCTAGAATTTTCATTTACTATATTGAATAAGTGGTGAGAGTGGACACACTTGTCTTGTTTCCAGTGTTAAGGGGAAAACATTTTGGCTTTCGCCATTAAGTGTTATATTAGCTATAGAGTTTTTTGGTAGATGCTTTGTATCATATTAAAGAGGTTCTCCCTATTCCTACTTTGCTGAGAGTTCTATCCTGAACTGGTGTTAGAGGTGACTGTTTTTGCATTACTATTGTGATAGCCAACACCAAGAGACCCATGTTGATTTGTGTGACCAAAAAAGGCACATGTACTTTGTAGAAATATTTATTACAGTTTTGAAACAAGCATAAATAGCTGAACCCAGAAAAGCAACAGAACGTATTAGTGTTGAGATTTATTTTGAGAGATGAAACTGATATAACATGCATCCTTCCTTTCTAAACAGCAAATTCAGTCTTATTTGAGCTAAGAGTTTCACCTATCTTCATTATTACTGCAGCCACAAAATACTGATACATGAGTCTAATCATTTCTATACTTTTAATTATCCATGTCCTCTCTTTTGCCATTTTCAAGAAAGTATTATTTGGCTATTTTAAAGCTAAAAAAATTTAAATATACTGTTTATTTGGTATGATGTTAATTTTGGAGTTGAAGTACATTCCTTATCTCTGTCCTTCTTCAACTGGACACCTCTAGATAAGAAGGCAAGAAATTCTTAAAACTTTTGCTAACCTAATTGTGTATGTAATTAGAATAACCAAGTTCAGTTAATTGAAACAATGAGTATTGGAGTAAGAGTTTGGGATTTGATTCCTTAGGGATAAACTACTAAATCCAGGACAGTCATTTAACTGCTGCAGATTTGAGTTCCCAGGGGAACCAAACAGAAGTCACACAATTTCTAGGATGAAAACATCTCAAAAAAAAATCAGTCCTCCCAGCACTTCGGGAGGCTGAGGCAGGGAGAGCACTTGAAGTCAGGAGTTGAAGACCAGACCAGCCAACATGGTGAAATCCCTGTCTCTATAAAAAATACGAAATTTAGTTGGGCGTGGTGACGCGTGACTGTAGTCCTAGCTACTCAGGAGGCTGAGGCTGGAGCCTGGGAGGCAGAGGTTGCAGTAAGTCAAGGTGACATCACTGCACTCCAGCCTGGGCTATAGAGCAAGGCTCTGTCTCAAAAAAAAAAATAAAAAAATAAAATAAAATCAGTTATTTTACCTTTGCTCACGAGCATCATCCTTCTTGGTGAAAAGCAGCGTATTTTTAGTCTTCATTTATTTTAATATCACATTTAATCTCTCCTTCATCCATCCATTTCAGAATGCTTGGCAAGCACTCTGAAATCTAGGCTTATTTATTTGTGTCATTCACATTAACATCTCTCTTACTCCTAGTATGCTTTAATGATCTAAGCAACTTAAGAGCAGCCTCTGTCTTATTTGTCTTTGATTGCTGGGTGCCTAACACAGGGCCTGGTACATAGGAGACATTCAATAAATTTATGTCAAATAAATGTCCAGCTATCTTTTGAGGCATGGATTGGCTATCTTGATTAACAGTGTTCCCTTCTTCTCTAGTACTTAAGCAACACTTGATGCCTCTGACTCATCTGTGTCTCTAAGAAGCATTCTACCAAAATAGGTGAAACTCCAATTCAAAGTCAGATTTCCACCTTGACCTGTTTGCTGATATTAGGGACACAACTAAGTCAGTCATTCATTTCTTGAAAAGATTGAAATGCCTTTCCTGGTTTAACTTCTCAAGTCTACCCATCTTTTGCAGATTCTGTGTGACTAGAAACTCTAATTTACGTAATTTCTCAGGCTTACACCAAAAATGCACAGAAAGAGTAACACATGATGAGTGACAGTGAGTTTTTCCTCTCATTATTTTAATGGGCTCCTGTAAAACTAACTGTTTTGCTCCAACCTAGCATAAGTGTGATTTGCTTCAAAAATATACATTAAATTTAAATTAATAATTCTCTTTCAAAATATTGTTTTCTTTCTGTTTAATGAGATAACTGTGGGATTTTTCCTTCTTTCATTTGAATTTTGCCAGTGTACTTCAATAAACTTTTTTGAGACAGAGTCTCGGTCTATTGCCCAGACTGGAGTGCAGTGGCGCGATCTTGGCTGACTGCACCCTCCGCCTCCCAGGTTGAAGCAATTCTCATGCCTCAGCTTCCAAAGTAGCTGGGATTACAGACATGTGCTGCCATGCCTCGCTAATCTTTTGTATTTTTAGTAGAGACGAGTTTTTGCCATGTTGGCCAGGCTGGAGCCAGTGTACTTTAAAGGAACTATTTTCTCAAGTCTGAAGCTTAAAAAAAAGACAGATTTATTACTTAGTTCATCTGAATGTGGTATGTGCCTGTGCATACCTGAACAGATTAAAGATCAATTCTTTCTAGGACAGATGTTACGCATTAAGTACTAAGGAAAATTTCAAGTGCAAGAGATATTAATCTGTATATTGTTAAAACAAATCAAGTTCTCCCTGTGCTCAGCAAGTTCTTTTATTCAAGCCTTGAAACTACTTTTATACTAAAAGTTCTGTTTTATACTCTTAAAATAGAATGTGATTGAACTGTCTATACTTGTGAGTTTTGCTGACTAGCATGAGGGCCTGCGACTCCACTGCTTTCCATGCTCAAGTCTGCAAGTTCTTCCCTCGCACAGAGGTCCCCAGCCAGGTAGAACGGATGGGAATCAGAGCATAGGGTTTTTGTAACATTGATAAGATATTCCAATTCCCAGTTGTAATAATAATAATAATAATAATAATATGCTAAAGAGAGTAGGCAGTTCTCAGGGTGAGGCAAAAGAAGGTCTGACTTTTTTTATATTGATCATTTAGAAATTATCCACGTGGGAAAATGTATGCATATAATTTAGGGTCCCAAGTTCTTCCTTGGCATTTATTCATTTACATTTTTTTTAATTACAAAAACAAGATATTAGAGATGGGGAAAATCTCAAAAGGCATCTTGCCCAAGTCTAACCTAATGCAACATCTTAGCTTCTGCTTGAATGCTTTGTACTAAAGGAGACCTCACCTCCTCATAATGCAACACAGACTTCTTTTATGATCAGTTTAGTTGTTAGAAAACTCAAGTCAAAATGTGCATATTTAGTTAGTTCTGTCCATTGATACTCATGTCTGGTGTATAGTAGGCCCTTTATAGGTATCTGTTGAATTTTTTAAAAATTGTTCCAATAAAATTACTCTAGTTTTTATTGTTAAAGCACACCCTAACGCAGGGGTCCCAAACCCCAGGCTGCAGACCAGTACTAGTCTGAGACCTATTAGGAACCAGGCCGCACGACAGGAGGTGAACGGCCGGAGGGCGAGCAAAGCTTCCCCTGTATTTATAGCCACACCCCATCACTGGCATTACCGCCTGAGCTCTGTCTCCTGTCAGAGCAGCAGTAGCATTAGATTCTCATAGGAGCACGACGCCTATTGTGAACTGCACATGTGAGGGATCTAGGTTGTGTGCTCCTTATGAGAATCTAACTAATGCCTGATGATCTGAGGTGGAACAATCCTGAAACCATCACCCATCTAACCCCCATCTGTGAAAAAATTGCCCTTCTTCTGCAAAACCCATCTGTGGTGCCAGAAAGGTTGGGGACCACTGCCCTAACTTATAATCATAATAACAGAATACTCAGAACACATCATGGTCCTGCTCAGGAAAATGTAGCCTTTACATCATTAAATAGTGAGACAGCAAACTACCTGACAGTGAAATGACATGTCTGAGCCCTTCTTTAAAGTAATCCAGGGATGTGGAAGCTAGGTATACATGAAACAAGGTTGGCCATGTGTTGTTGACAGTTTTTCAAATTGTGAGAAATGTGTGTGAGGTTCATTCTGCTATTTTCAGTTTTATATATGTTTATACTTTTGTTTGAAATGTTCTGTAGTAAAAAGTTAAAACAGAAAACTGAAGAGAGTCTTGAGAATCTCTAATCTGGAGTTTAAGAATCCCTGGCCTTCAACTTACCACCCTAAATCAGGACAAGTCACCCTGCAGTCTCAGTAACATTATCCTGAGGAGAGGATTCTCCACACATCTCCAAGCTGAGACCCATAGATAGCCAATTTGGTGCAGGAGGTTTTAGTTTTAGAAAACAGGATAACTTTGCATTAAAGATATTAACATAAATATTAATAATGTAATTTACAGAAAGGTCACAGGAAATGAGATCCCAATTTAAAGCAATCATTTGGAAGAAAAATAACCTTCTAGTTGTTTTGAGATGCCCTTCCACTCTTTCCTTTGATTATCGGTTGTTTGCCTTAAGTCAGTTACTAGCACGTAATTACCCTTCACAGCCATCGGCAATGTCCACAGCTGATTTTGCTCTTAAATTATTCTGTTACTCTAATCTCAAACCAGCCTATACTAAATGCCACTGTTTTTCAGTTAAGGAAATTGGGGATACTTAAGCTTTTATATGTGGCCATGGCAATGTAAACTGCCCTTCTGCTTCTCTTACGCACAGCACAGCAGATCCACAGCACTTACATGAAGACGGGGACCTTGCGTATTACAGAATTGTGGGGTCCCCTCTCCCCTGAATCAAGACTAGTTACTAGCTCTCATCTTTTATTGTTATTCCTGTCAGATACACTTGGAGGTTCTGAATCTTAATTCTAGTCTAGAACTTAACTCATTTCTAACAAACCTGGATGAACCCTGTTTCCCCTAGGACTTTTAAAATTGTAACAGTATCTTCACCTTTGTTTACCAAACAAGATGAGACCTTTCCTTTGGGAAAGCTTTCTTTTTTCTTTTTTCTCCAAAAGCAGATACTTAATGGGAAAGCTTTTATTCCCCTTGCCTGCCTCTGGGTTTTGTTGAAATAATATGGAAGTTTAATTTCTGGATGATTAATTTTGTTTTACTTTTTGTGCCTTCCATTTTATAAATCCTTTCTTAATAATTCACAACCATATTATCAGTAATAAACAAATTTTACCAGCCTTATTGCCACCTTTTTTCTTATACACCACATTTTCCCCTATTTCTTTTGGTGAAGTATTTTCTCAAGTTATTTTCAGAAAAATTGTACTTAGGTTAATATATTTTCTGAGTACTAGTATGTCTTAAAATATCTTTCTCTTGCTCTTACTGTTAACACTAAGTTCGCTATTACAGAATTTTATAAACATTGCTCTATTTTCTTCTTGCATATAGCGTAGTCCCCACTTATCCACAGTTTCACTTTCTGTGGTTTTAGTTACCCATAGTCAACTGTATTCTGAAAAGATGTGAGTACAGTACAAGAAAATATTTTCAGAGTGAAAAACTACATTCACATAACTTTTATTACAGTTTATTGTTACAATTGTTCTATTTTATTATTAGTTTATTGTTGTTAGTCTCTTACTATGCCTAATTTGTAAATTAAACTTTATCATAGGTATGTACATATAGGAAAAAACAGCATATTTAGGATTCAGTGCTCTGCACAGTTTCAGGCACCCACTGGTGCTCTTGGAACATGTCCCTTTGGATAAGTGGGGGCTACTGTAATATGCTCATCTTTGAAATTCCCTCCTGTTCCTGTGCATGTTCTGTTTAGGGTGGGGGCCATTTATATGATTATTCCTGTTAGTCTTCCTTCTCTTAAGCTGTTGCTTTTCTTCTTGTGCATGAGGAGTTTTCTCTGCTTACATTTCTTAAAAGAATCAGTGTTGGTGGGTAGTGCGGGCGGGGTGGGTCACTATATACTTCTGCCCATCAGACAATTGCCACTGCTTCCTTTTTCCTTTCCCCTTTGGGGCTCACAAGCTGGGAGCCCACCAGGGGTAGAAGCTATATTTGAGCAAAGTGGTGGCTTGAGGGCTCTCAGACAGGAGAGCTGAAGTGATGCCTTAAAGTTGAACTCCAGCTGCCTTCTCTGTGAAAGTCACTAGCAAGAGACACAAGAGCCCTGACTTACTCCTGTGGCCTCAACCGAGGGTGTCGACAGGCTCTCTGAGTCTGAACACATTTGTGCATTCCAGTGGGAAGTAATGAGAGGATGTTACAGGGAGGAACTCACTGCTTTGCTGAGCTTTTTTGTGTTGTTTCATCCTCTATGCTAAAAAGTTTGTGTTTTGGGCAACACTGTGCAGTTATATAGGGCACTGACTAGAAGCACCAGCAAATCCCCCACTTTACTTAGCTACCAAGAACTACCAAGTAACAAATGCAGCTTTTCCTGTCACAAGCCTCGAACCTGTTTTCCAGAGACCCTCCATTCCCCTTCTTTCCTCAGCCCTGGCATGTTTCCCCTCTCAGCTGCCGCAGCTCTGAGCTGAAAGGTTTCCCAATGAGCTGCTGGGGGGTCCACCCCCATTGCCCCAGTAGCTCTCTGACCTGCTCAACACTAATTAGCTCTTTCTCAATCCTACTCACCTATTCAGTATCCTTTAAGAATTTCTCAAGATATCTGTCATTTATTATTTTTGAACATTGCAGTGACATTTAGGGAATTAAGGAAGGTAAATAATATGTTTTGTTTTTGAAATTGTCTCCTAGAAGTTATTTCAAACATACTGACCTGGAACCAATATGTTTTCTGTTTTTTAATTCCTTGTTTAATATTTTTTAATTTAAGGGGTACAATATGATATTTTAGTATATGTATACCTTGTGAAATTATTAAATCAGACAAATTAACATATCCATCATGTCACATACTTACCATTTTTTTATTCGATATGTTCTTAAAGATCAAACTGCTCCTGACTTTAGCAAAAATTTTAACAAATTTATATGTGTATGAAATATATGTATATATATTTATATAGGTATATATTATATAACTACCATATTTGATACTTAATATGTACACATAAAGAACAAGATTAAAATTGCTTCAAAAATATGTTTCTGTATTTTTTTACAAAGAGCATATGATTTTACAATTTAATAAAATAATTAATGAAAGATAGGTAATCAATAACAGACCAAAAAATCTTCCATAGAATATCTAAAATAATGTCGTCTAAATGACAAGAATGTCTGGAAGCAGGTACTTGATTTTACACATGTGCTCAAAGCTTGAGTAATTTTTAAAGAGGTGATAATGTTTTTGTGTTCATATGTCTTAAAGAAACAAAGCTTAAAGACATTTTCAGAGAAGGAATATGAATAGTCACTCAGAATCCAGGCAGGAATTTTTTACTTTAAACACAACTAAAACCATTATACAGTATTGACCTTTACAGCTTTGGCTATTTAACTCATCCTTCTCCCAACCTGCACGTTGGCTTAGTGTTACAGTATTTATGCACGATTATTGCCATATTTGGGTTTTGGTTTTGACATTTGTGTGAAATAGCTAATATAAACTGAATCACAATGCTAGAAGCCAAATTTTTATACTTTAAATATCTTTAAGAATACATGGACTGTAACATACAGTATGGTTTAACATGAAATGATAAAATCCTAAGCATTATCATGTTAAAAGAAACTTACAAATTGCACATCCCATTGTCCATGTTTTAAACTACAAATTAAATCTCCTAATAACCAGTATTTCACATAGCTCATCAAGTGTTTTAATTACTGCTTTTTATTTGTGAATAGGCTGTTTTCATATTTTTTTAATCTTTAAAAACAAATTTGGTTTTAAAAGTCCCTAGGAGTATTAGAAATTACTTTTTGGAACAGCTCATTTAAAAGGGTATTACACAATGTTATAATAATCCTGTGTAGAATTTTTGTAATTTCTTTTTCTTTTTTGAGACACAGTCTCGCTTTGTCACCCAGGCTAGAGTGCAGTGGCATGATCTTGGCTCACTACAACCTCTGCCTCCTGTGTTCAAGCAATTCTCCTGCCTCAGCCTCCCAAGTAGCTGGGATTACAGGAATACACCCCCACACTCAGCTAATTTTTGTATTTTTAGTAGAGATGGGGGTTTCACTATGTTGGCTAGGCTGGTCTCAAACTCCTGACTTCAAGTGATCCGCCCACTTTGGCCTCCCAAAGTGGTGGGATTACAGGCATAAGCCACTGTGCCCAGCCCATAGTATGATTACAAATAATATGTAATTACAAAAGCTTATGAAATTATTAAAAATTCTTAAACTTCTAGAGTTAGCCAAAATTAGCTAGTGAAAAAACATTCAGTTACACTTGAACTAAGCAACACAGAGAGAGTTACACTTGAACTAAGCAATACAGAGAGACACTTAAAAATCAAACAAAAACAGTTATTGCCTTCAAGAAGCTCACAGGGGCAAAGAACACAAATAGTAGAAGGCTAGAATTGCATACAGGTGTCTGTCCTGTTAAATTTCCCTTTTCCATAATGGGCCCTTTATGTATTTTAGCATACCTTCCCATTTATTATACTTACTTAAAAAAATAAGTTTCACTTCACCCATAAACCTATATTTTTATATCAGTAATATAACTGTCTCACTTTTAAAAAATGGGCTTTTGCTGTAATCATAGTAAATTCAGCCTTGGCACATTTAATAGTGTTTGTTTTTAACCTAACTGAAGCACAGGTGATGAAATTTTTATTCTGATATCACTGGGGAAATTACATATTTGCACTCATTTAATAGACTACTTTAAATAATTTTTACTTGTTCATAAGCTTGACATTGTGGAGTTTTTAAATTATAATTTCAGGGTGACATTAGTAGAATCACCATCAGTCTATCCTTTTACTTTTTTGATTATGCCAGAGAACTTTAACACATTATTTCTTTTTTTTATTGGTAAGGTTTTGGTTTAGTATTTATTTAGTTTTGTTTTCTGATTACAAAAATAAGAGAGCCTATTGTAAAACATTTGGAAAGTCAGGAAAAGTATTTTAGAAAAGCTGTGCTCTTTGCCACTTAGTAGATATAACCACCATGAGCACTGAGCATTCTCTGCCTGCTTCTGCTGGTCTCTGAAGTTTCAGGCACACTGAAAGAAGCTGCAGCAATGAAAGCTGATACCTCTAAATCCTGAAATCCAGAATGATAGAATCTATAGTTTGTTTTATAAACAAAACAGTAATAGCTAACATTTATTGTTTATCATGTGCCTTCTGCTTTACACAATTGCTTCCTATAATAGTATCCTATATTAAGTTTTAGATGAAAATACGTGAGTATGTATGTAATGTTACATATGCTGTAAGGAAAAAGAGAATGCAGAAAATTAGCTTACATAGTAGCAAGTTCCATTTCTGGTTCTGCTCTGCATTTCTGACATTGAGAGGATGCATCATCCATGATCCAGCCTCGTTCATTCAGACCCAGACTATTCAAGGCTTTGTTCTCTAGATAATTTTGTCACATGTGAGCAAACTTACACAAAGAGCCCTTTAAACCCAGGCTACTTCCCTCTGAGCTAGGGTGAGTATTAAGCACCTGAAACTACTAGATAACAATATAGATCCCGGTTTGGAATCAAAGAATTATGAAATAATTTATAAGGTTTATAAAAACTCCAGTTTAGAGGTTTTTATAAACCTTATAAATTATTTCATCCAACTCTCTTACTTTAAATGTTTTTGTAAAACCATAAAAGAGAGAGAGGTGAAGTGATTTGCCCATGATCACATCTTTCATTAGCTAACACAGCAAGACGTGGCCCTGCTTGAGATTTTCTGTGCCAAATGAATAGGAAGCTTGAAAGGAGTGGCACTTACAGCTTTGAGCCAGCATTGGTGTCAGATATTTGCCTTGAGGTTTACCCTTATCAACACTCATGACCTAAAGACTTAGTTTCTGTAGTAGCAGATTATTAATAACAGAAGATGAACTACTAACATACATATAAAACTTACACTCTGTTGTGTTTTCCAGCCATATTTAAATCAGTTCTGCCTTTCATGAAGAATTTACATCTAATTGTAATAAACTGTGATTGAAACCATATTCCTGATGAGTCTGTCCCTTTAATATATTGAGCAATAAGAGGGGAAAAAATGAGAATAAAAATTTTCTTTATATGGTCTGTAAATTTCAAGAAACCTAATGTTTTTCAGACATTTTCAAATTTCATTAACTCAAGAGGGGAAGAAGATAGTAAGTATGAGGGTGGGTGTCCTCTTTTTTTCTTATAAGAAAACTAGGCCATGCGTGGTGGCTCACACCTGGAATCCCAGCAGTTTGGGAGGTCAAGGCAGGCGAATCACTTGAGGCCCCAAGTTCGAGACCAGCCTGGTCAACATGGTGAAACCCCATCACTACTAAAAATACAGGTGTGGTGGCAGGCGCCTGTAATCCCAGCTACTTGGGAGGCTGAGGCACGAAAATCACAGGAGGTAGAGGTTGCAGTGTGCCAAGATGGTGCCACTGCATTTCAGCGTGGGCAACAGAGTGAGACTGTCTCAAAAAAGAAAACTAAAGGGTGGGTCACAGAGGATTTGAGTGGTAAAACCAAAGCTAAAAGTAAAATTTCATCCTTCTGTAGCACTCCTTAACAAAAGCAGTATCATTACTGAATGTAGCTAAAGACATATTTTCCTACCTTACATCAAACATACATAGCTAGCAGAGCCCAGAACCCACGCAGTCTGAGTCAGCCTCACCTGCTGCATAGCCGTATAGATGTCACTGGGAAAAGGTCAAGTTCTGTAGGTAAAATAATTTCTGAGTGGACACAGATAAACCTTTATAATATTATGTAGAGAGTTCAGAATTCCTAATTAAACAATATTATGAACCAGCATGATAATTAATCAAGGGTTAGTATTGTTTCTCCTTGAATCTGTGGTTGCAAAAACCAAGGAAATGCATACTCTATTTGTATTATGTAGACACCCCTTTTTATAACACATATCTATGGCAAATATGTATCATATTTTTTCATGTTTAATACCTAGTTTGACTTTATTGTATAAAATTTCTTAGTGGAGAAAAGATGTGGCAAAGTTAAGGTTACATTTAAGTCTTATCATGTGATCCTAATGTTATAATGTGAAACTTCAAATTTGACAGGAGGTCTTGTGAAAAAACAAAAACAGATGCAAGAACCAAGTTTTTAGCTTATTGTACACAAAATGGAAGAAACTATTACATGATTTTTGAATTGTATTATGTGATTAATACTAATGTGATTATGTGATATATTAGTAAATACTCTAGACTATGCTAACCAAGACACAGACATTTTATCTTATACAGAAAATAACCCAATAGTTCATCGATTTCTCATCTCCTATCATCGTAGGATAATGTGTTCCTTAAATGAGTTAGTTTCTTGTTGCTTGTTGAAAGCAGTGGCCACATAGTCTTGCAAAAGAGTTCCATTCACCTTGTGACCGTGAGTATGGTCCGAATCTTCAGTTCTTCAGTTTCCTCTTCATTTAAAAAAAAAAAAAGGAGGAGGCAGGGGACAATTAGAATTACTTCACAGTCTTGATATGAAGATTAAGGAAGACTATTTGTAAAAGAAAATTCATGTGTTCACAGCTTGGCACTTACCAGAAGATAAATAAATGGTCTTTTTAGATGTTTGATAGTCTTTTCTGGAGAATAGTTTCATTGTGTATATCAAAAGCTTTCAGATTGAACCCAGAAATTCTGTTCTATACATTTATTCCAAGGAAATTGTCAGAGATGTGCCAAAGATCTGTGTATAAATGTACCAGGTCCATAAAGCTGATCTTGCCAATGGTGTTTTTAGGAGGAAAAAAAATTGGGGTATGAGGAGGGGAAGAACCTAAACATCCTAATAAAAAGAAGGGGTAAATACACACACACGTAAATGGAATACCATGCAATTATGGGTTGAAGTAATAAGTGTGGGGGAATTACACAATAGTATGTAGTATGATTTCATCTACATAATTTTTTTTTTTTTGAGACAGAGTTTTGCTCTTGTTGCCCATGCTGGAATGCAATGGCATGATCTCAGCTCACTGCAACCTCCACCTCCTGGGTTCAAGAGATTCCCCTGTGTCAGCCTCCCTAGTAGCTGGTATTACAGGCACACACCACCATGCCTGGCTAATTTTTTTGTATTTTTAGTAGAGACGGGGTTTCACCATGTTGGCAAGGCTGGTCTTGAACTCCTGACCTTAGGTGGTCCACCCGCCTCAGCCTCCCAAAGTGCTGGGATTACAGGCATGAGCCACCGCACCCGGCCTAAAAATGTTTTTTAAAAGGAAGTATGTATGTGTATTAGTCTGCTCAGGCTTCCATAACAAAATACCGCAGGCTGAGTGTCTTAACAGAAATTTATTTCTCACAGTTTTAGAAGCTAGGAAGTTAAAGATCAAAGTGCTGGGAAGGTAGATGCACTCTGAGCAGCCTCATCTCCTGGTTTCTAGGTGGCTGCCATCTCAGTGTGCTCTCACATGTTCTTTTCATGTGCATGTAGAGAGAAGCAGCAAGCTCACTTATTAGGAGACACTGATCCTCTCCCTGTGACCTCATTTAACCTTAATTGCTTCCTTAGAGGCCCTGTCTCCAAGAACAGCCACATTGGGGGTTAGGGCTTCAACATATGACTTTGAGGGAGGGGGTACTCATTCAGTCCATAACATACAGAGGGGTAAATACACACACACACACACACACACACACACACACACACACACACACACACACACACACACAAAAGATGGAATACCATGCAATTATGCATAACATAAGAGACAGGACAAAACCAAACTTTGTTTCGTCTACTCTCACACAGTCACTACAACACAGAATATTTTATCTCTGGTCACCAAAATATGTAGGGATTCTGCCTTCCCCCTCCGTACACCAACCAATCAATCAATTCTGACACTATCTACCTAGAGATAATCTGTCAGATCCCATAGGTTGAGGGCTCAGCCCCTCAAGATTGCCCCACATTGCAGATGCCAATCACAAGTCCCAGGTCAGGACCTGTACTTCTGACTAACTGGCCATGAATCAGGGTTCCCATGACCCCCTCCTCGGGTTTGATTTGCTAGAGCAGCTCACAGAACTCAAGGAAACACTTTACTTACGTTTACCTGCTTATTATAAAAGGTATTACAAAGGATACAGGCAAACATCCAGATGGAAGAGATGCATAAGGCCCTGTTTTTGAACATGATGTAAATGAAATCATACAGGATGTGCTCTTGGCACCTGGCTTCTTTTGCTCAACACTATGTCTGAGATTCATCCAACACATTTATTTATTTAGAGACAGAGTCTCCCTTTATCGCCCAGGCTGGAGTCCAGTGGTGCAATCTCAGCTCACTGCAACTTCCGCCTCCCAGGTTCAAGCGATCCTCCTGCCCCAGCCTCCCGAGTAGCTAGGATTACAGGCACCTGCCACCACTCCCGGCTGATTTTTGTATTTTTAGTACAAACGGAGTTTCACCATGTTGGCCAGGCTGGTCTCGAATTCCTAATCCACCCACCTTGGCCTCCCATAGTGCTGGATTACAGGAGTGAGCCACTATGCCCAGCCCAACACATACTTTTAAATGGAACTTTATGAAACATATTTGCATGCATCTTGGTTTTTTTACCTTAACAAAGTATAAGCCCCCTTTCAAGTCAGCACTTACAGGCCTCCCTCATTCTTCTGATACCTCCATATCATTCCATAATGTTATATATGTTCCACAATTTATTTCACTTTTTATCTCTCAGTGGATATTTATCTGGTTTCCAGTATTTCATAGACATGAGTTGAAGAGACTGTGTTTTTAATGTTAATCAATAATAACAAATTATCTTCCCTGAAAGTTGTAGGGATTTATATTTTCACCAGCATATGACACTATCTAGTTTACCACATACTCATCTGAGAGTTCTTAATTTTTATTTCACTAGTGAATTTGTTTTTAAAATAAGTAATGCAGATGGTCTATTAAAAACTACAAGAGTATATGATAAAAGTAGGTCTCCCTTTTACTCATCTCCCAGTGATACAATTCTCTTCCCAGAGACAACCACTTTGTATCTAAGATATTTTATGCATATATGTATATATATGTATAATCTAGAATATATTCAGTAGTTAAAGAAGCAATTTAAACTTCTTTAACTACTGAATAGTATCATATAGTATGGTTACAACATAATTTAATGAGTTCCTTATTCACATATATCATGTGGTTTTCAATCTCTTATTATGAATAGTGCTGTAATGAATATCCTGTAGGATAAATTATTAAAAATGGAATTGTTAAAGAATACATATATATTTTTAAATAAACATTTTATTGAAATATAACATATAGAAAAGTATACATAAGTGCACAGCTCTATAAATTTTAACACAGTAAACGTACCCATGCAATTACACGCAGATCCAGAAACATGCTACCAACATCCAAAATGTGCCCTCCAGCCCCCTTATTAGTTACTAACCCAGTTCACCTGAAGTAATTGCTATTGTAATTTCCAATACCACAGATTAATTCTCCCTTGTTTTGAACTTTATATTGTATTTTTTAACAGATGTCCCTTCACAGAAATTGTATAATTTTCTACTTCGACCTACAGTATATATATGAAAATGCTCTTTTCCTAACACCTTCACCAACCCAAGGGGTTATTAAACTTTTTGATCTTTGCCAGTTAGGTGAAAAATATGTCCTGTTTTTATTTCATATTGTTCTTATAATGAATGAAGTTCAGCATTTTTTCATATATTTAAGAGGCATTTGTATCTTTATTTCTATCTATAGTCCTTGTCCTTTCTTATTTTCTAATTGATTTATAAAATGTACTGTAGTATGTATTAAAGAGCCCTTTGTGATAATATATTTATTATTTTCCTTACAGACAATTTTATCATGCTTTTCTTTTTCACCTATCTCTTGGGAATAAAATTGGTTTTTTCCTAACTGGTGCAGTTGAGTGTCTTTCTCAGTGTTTTTTTTTTTGATTATTTGCATTTTCTCTTCCAGATATTGCTTCTTGAAATCCTTTGTTTTCTGTTGGATTATTTTCTAACTGATATCTAGAAGTTCTTTTTATATTAGCAATAGTATCTCTTTATACTGTTATATTACAAAAAGTTCACCCCCTTTGTCACTAGTCTTTTAAAATTTTATGGTATCTTTCTTATTTTGTAACAGCTTTATTGAGATGTAATTCACATACCGCATCATGACCCATTTGAAGTATACAATTTAATGGCTTTAGCATATTCTCAGCGTTGTGCAACCATCACTGCAATCATTTGAGAATATAGTCATCACCACCGAAAGAAACCCTGTACCTATTGTCTGTCACTCTTTTCTTTTTCTTTTTTTTTTTTTTTGAGACGGAGTCTTGCTCTGTCACCCAGGCTGGAGAGCAGTGGCGCGATCTCAGCTCACTGCAAGCTCCGCCTCCCAGGTTCACGCCATTCTCCTGCCTCAGCCTCTCAAGTAGCTGGGACTACAGGCACCTGCCTCCACGCCCAGCTAATTTTTGTATTTTTAGTAGAGACGGGGTTTCACTGTGTTAGCCAGGATGGTCTCGATTTCCTGACCTCGTGATCCGCCTGCCTTGGCCTCCCAAAGTGCTGGGATTACAGGCATGAGCCACCGCGCCCGGCCTTGTCTGTCACTCTTAGTCCCCCATCATCCCCCAGCTCCAGGCAACCACTCATCTACTTTATGTATCCATCGATTTGCCTATTCTGGACATTTCATATAAATGGGGTCATATAATATATGGTTATGTGTGACTGGCTTCTTACACTTAGCATAATGTTTTCAAGATTCATCCATGTTATAATATGCGTCAGTACTTTATTCCTTTTAATTGCCAAATAATATTCTGTTGCATGTATATTCCAGATTTTGTTTATCCAGTCATCATTTGATGGACATTTGGATGGTTTCCACCTTTTGGCTATTATGAATAATACTGCTATGAACACTGATGTACACATTTCTGTTTGGATATATGTTTCTTTGTTTTTCTTGGAATATAGCTGGAAATGAATTACTGGGTCAAAGGAGAACTTTATGTTCAGCCTTTTAAGGAATTGCCAGATTGTTTTCCAAAGCAGCTGCACCATTCCACATTTCCATCAGAAATGTATGAGAGTTCCAATTTCTTCACATCTTCAACAATATTTGTTATTCTTGGACTGTTTTATTATAACCATCTTAGTGTGTATAAAATGTTAACTCATTGTGAGTTTTTTTTTTTTTTTACCATCTTAACCATGATTTAAATTGTGGTAAAAACGTGTCACATAAAATTTGCCATCTTAACCATTTTTAAGGTATAGTTCAGTGGAGTTATGTATATTTGCATTGTTGTGAAACACATCTCCAGAACTTTTTCTTCTTGCAAAGCTGAAACTCTATACCCATTAAACAGCTCCCTTTTTTCCCTTTCCCCTACTCCCCACTAAGCACCATTCTACTTTGTCTCTGTGAATTTGACTACTTTAGATAACTCATTAAATGAAATTATACAATAAATGACTGCTTATTTATCCTAACATAATGCCTTCAGGGTTCATCCATATTGTAATATGTGACAAGATTTCCTTCCTTTTTAAGGCTGAATAATACTCCATTTTATGTATTTACCATATTTTATTCATTCATCTGTCAGTGGACATTTGGCTTGCTTCCGCCTCTTGGCTGTTGTGACTAACGCTGCCATGAACATGGGCATGCATCTCATAATGATTCTGCTGTATATTTTTCTGATGGTTAATGATGTTGCGCATCTTTTCATGAGCTCAGTGGCCATCTGTATATCTTCTTTGGAGAAATACCTATTCAGATCCTTTTCCTATTTGTCATCTGGGTTGTCTTTTTATTGTTCAAGTTTAAGAGTTCTTTTATTATTATGTCTTTGTCAAATATACATTTTACGTAGGGAGGTAAACTCTAACTTTATTTTTTTCCAAGTAACCAATTATCCAGCACCACTTATTGAATAATCCATCTTTTTTTTTTTTTTTTTTTTTTTGAGACAGGATCTCCATCTGTCACCAAGGCTGGAGTGCAGTAGCGTGATCTCAGATCACTGCAGCCTCTGCTTCCCGGCTCAAGTGATCCTTCTCCCTCAGCCTCCTGAGTAGCTGAGACCACAGACGTGTGTCACCACATCTGGCTAATTTTTTTTTTTTTTTTTTCTGGTAGACAGGGTTTCTCCATGTTGTCCAGGCTGGTCTCAAACTCCTGAGCTCAAGTGATCCACCCACCTCAGCTTCCCAAAGTGCTGGGATTACAGGCATGAGCCACTGTGCCTAGCCTGAATAAGCCATCTTTTTTCCTCCTTTAACAAGTATTTATTGAGCAAATATGTTGGGTGAGACCCTGAGAAAATAAGGACAGAATGATGCAGAGGTAACATCTGCGTGCAAAGACATATGTGTGCATCAGTAACTGTGGGTCAGCAAGATAATGGTTTAAATGAAGGCTTATGCAAATCATTTTGGAACAGTTGGAAAAGAAGTACCAATATCTACCTAAACTTTAGGGAAGAAGATAAAAGGAGAGTGAGAAGTTAGGGTTTTCATAATAAAAGAGTGAGAACCAGGCATTCTGCTGGGGTAGGAAATTTAAACATTGAAAACTGCTTGCAAGTGTAAAATATTTATTTCACTGTTTCCTCAAGTTGTATTTAATGTAAATATTCTATAGTAAATGAACAGGTATTCTCTTTTGTGATGAAATATATCATGTTTATTTCTTGGTGCCTTTTACCTTACATACTCTGTATCTTAGTCCATTTAGGCTGCTATTAATATAAAAAAAATATCTGGCCAGACCCAGTGGCTCACACCTGTAATCCCAGCACTTTGGGAGGCCGAGGCAGGCGGATCACAAGGTCAAGAGATTGAGACCATCCTGGCCAGCATGGTGAAACCCCGTCTCTACTAAAAATACAAAAATTAGCTGGGTGTGGTGGCGTGCACCTGTAGTCCCAGCTACTAGGGAGGCTGAGGCAGGAGAATCGCTTGAACCCAGGAGGTGGAGGTTGCAGTGAGCCAAGATCGTGCCACTGCACTCCAGCCTGGCGACAGAGCAAGAGACTGTCTCAAAAAGAAAAAAAAAAAAACCTTAGGGTAATTTATAAACAACAGAAATTTATTGCTCGCAGTTCTTGAGGCTGGGAAGTCCAAGATCAAGGCACTGGCAAATTCAGTGTCTGGTAAGGTCTCACCTCTACTTCAAAAATGGCACCTTGTTGCCACGTCCTCACATGGCAGAAGGGGTCAAAAGAAATTACTGGAGCCTCTTTTGTCAAGGCATTAATCCCATTCATGAGGATGGAGCCATCGTGACTTACTGTCTTCACAAAGGCCCCACCTCTTAACACTGTCACGTTGGTTATTAGGTTCCAAGACATGAATTTGGGGGGATAGCAACATTCAAATCATTACACCCTGCCTAAGTCAAACATTTATATTAGAATGATTGTCATTCCATAGTCATGTAATATAAACAAACAAAAGAAACCATTTTCTTCTGGATATATTTTAATCTACAGACAAATATTCATAACTAAGAAAATAATTTGTGCCCACTGAGAACTATCAGCTCTCTTTCTTTATCTTATAACATATAGCATTTTAAAATGATAGCATATAATGTCTGCTTTCTTATCAAAGGTATCACTTCACCAAAAGTGGTAGAAATATGGTTTTATTTCAGAACTCATATTATTTAGATAAAGATTGTTCAGATATTTTAACCTCTTTTTGCTGGTTATACAATAAATTTATCATTATTTTGTATATTTGTTGTAGACTCATCAATTATTTTATAGTTATGCTCTCTATATTAGCTATCAAGGGTACCCAAAATCTTTGACCCAGAATTACATGAATGAAAAAAGTCTAGTTTGAGATATAAAGTACTGAATGTAGATGTTTTTCTTAGTATACATTTTAGTTGGTTCTCATTTGGCACCCCTCTGTCAGAATCTAAGTCATCCTTGGAATTTAGCTAACTAATTGGAAAATAGAACCAACAGGTTCTATTTTAGGTATGGTATGATATAATCATAATTTATCTCACCTATATAGTTCACAAAATAGTAGCATCTTGACAGTTTAATAAAGGCTTTTGAAATATTGGTATAAAGTGAACAACAGAACTTTAATTTGCTCAGATCTAAAGAAATTGAATTGGTTTCTGCTTGTGATTATGAATCAATAGAGTATATTAATGGATCTTAGGGAGAAAATTAGAGCTCACTTTAAATATAAACTTATAATAGTAATAATTGCCTGTTTATTTTTCCACAGTTCTTAGTGGTCTGTGTTCTAATGACTGTCCTCGTAAGATAACAGTAAGTAAATTTATATCTGTTATAAATATGTCTATGAAAATTCTATGTATAAGTAGACACACACAAAATAGTTGTTATAGATTATCAAATATCATTATTATCTGGCAGTGATTAAAGAATCCTTCATTACTCAAGAAAACTGTGCTGAAAGTAAAGTACCTTTCCTAAAAAAATGTCTTACCTGAACGGTCGTCTTTATGAAGCCTTTTCTGATATCCTTAGCAGAATGACCACCCCTCCAATTATTTTAAGACATTTTGGCATTTATAATATTTCATTACACTTGTTTAGATTAGATGCCTCTCCACACGAGACTGTAACCCCCTGAAGTCAAGAACCATGTCATCTTGTGTACCTGGTATAGGTCGCAGAGACAAGCATATAGTAGGCAATTAGTGACTTTTTTGTGTGTAGTCTTAATATTGACTTGCTGTCTAATAGAATGTTTCAGTGAAATAACAAATGTGAAAATAATTAGTTTTTGACAGACCAATTCATGTAAACTGTAATAAGAATATTGTATTTAAAAGCATGCATGTGTTTGTGTGTGTGTACAGGGAACTGTTTGGGGTCTTTGTAGTAATCCTTGTTTCATAAGAAATTAGCCCCTATTTAAAGACAAGGAAACTGAGACTCAGAGAAGTTAAATTATCCAAAGTCATGGAGCTGTTAAATAGTGGAACTGCAATACAAACTAGGTGTTCTCATTATTGTCTCATTTTCTTAACAGTGTCATTAAACATTACATTGACAATATTTTATGTATAGTTGGGAAACTTCCCATATTTAAGAAGTGTAGAAACAGACCCTGACACAGGGATATAATCTAGACTCAAACTGGGGGCAACACCTCTGAAGTAGTGAAGAAAGCAGCAGTGGCAGAAGGAGAAGATGCATGGGGAGCTCTGGAGCTAGGATGATCCTTCAAATGTGGCCCGAACTGAGCCAGAGGGGCGCGGCTTTTGAACTCTTGCATCAATCACACATCACATCCAGACAGGCCGCCAGGAAAGTGTTAACGTTTATATGAGGCAGCTCTCTTTGGCTAAGAACAATCTCCAGGTAGGAACCCTGCTGTGAGCTGTTAGCAGCCAACACAGGCCAGCTCAGGGAATAAGTGTGTAGGTCCTGAAGAGAAGATCTGGATGAGGCGTCACCACAGTCACTGCAGCATGCATGTGAATGTTTGGTCCAACCCATATACTTTTATATCACTGTAAAACTGTGGATGGGATTCATCAGCCTAAAGATTAACTTGGTTATTCAGGTATTATCTACCCACTTTGTGAAACATTCAGACCTACATTTCTCCCTCTAACTAACCATATCTCCATTCTGTGGCTCTTTGATTATTACATGGTGGCCATGTAATAACTTTAAAAAGTTATATTTGAAACCACTGATTTTACTTACAAGTTCTAGGTGAAAGTTTGATAGGAAGGGCTGTATAGCCAAGGCAGGTGACACTTTTTTTTTTTTTTTTTTTTTTTGAGATGGAGTCTCACTCTGTCCCCCAGGCTGCAGTGCAGTGGCGCGATCTCGGCTCACTGCAAGCTCCGCCTCCGGGGCTCACGCCATTCTCCTGCCTCAGCCTCCCGAGTAGCTGGGACTACAGGTGCCTGCCACCATGCCCGGCTAATTTTTTGTATTTTTAGTAGAGACGGGGTTTTACCGTGTTAGCCAGGATGGTCTCGATCTCCTGACCTCGTGATCCGCCTGCCTCAGCCTCCCAAAGTGCTGGGATTACAGGCATGAGCCACCACACCTGGCCAGGTAGGTGACACTTCTAAGATCCATAAGGCTTCCTGTCTCCTTATCTTAAAATATTAAGCCACTTCTATCTTACAGTGAACAGAATCATTTGGAAAGTCACATAAGTAAAGTCCAACATGCAGAGCTGCCTTTATAATGATTACCATTACCGCCCAGCACCTTTGGGCTTTTCTGCAGATAATGTATCTGCCTCCCATTCATTCATGACTTTCTTTGAAATTAAGATCCTGTTAAGCTGCCCTTCACCATATCATTTTCCTTCTCTCTGATATTTTACTGATATCATAGATCACAATTTTATCAGCATGTAAACAAATGCACAGTGTACTTACCCAGTATCACAAATGTCAAATGTATGCCCACTTGCGAAATTATTTACTTCTTGAAAAAGTAGTTCTTCTTCATATTCCTTTGACATCAGATCATAGTAAAAAGTGTTATATTGGATGTGACCCAGTGTGAAACTGAGAGAGAAAATATACATCCCATATAGTATTCTTTACCACTTGAGTTAATTCATGAGTTGAATAGCTCTTCTGCTGGTTATGTGTTCTGTCACACCTGATAGGCAGACTATCAGGTGTATAGAAAGAGGAAAAAATTACTGAGCTCATGAACCGATCCCACCCATATTCCTTCATCTCCATTTTGAAAACTTCAGAGTGTTTTATTCATATTCAGTTTTAGCTATTCACTCCCATGGCCATAACCTGGACCTTATCTACCAGAATGGTTTCACTTTTGAAACCCTAATTTCATTTATCCAACTCTGACCACAGCCTATTTTCCAGCCCTCCCACTCTGTTACTCTAATTATACCTGTTCCACTTTAAAACCATTAGTCTCTTGACCTGTATCAGCCCAGTATTGTCTTTGCCCACCTCCTTATTTAGTTACCACACACCAACATTACTTCTGCCAGTACCTTTAACTCCTATAAAGCACTGACTTTCCAGTGTACCTGCCTGGGAAAATTTCAACCCTGGGTTAGTCCAGCTATCTCTTATTCCCTCCTATGCCTAGTATACTGGGCATTTCTGAAGAAAAACCTGTAGCTCTGCGTATTGGCACTACCCCTCTGTATTAGTCCGTTCTCATGCTGCTATGAAGAAATACCCATGACTGGGTAATTTATAAAGAAAAGAGGTTTAATTGGCTCACAGTTCTGCATGGCTGGGGAGGATTCAGGAAACTTACAATCATGGTGGAAGGCACCTCTTCACAGGGCAGCAGGAGAATGAGTGCCAGCAGGGGAAATGCCAGATGCTTATAAAACCATCAGATCTCCTGAGAATTCACTGTCACTAGAACACCATGGGGGAAACCGCTCCTGTGATTCAGTTACCTTCCACCAGGTCCCTCCCATGACATGTGGGGATTATGGGGATTACAATTCAATGTGAGATTTGGGTGTGGACACAGCCAAACCATATCACCCTAATTCATGGTCTTCAACCTCAAATGAGCTTTTTTAAATTATATCACAGTTTTATATGGAATCCAAGTCATATTTTCTTCCATTTCTTTTTTCTGGCTTGTTTCAAGATTTTCTCTTCGTTTTTGATTTTTTGCGGTTCGAATATGATATGCTTGGGTATAGATTTTTTCAATATTTATCCTGCTTGGTGTTCTCTGAGCTTCCTGGTTCTGTGGCTTGAGGTCTGTCATGAATTTTGGAAATTGCTCAATCATTATTACTTCAAATATTTATTCTTTTGCCTTTCTCTCTTTCTTCTTCTTGTATTCCTACTACGTGTATTTACACCTTTGGCATCTTCAAGCTTAACTGATTCTTTCTTAGGTCATGTCCAATCTACCAATGAGTCCATCAAGGCATTCTTCATTTATTACAGTTTTTTTATTTCTATTTCGTTTTGATTCTTAGTTTCTATCTCTCTGCTTACATTAACCATCTCTTCTTGTATGTTGTCTGCTTTTTTCCATTAGCACCCTTAGCATGTTAATCATAGTTATTTTAAATTCCTGGTCTGATCATTCCAAAATGCCTGCTATATATAAGTCTTGTTTTGATACTTCCTTTGTCTCTTCGGACATTTTGTTTTGTTTTGTCTTTTGCCTTTCTGCATGCCCTGTAATTTTTTATTGAAAGCTGGATATGATGTATTAAGCAAAGGGAACTAAGGTAGACCTTTACTGTGGAAGTTTTAAGGTTGATCTGACTGGGAATTAGGCTGTATATACTGTTCACAGTAGCTGTTGTGTTGGAGGCAATTATTTCCTCTAGTGTCCTTGTTTTTGTCTCCTCTGGTGTGTCGGTTTCGCTACAGACTCCTTCTTAAATGAAAGATAATGATTACAGTGCTTTGGGCTGTAATTCCCTGTTATACAGGAGCCCAGTTGATGAAGTACTGGAATAGGAAAAGTGTTCTGTCATCTTGTCATTAGGTCTCACTCTTTTAGTGAACCTGTGTCCCTGGGCTGTGACCTTCACAAGTGCTTCTCAGCTTCCCTGTCTTCTTAGGTGAGATAGGAGGATGAGAGGGAGCTGAAGTTGAGTATTTCCCTTTCCCCAGGTCAGTTAGGCTTTTGTTAAACCCAAGTCAGTTAAGCTGTAGTAGAAGTTTTCTTTGAAGGCAGGCTGTTAGGGAGAACAGAGAGCTCTGGGCATATTTCAGAATGGTTACCTTCTCATGCTTCTGCTGGAAACATAAAGGTATTTTTCTCCAGTCTTCACAGTGAGAATCTGGTGGAATTCCTGGAGGTAAAACTCAACAAAAGTGTAAGTGTGAGGGTTCCCCCCTGCCCTGAACCCTTGGAGTTTTGAACACTGAAGCTAGTCTACACTGAGCCTCCAGCAGTTTTTCAGTTAAGTCTTCCTACCTGTATTGGCTCCATCTTTGATCTTCTGCTCTTGGGCTTCTGCTTCTTGTAAGCTGTGACTCTGTTTCCACCTGTCTGTCTCTCCAGTTTGCAAAGTAGCAGTTTGTCCTGTGACCTTAGTTCTCTGAAAGATCTAAGAAAAGTTGTTGATTTTCTGTTTCTTTGCTTTTTTCTTATTATGAGAACTAGAGTGACAACATTAAGGAACTTTACATTCAGACCAGAAACTGGAAGCTCTCCTTGCATTTTTATTGGTTTTGCTTTATTTGAAGTTTGTTTTTGTCCATTTTACTTCATGGCTTTTATCAGTGTATCTGGTGTGTCATTTATTGCTCTTTATCTTGATTTTTTTAACTTTTTAAAAATTTGCAAAATCTATGAAAGTATAAATCAGTATAATAAAACTCCTTGGATGGGCACAGTGGTTTATGCTTGTAACCCCAGCACTTTGGGAGGTCGAGGCAGGAGGATCTCTTGAGCCCAGGAGTTTGAGACCAGCCTGGGCAACGTGCTGAAACCCCATCTCTACAAAAAATACAAAAATTACCTGGGTGTGGTGGTGTGCACCTGTACCCGAGCTACCCGGGAGGCTGAGGTGGAGAATCACCTGAGCCTGGGGAGGTAGAGGCTGCAGTGAGCCATGATCACACCACTGCACTGCAGCCTAGGCAACAGAATGAGACTGTCAAAAAAGAAAAAAGAAAAAAAAAAAACAAGAACAAATAACATAAAATTCTTGTGCCCATACCCAACTTCAAAAATATCATTATATGCCCAATTTTATTTCACCCATACCACCACCTACTACCCATCCTCCCCCTAGAGTATTTTAAGGCTAATCCATCATCTCTAAATACTTCAGTGTGTTGTAAATACACATTTTACTTACTATACCAGAAGTTCTCTTTCTTCATAAGAACTATTTAATACCCTTTCTACTTTCCCAGTTTCCAGTTCTCAGTAGTTAACCTTCCCTCCTACTTCAAAAAAGAAAATAATCCATAAAATGCAAATCTCTTCAACTATCTACAGTAATTTTGGAAAAGTTATTTCACTTCTGTTAAGCCTCATTCTCCATGTCTGTAAAACTAACCTATGTAAGTTTCCTATCACTGCTGTGACAAATTAACATAAACTTAGTGGCTTAACACAACACAGATTTATTCTCTTACAGTTCTAGAGGTTGGAAGCCTGAACTGTGTTTCACTGAACTAAAATCAAGTTGTCAGCAAGCCTACCTTCCTTTTTGGAGGCTTTGGGGAGAATCCATCCCCTTACCTTTTCCAGCTTCTTGAGGCTGCATATCTTCCTTGGCTCATGGCCCTTTCCTCCATACCCAAAGCCAGTAGTGTTGCATCTTCAAATCACTGGCACTAATGCATACTGCCTTCCTCTTTCTCCTATGGGGAGCTTTGTGATTACGTTAGCCCCACCTGGATATTGCAAGATACTCTACCCATCTTGAGATCTTTAATGACATCTGCCAAGTCCTTTTTGGCAGTATATTCAGCAGGCTCTGGAAAGTAGGACATGGACATCTTTGGAGTACCATTATTCTGCCTATCACATTACCTTAAGGTTATTGTTAAAATTAGAGGAATTAATGTAGATAGACCATAGTAGGCCCTAATACACAATAAACACTCAAAAAGTTTAGCTGCTATTATTTGTCAATGTTATTGTTGATACCCCTGCCTCTATAACATCCCTATATTGGTAGGGATAGTAAGTTCCAAATATTTTGAGAAATGTTGGTGTTCCATTTGTGTTTCAGGTACGACTAGAGGTATACTAGACTTCTTGACTTTTTCTTACTGTGTAAATCTTTTTAAACATCACAAATTTATGAAATATGGATATGGTAAATATCAGTATTATTAGTGGTGCTATCATAAATATCTGTGAATCAAAAGAGTATTTATATTCCTGTTTTCTGATTTTTTTTTCCTTCAAATATCCAACTAATTTTTGAAATCTTTTATTCTCAGTATAAGGCATATTCTGACCTTTCACTATGTCAGTGGAAATAATGGCGTTTTTCTCTGTGACTTGGTAATTCTTTTCACCAAAGTCTAGTGACTTTTTCCACTTCGTGGATTATGAATCTAGAAGCAGGCAGATAAGTACTTTTCCCCTTGGAGAACAGACGGTTTAAAAGTAGTCTTTGACTTCCCCATATACAAAAAGACTCTGTGCACATTCCTTTCAAAGAGCTCCATGGAGGCAGAAAACAGTATCTTTTTTTCTTGACAGTATGTCCTGGAACCTAACAGAGGGGCTGGTGCTTAATAATTTGTCATTTGGGCTGGGCGCGGTGGCTCACGCCTGTAATCCCAACACTTTGGGAGGCTGAGGCGGGCAGATCACGAGGTCAGGAGATTAAGACCATCCTGGCTAACACGGTGAAACCCCATCTCTACTAAAAATACAAAAAATTAGCCGGACATGGTGTCGGGCGCCTGTAGTCCCAGCTACTCGGGAGGCTGAGGCAGGAGAATGGCGTGAACCCGGGAGGCGGAGCTTACAGTGAGCCGAGATCGCGCCACTGCACTCCAGCCTGGGCGACAGAGCGAGACTCCGTCTCAAAAATAATAATAATAACAATTTGTCAGTTGACCTCTGCAGCACTAAACATAATCCCTTCCTCCACAGCCATTCTCATTGCTTTTCCTCTTGACTGAAAATCAGCGTGCCAGCTGTGCTGTGGGTCACACCTGCCTCCTCTCCAGGAACCTTATGGGCCTTGTTCCACTGTTTATTTGGCCTATGCATCTGGCCTCCACTTGTCTGCTGGTGTCTTTCCTTCAGCAGTTAAGGATGCCTAAGTCTCTTATCTGTACATGTATACATATGTACCTTCTGAAACCCACATCCCCTCCAGCTACTACCCATCTCTCTTTTCTTTTCTCAGCCAAACTCGAGTTGCCTGCATTTGGATCTCTCAAATTCCTCACCTCAGTATCCTTAACCCACTGTTATCGTCTAGCCTTTGAGCTTATGCCGCTGCAGCTGCATGTGATACTGCCAACACTTACCGAAACACTCCCTTTTCTCGGCTGCCTTCCTGCTCTTTCTTCCCAGCTCTCCTCCTACCTCTCTGTCCATTCTTCCGGGTTTCTTTATGAACTTCTCTTCTGCCTATCTTTCAAATGTTGGTGATTTTCAGGTTCCATCCTAGGTTCTCTTCTCACTATATATACAATAGTCCCCCCTTATCCACAAAGACGCATTCCAAGATCCCCAGTGGATGCCTGCAACCTCGGATAGTACTGAACCCTATGCACCTTCTTTTTCCTACACGTACGTACCTATGATAAAGCTTAGTTCAGAAATTAGGCACAGTAAGAGATTAATAACAACAATAACTGATAATAAAATAGAACAGTTATAACAATATACTGTAATAAAAGTTATGTGAATATTTATCTCTCAAAATACATTATGGTATTGTACAATGAGTAACTGAAACCACAGGACATGAAACCGCACATGAGCGGCGACTACTCTAAACTCTTTAAGTGATCTCAACCACTTTCCTGAACATCAGACCTTTGTATCTAAGTCCCTTACAAGGAAGGACCCTGAAATGTAATGTTCCCCACCCCCCAAAACCCAGTCCTCTTCCCACGTTCCCTGGCTCACTTTTTCCTTTCCCTTGTCTCCCAAATCTACTAGATTATCATTCTTTCCCCACAACTGTCCCTTCTCTCTGTCCTGTTACTTTATTTCAGGACTTTTTTTTTTTTTTGCCTGACTGCAGCAGTTATCTAAGCTATCCTTCAAAAACATACAACAGTGATCTTTCTAAAACACAAACCTTCAGTGGCTACCCTTTACCCTTGAGAGATGATCTAAATCTAGCTTCCTGAGATAGAGCCCTGGTTTACCCCTTCAGCCTTATCTCTTGCAGTTTTTCCTCAGGCCCTCCCACAACTCTATAATCAGATCTCTGAACCACTATGTTCTGTCACCTCTGTCACCTCCTGTTCCTGCACCTGCCTCTGTAACAAAGCCTTCTCTTCTTCACCTTCTCCTAGTTTGCTCTGTGTGACCTTCAGGTTGGCACTCAGACAATATTTCCTCCGAGAAAGCATTCCCTGGCTTCCGTTTGACATAGAGTTGGATGCACCTTCTGTTGTTTCTTAGCACCCTATGCCTAGTCCTACTACTGTCACTTATTATAGTTTAAAGTGGGTGAGTATCTGTGTTAAGTCCCTTCAGGATTGTGTCTTATTGATTATTCAGTCTTTACTCCCCAGCACAGTGCCTGACACATAGTTACATGACAAATATTTGAGGTATGAATAAATGAGCTTTCTCTAGAATTTGGTTTGCTTTTTAATGGGCCGTCATTGATAAGTTTACCATCACATCTCTCACCCCAATAGCATATTCACTGTTAAGTATGAAAACTTGAAAAATAAATTACAAGCTATTTACAAGAGAAATGCATTCTGGAAAAGCTCTGATGCAAAGGAAAAACATTCCCTATTAATGCTCACAGAAATACCTCCTAATGAAACACAATTGTTTCCATTGTTACAACAATTAATTTTTAATATATGCAACAGAACAAGGTGACTTAACTTTTTAATCTTTTCAATCAGAAGGGGTCTCAGGCTTTTACCTATTCTATTTAGGAACATTCTGACAAAGTACAGGACAAGTACATTTATCTTCGGGTCAGATGCCATGGCTTACACCTGTAATCCCAGCACTTTGGGAGGCTGAGGCAGAAGACTGCCTGAGCCCAGGAGTTCGAGACTTGTCTGACTAGCCTGGGCAACATAGTGAGATCCTGTCTCTACAGAATAAAAATGTTTTACATTAGCTGCATGTGGTGGCACACGCCTGTAATCCCGGGTACTCAGGAGGCTGAGGTGGGAGGATCGCCTGAGCACAAGTCAAGGCCGTAGTGAGCTGTGATCGCGCCACTGGGCTCCAGCCTGGGCAACAGGGTGAGACCTTGTCTAAAAAACAAACAAACAAAAAAAAAACCTTCTTATCTTTATTTTGGTGAAGTGAATGATCTTACTTGGTACTGTTTTACCATGCTTTAAAATATAGCAGGCATTACTTCAACCACTATTTATTGATTATAACTGATTTATTTGACATTCCTTAAAATATTACTCACTCCTTAATTCTGTTTGCCTTTCTTTTATCACACCTGACAGTGGTGATATCATGCTTCGTGTACCAAAGAT
Source organism: Homo sapiens (assembly GCF_000001405.40). Lineage (NCBI taxonomy): Eukaryota > Metazoa > Chordata > Mammalia > Primates > Hominidae > Homo > Homo sapiens. Next base: position 47,228,143 of record NC_000016.10, on the reverse strand, counting down.
AGAAAAACGATGATATGGATATTTTCTGCATTTAATATACCTTTTTACAGTCCTTTACTTACCTTAGTCAGAGGGAAAATATCTTGCAGTTTTCATTGGAAAATAACCAAAATTAAAGGAAATAATGTTTTATTTAATGTCTTAAAGAGCAAGAAACAATAAAAAATGTCAATATTAAACTAAATTGGGCATTACAGCTAACGTTAATGAAGATAAAGACAAATGCCAGTGAGTGTTCACTTAAAAAATAAACAGGATTTTTAAAAATTACCCTTGAGAAAAGTTAAGTCCACTCTATAAGTCAGCTATTTTTCTAATATTTTAGAATCATGAATTTCTATCATATAATAGCTATTGATTATACCTAATACAGTATCTTTTATATGTTTTTCCATTTTTATTTCATCATCCAGAGCCAATGATTTGAAGTATTATTTGCGCTCCACTATAGGAGCCCAAGACCTTGAAACAAACCCTAGGTAATCAAATAATTGACACTAATATAGAAACCACCATTTGGCTTACTAAAAAAGTCTCTAAAGAAAACAGAGGTATTCCAACCCCAATTTTATAAGACAATAGGCACACAAGAGATCAGGTTAGTTAGAAAGAATCTATATGATACAACACCTAAACTGCATTACATCAGTGTGACACATCCTAGAATGAGAAAAAGGGTGCCAATGATAGTCTTTTTTTACTGATAGTATGAAAAATTGAACCATCACTAATATGTCTAAATTTAACTTCCCTGAATTCTTTCAAACAAGCATCAGATGTGACATTTAAAAGGACACCCTAATATAACCCAAGTATGTAAAAGGTGTGAAAGATACAGCAATACTCCTTGTACCTTTATTGTATAGAAGAAACACAAAGTAAAAATTATTCCAGATCTCTTGGCATTTTCTATGAGCATAACTATTTTTAGTATATTTTGTAGTAAACATTCATATGGAGGTAAGTGAAGAAAAAAATGAAGTTTAATGCTATGACGTATGGGATAAGAAACCAAAAGACCTATAGGCCCAGGTATCAGTTGTATCATTTCAGTTGAGAAAGGAAATTGGGAATTGAATTGTTCATTATACAGATGGTGTAGAAGAGCAATTCTCAAACTTCTTGGTCTATGGACCCCAAACTTTTCTTTACATTAGATATATCTACTGACATTACTTTGTTTGAAATTAAAACTGAAATAATTTTAAATGATATTGTTTTTAAAAGATAACCCATTATATTAACATAACCAATTTTATTTTTTTAAAAACTATATTTTTCATATTAAAATATTAGGGAAAGAGAGGCATTGCTTTATGTTATTACAAATCTCTTTAATGCTTAGTGTAATAGAAGATAGCATATTCCCTTATCTCCTTTTACATTCAGATTTTTGTGGTATGTTGCCTTGGTTGAAATAGATGAAAAAAATTCAGCCTCACATAACTATGTAATAGAAAAGGGAGTGTTTTAATAGAAACCATCATTCTCAGCGAACTGTCGCAAGGAGAAAAAACCAAACACCGCATGTTGTCACTCGTAGGTGGGAATTGAACAATGAGAGCATTTGGACACAGGAACGGGAACATCACACACCAGGGACTGTTGTGGGGTGGGGGGAGGGGGGAGGGATAGCATTAGGTGATATAACTAATGCTAAATGACGAGTTAATGGGTGCAGCACACCAACGTGGCACATGTATACATATGTAACAAACCTGCACGTTGTGCACATGTACCCTAAAACTTAATATAAAAATACAAAAATTAACCGGGTGTGGTGGCGCATGCCTGTAGTCCCAGCTACTTGGGAGGCTGAGGCAGAAGACTTGCTTGAACCCCGGAGGCGGAGGTTGCAGTGAGCCCAGATTGCACCGCTGCACTCCAGCCTGGGTGACAAAACGAGACTCGGGTCTCACACACACACAAAAAAGTTATTTTGTTAGTAGTTGCTCTCAGGATTACAACTAACATCGTAACTTAGAAACAATCTAGTTCATATTAATCCAGCTTAATTTTAGTAGCTTGTAAAAACTTTGCTCTAACATATCTCAGTTTATTTACTCCTCCTCAATTTGTACTATTATTGTCAATACAAATTACATCTTCAAGCATTATGAGACCAACAAGATGGTTTTATAATTATTGTTTCAAACAATAGTCTTTTATATCAGGTAAGAGAAAAGAGCTACAAACAAAAATATATTTATACCATATTTACCTACAGTTCCTTTTTTTTTTCCAACTTCGTCTTCGCAGAATACTTAGAGTTACCTTTAACAGTACTCTTTATTTATTTGTGTGGATTCAAATTACTGTCTAGTGTCCTTTCAGATCAGCCAGAATTCCCTTTAATATTTCCTACAAGTCAGGTGTGCTAATAACAAGTTCTTTCTGGTTTTATCTGGCAATATGTTAATTTCCCCCCATTTTTGAAGGATATTTTTGCTGGATTTTAGACTTCTTGGCTGACAGTCTTTTTCTTTTAACACTTTGAATTTATCATCCTATTGCCTTCTAGCCTCCTGGGTTTCTGATGAGAATTGAGCTGTTAATCTTTCTGAGGATACCTTGTCCGTGATGAATTGCTTGTCTCTTGCTGCTTTCAACATTCAATCTTTGGCTTTCAAAATGTTAACTATGATATGATAGGCAGGGTTTGACTGTGATGTATCTTGGTGTGGATCTCTTTGAGTTTACCCTACTTGGCGTTCATTGAGCTTTTTGGGTGTACAGGTTAATGTTGCATTAAATTTAGATAGTTTTAGCCATTATTGCTTCACATATTTCTACCTCTTTCCTCTCTTCTGGGACTCCCATTATTGTTGGTATTCTTAATGGTGCTCCATATGTCTCAGAGGCTCTGTTCATTTTTTTTTTATTCCCTTTTTTTCTATCCTTCAGACTAGATAATATGAATTGACATATCTTCAATTTTGCTGATTATTTCCTTGCCAGGTTAAATCTCCTATTGAGCTTTGCTAGTTAATTTTTCATTTCAGTTATTGTATTGTAGAATTTCAGTTTTGTTCTATTTTGTGATTTCTCTTTATTGTTACTGTGGTGAGACACTGTTCTCATAATTTTCTTCAGTTATTTAGACATGATTTCCTTTCCTTTAATTCTTTGAAGAATCTTTTCTTTTTTGACAAGGTCTCACTCTGTTGCCCAGGCTAGAGTGCAGTGGTGCAATCATGGCTCACTACAGCCTCAACCTCCCAGGCTGAGGCAATCCTCCCACCTCAGCCTCCTGAGTAGCTGGGACCACAGGCACTTGCCACCATGCACAGCTAATTTTTTTAACTTTTCATGGAGACAGGGCCTCCCCATATTGCCAAGACTGGTGAACATGTTTATTATAGCAGATTTAAAGTCTTTGCCTAGTAAATCTAACATCTGTGCTTCCTTGAAGGCAGTTTATTTTGACTGGTTTTTTTTTCCCCGACGTATGAGCCATACTGTTTCTTTGCATGTCATAATTTTTTTTATTGAAAACTGGACATTTTTAACTATACGTCAACTCCAGAAATCTTCCCAGATTTCTCCCATTGCCTGGGTTTGTGGTTTTTGCTCTTATTGCTGTTTGTTCAGTAACTTTCCCAGACTAATACTGTAAAGTCTTCATTTTTTGTTGTGTGTTGCCACTCAGCTTAATGGCCAGCTGTGATGGCCAGAGATTTCCTTAAAAGAGAGGTTAGGCCCTTCTCCAGTCTTTCTGGGGCACGAACATAGTGCTGCATATGTTCATGGACTTCTAGATTCCCAGAAATAAGTGAGAGATTTTCAGAGTCCCCTGTGAATATCTCATTTCCATTTTTCCTTTTAAGATTTGGTCAACCTCTCATTAACCCCAGCTGATAATCACTGCCTCAGGCAGCTGCAATGTTAAACAATTGCTGATGATTATTTTCTTTTATTTATTTATTTATTATTATACTTTAAGTTTTAGTGTACATGTGCACAATGTGCAGGTTTGTTACATATGTATACATGTGCCATGCTGGTGTGCTGCACCCACTAACTCGTCATCCAGCATTAGGTGTATCTCCCAATGCTATCCCTCCCCTCCCCCCACCCCACAACAGTCCCCAGAGTGTGATGTTCCCCTTCCTGTGTCCATGTGTTCTCATTGTTCAATTCCCACCTATGAGTGAGACTATGCGGTGTTTGGTTTTTTGTTCTTGTGATAGTTTACTGAGAATGATGATTTCCAATTTCATCCATGTCCCTACAAAGGACATGAACTCATCATTTTTTATGACTGCATAGTATTCCATGGTGTATATGTGCCACATTTTCTTAATCCAGTCTATCATCGTTGGACATTTGGGTTGGTTCCAAGTCTTTGCTATTACAAATAGTGCCGCAATAAACATACATGTGCACGTGTCTTTATAGCAGCATGATTTATAGTCCTTTGGGTATATACCCAGTAATGGGACGGCTGGGTCAAATGGTATTTCTAGTTCTAGATCCCTGAGGAATCGCCACACTGACTTCCACAATGGTTGAACTAGTTTACAGTCCCACCAACAGTGTAAAAGTGTTCCTATTTCTCCACATCCTCTCCAGCACCTATTGTTTCCTGACTTTTTAATGATTGCCATTCTAACTGGTGTGAGATGGTATCTCATTGTGGTTTTGATTTGCATTTCTCTGATAGCCAGTGATGGTGAGCATTTTTCCATGTGTTTTTTGGCTGCATAAATGTCTTCTTTTGAGAAGTGTCTGTTCATGGGGTTGTTTGTTTTTTTCTTGTAAATTTGTTTGAGTTCATTGTAGATTCTGGATATTAGCCCTTTGTCAGATGAGTAGGTTGCGAAGATTTACTCCCATTTTGTAGGTTGCCTGTTCACTCTGATGGTAGTTTCTTTTGCTGTGCAGAAGCTCTTTGGTTTAATTAGATCCCATTTGTCAATTTTGGCTTTTGTTGCCATTGCTTTTGGTGTTTTAGACATGAAGTCCTTGCCCATGCCTATGTCCTGAATGGTAATGCCTAGGTTTTCTTCTAGGGTTTTTATGGTTTTAGGTCTAATGTTTAAGTCTTTAATCCATCTTGAATTGATTTTTGTATAAGGTGTAAGGAAGGGATCCAGTTTCAGCTTTCTACATATGGCTAGCCAGTTTTCCCAGCACCATTTATTAAATAGGGAATCCTTTCCCCATTGCTTGTTTTTCTCAGGTTTGTCAAAGATCAGATAGTTGTAGATATACGGCGTTATTTCCTAAATAGACATCTACAGAACTCTCCACCCCAAATCAACAGAATATACATTTTTCTCAGCACCACACCACACCTATTCCAAAATTGACCACATAGTTGGAAGTAAAGCTCTCTTCAGCAAATGTAAAGGAACAGAAATTATAACAAACTTATCTCTCAGACCACAGTGCAATCAAACTAGAACTCAGGATTAAGAAACTCACTCAAGGCTGGGCAGAGTGGCTCACGCCTGTAATCCCAGCACTTTGGGAGGCCGAGGCAGGCGGATCACGAGGTCAGGAGATCGAGACCATCCTGGCTAACATGGTGAAACCCCGTCTCTACTAAAAATATAAAAAATTAGCCGGGCCTGGTGGCGGGTGCCTGTAGTCCCAGCTACTCGGGAGGCTGAGGCAGGAGAATGGCGTGAACCTGGGAGGCGGAGCTTGCAGTGAGCCGAGATCGCGCCACTGCACTCCGGCCTGGGCGACCTAGCGAGACTTCGTCTCAAAAAAAAAAAAAAAAAAGAAAGAAACTCACTCAAAACCACTCAACTGCATGGAAACTGAACAACCTGCTCCTGAATGACTACTGGGTACATAATGAAATGAAGGCAGAAATAAAGATGTTCTTTGAAACCAACGAGAACAAAGACACAACATACCAGAATCTCTGGGACACATTCAAAGCAGTGTGTAGAGGGAAATTTATAGCACTAAATGCCCACAAGAGAAAGCAGGAAAGATCCAAAATTGACACCCTAACATCACAATTAAAAGAACTAGAAAAGCAAGAGCAAACACATTCAAAAGCTAGCAGAAGGTAAGAAATAACTAAAATCAGAGCAGAACTGAAGGAAATAGAGACACAAAAAACCCTTCAAAAAAATTAATGAATCCAGGAGCTGGTTTTTTTGAAAGGATCAACAAAATTGATAGACCGCTAGCAAGACTAATAAAGAAAAAAAGAGAGAAGAATCAAATAGATGCAATAAAAAATGATAAAGGGGATATAACCACCGATCCCACAGAAATACAAACTACCATCAGAGATTACTACAAACACCTCTACGCAAATAAACTAGAAAATCTAGAAGAAATGGATAAATTTCTCGACACATACACTCTCCCAAGACTAAACCAGGAAGAACTTGAATCTCTGAATAGACCAATAACAGGAGCTGAAGTTGTGGCAATAGTCAATAGCTTACCAACCAAAAAGAGTCCAGGACCTGATGGGATTCACAGCCGAATTCTACCAGAGGTACAAGGAGGAACTGGTACCATTCCTTCTGAAAGTATTCTAGTCAATAGAAAAAGAGGGAATCCTCCCTAACTCATTTTATGAGGCCAGCATCATCCTGATACCAAAGCCGGGCAGAGACACAAGCAAAAAAGAGAATTTTAGACCAATATCCTTGATGAACATTGATGCAAAAATCCTCAAAAAATACTGGCAAACCGAATCCAGCAGCACATCAAAAAGCTTATCCACCATGATCAAGTGGGCTTCATCCCTGGGATGCAAGGCTGGTTCAATATATGCAAATCAGTAAATGTAATCCAGCATATAAACAGAACCAAAGACAAAAACCACATGATTATCTCAATAGATGCAGAAAAGGCCTTTGACAAAATTCAACAACCCTTCATGCTAAAAACTCTCAATAAATTAGGTATTGATGGGACGTATTTTCAAGAAACTTTACAGTGATGGAGCTTGTTCACACAGAGCAAGCTCTCAGTCCATTAAAAAAAGACAAACCCTGAGAAGAGAGCTTTTCAGGGAGCTTCCGAAAAGGTCATATAGTGACATTTCTCTGGGAATGGATCTTTGGGGAGCTCTAAACCTGTTCTGCCCCCTCCAGTACCTGGTAGGCTCTTCATTTTCATAGCTACCCTACTTGCAAAGCTGTTGGTTTTCAAGGCTACTTCAGAGCTGGGGAGAGTGACATGGAAATAGAGCAATTTAAAACACAACAGAGGTAATTATTCTTACCAAAATTCAGCTATTTTTCTTAAATGAGTGCTCCTTGGATTCTTGCAAAGTTCTGAAAAAGTTGATTTCAACAACTTTCTGCCAGTATTCTCATTGCTTTTATTGAGGAGCAGATTTTTTTGAGGTCCTTACCATTCCAGAAGTGATTCTACACTACTCTGTTACACTAAAATATATTGGTCTACCTTGCACTTTAGATGGATCTTTTACCCGTGAATGGTTTTGTACTATCATGCATTGGTCATTTTGGAAATTTTGGTTTACTGAGTTATGCAGATCTTCCTCATGTTAACACATTTTATTGTATGATATTTTTAAATAACATTTGTTAATATTACCACTGATTGCCTCAGAACAGTTTCTTAAGTATTGGGAAGATATCAGGCTCACAGTGGCAGATGCAAGTTTTTCAAAATTAAAATATTCACTTAGAAGCTCAAATTTTATCATTAGCGACAAATACTGTCATTTGTTTTTCTGAAAGTGGCTGACTCACTCTGTCCATTTTCAAGAAAACGTTAGTTAGCTAAATACCCAAGTCGGAATATCCGTTGTTTGGTGCCACTGCTAATTACCCACGTCTTTGTTTTTGCTCTATTAATACAAATGTTAACTCAGTGTAAAACGCGAGATGTCTTAGTATTATTATGAAAATAGTTTTTACCTAATGTGACCTTCTGAAGGTATTTTGGGACCCCCAGGGGTTTCTTGTAACACTCTTTGAGAACCACTGTGTAGAGGAACTGGATCAGGATTTCTAGACCTTGTCTTCAAATATCAAAATGACTGGCCTGTGATGATAGGTGAGCTTCAGCTTTACAACTCATATCAGACACATGCTGACCTGATTTTTTTTAACTGAATACAGATAGGAAAGAAAACAATGCTTTTCCTTGCCCATCTGCAAGATAAGAATGTAGAGACAACATTTTGCTAATTCTCTCATGAAAGTAGTGTGTAGTACAAAGCGTAATATTCATCTTTCCACATAAAAATGTTTCTTAAGTTTATTTTGCATATTTGTGTGATTTCTTCATGAATCATTTAATCAATTAGTAATGTCTTATGAGTAATTCCATCCTTATAGCAACCTATTTTCTCATAGCCATTGGAAGCATATGGACTTCTAAAAATCTTAAAATATCAGTCAGGCAATTGTGATGTTGATGAAATCATATTACTTCTTATCATCCTGGAGAAAAATCATTTTTAAAGCATCAGTAGCCTATCTAAATGTCATTATTAACTTTTCTATACTTTTCTGGGAAGATCAGTAGAATTTTGAGGCTGAGAAAAATATTCAAAAGAATGTAAAGCATTTCTTAAACATTTTGTCATCTTAGGATGTCCATTGCAATCTTTGGTTTCTTTATGTTCTATTTAATTAGCCTTGGTTTCTAAAGAGAAGGAGTATATCATTTTATTCAAGGTTTGAGGAATGTTCCAGAAATAGGAAACAAGTTAGAGATAGACCTCACCATTGTAACTGAGGCACTGTCAATCCATCAGAATTTTCTTAAATGAAAAATAATGTATTCTCTAAATGTGCAGGAGTTTAAATGTGGTGGAACTAATCATCAGTATTTTTTATTCTATCGTAATTATTGTGGATGGATTTTATTTATGTTGATATTTTAGTGGGAAAATGTAAACCATGTCCAATCCCTCCCTGAAGGGAAAAAGCAATGCTATATTCAACAGAATATTTGGTCTTAGAAATACCCAGTTAAAATAACGAACTGAATAATTGCAACTATTAAATCATTTAAAGTCTTAAGAATTTTCTACTAATCAGGTTTTCTTTTTGTTTGTTTATTATTTTTTAACACTAAGATCCTAGGAAACAACAGGTTTTCTTTTGATGTGCTGTTAATGGAAGGGGTCTCTAAGTAACTGTCATCTGTGTAAGAATTTTTTGCTTTGAAAGAGATTTGCCTGAAACTTCCAATAATTCACTTATTTTCCAAGCCTTAACTATTTTTTTTTTCTATTGCAGCCCTTTGGAGTGAATCAACCTGGACCTTATATCATGTATACAACTGTAGATGCAAATGGGTATCTGAAAAATGGATCAGGTAAGACCAGATACATTGTCCATAATGTATAAAAGCTTCTTCAGTCAATATATTAGCAAGGTAAACTGGTGGAAAAAATTATGTTTTCACACTCCTTAATAACATCTTCACTTTTATTATACTTAGTCTTTCCATAGACTTACATTGGTAGATTATAAAAGGTTCTTATGACAAAAAATGTTCACTTTCAATTCTTCATATATCCCTATTATGATGGAGCCAACTCATTATCCTTATTTTTTAGTTGAAGTAGCAGAGAGATTGGGTGAAATTACTTGTGTTATCTTGGTCAGAAAGTGAAGTGCAAATTAGTTAATTAAGTTCATCTTAGAAGACGTATAAATTAAGAATCCAATTAATAGTATAATATAAACTACTCCTAGTTTTTTTTATTATATAGAATAGAAGCTGTAATACATAGAGAGGGTTTTTTGATATATTATTATAAAGAAAAAATCTGGTTATACATTTAAATAAATAATAAAGGAAAATGTAATTAAGACAATAAAAGAAATAAGATTGAGCAAAGGATGTCTGCTTTTAACAGATGGCTGACTGACTGAGGTTAGATCCAAATTACAGTAAATATAACTGTGATAATTCCAGTTATCTAAAGAAGAAAAGGAATCTGAATATGCTTCTTTTAAGATGCCTAGAGTTTTAACCATGAAGAAGTATAAGCAGAGTTGCTGTCACTCCTCTATTTTTTTGGCCAAAAAAGAAAAAGGAAGAACTCATTATATGGACATTGCCATGTTATGTAATGGCCTTACTAAATCAAATATACCCCAGAGTGAGTTTACTTTTTTAGCTAATTGCACACATTTAAGAGTCTCAGTTGTACTGCTTGCTTCAGCACAGAAACATTCCATATAACAAAATTTTTTTAAAAATTCAAGGAGAAATTGACAAACACAATTATACTTTATTTATTTATTTATTTGAGACGGAGTCTCACTGTGTTGCCCAGGCTGGACTGCAGTGGCGCGATCTCAGCTCACTGCAAGCTCCGCCTCCCGGGTTCCCGCCATTCTCCTGCCTCAGCCTCCCGAGCAGCTGGGACCACAGGTGCCCGCCACTACACCCGGCTAATTTTTTATATTTTTAGTAGAGATGGGGTTTCACCTGTGTTAGCCAGGATAATCTCCGTCTCCTGACCTCATGATCAGTCTGCCTCAGCCTCCCAAAGTGCTGGGATTACAGGCGTGAGCCACTGCACCTGGCCACAATTATACTTTAATATACCACTGTCAGTCACAGCAGTTCAAGATAAATAAGGATATAGATAATTTGAACAAATTACTTCTTTATGTTTTTAATTCATGTACATATTAAACCTTTACAAAAAAGGCTCTGGGACCAGCTGGTTTTATCAGTTAATTCTTTTAGACTTTGAAGATGCAGATGATTTCAGTGCTAGGTAAGATGTTCCAGAATACAGGATGACAAGATGAAGTTATTTATTGCATTTCATGAACCTAGTATAACTCGGGCAGAGCCAGCATACTCAAAACCAAAAACTAAGTTCACTGGTGGGATATCAATGAAAATCCTATCTAAAACCTAACAACTTAAATTTGTCTGTATTTTTAAAGAATTGCTTACTTAACGTAATCAAGTAGATGATTATCTAAGGAATGCACTGATGGCTTAAAATGGGAAAATCTCTTAATTGTTATAGCAGTGCATCAGTTTTTAAAATACTTTCTTTTTCTTTTTTTTTCATATAATGATACATTGTGTACATCTCTCCATATCTGTTCATACAGATAATCCTGATTTCTTTGGGGGCTATTTTGTATAAAGATACAATAGCTACTCTAGCCAATCCTCTATTTTTTGTTTTACTATAATACAACAATACAACAGTAAACATCTATTTGCATATATTTTTATGCAGTTAAATGAATAATTCAGGCCAGGTGCTCATGCCTGTAATCCCACCACTTTGGGAGACCAAGGCGGGTGGTTCACTTGAGGTCAGGAGTTCAAGACCAGCCTGGCCAACATGACAAAGCCCCATTTCCACTAAAAATACAAAAGCTGCACGTGGTGGCGGTCGCCTGTAATTCCAGCTACTCAGGAGGCTGAGGCATGAGAATCACTTGGACCTGGGAGGTAGATGTTGCAGTGAGCCGAGATCACACCACTGCACTCCAACCTTGGTGAAGGAGTAAGACTGTCTCAAAAAAAAATAAATAAATAAATAATAAAATAATAAAATAATTCTCACTTCATAGAAGAAAAGTTAATAAAAAATTAACATTTATCTTGAGGAATACAATTTCAAGAGATTCACTTTCCACTTTGTACATTTCTATAACTGTTGACTAGTTTTCAGTTCTTTTTCATTGTTTAAAAAAGATGCGCTGGGTGCAGTGGCCCATGCCTGTAATCCCAGCACTTTCGGAGGCCAAGGTGGGCGGATCACCTGAGGTCAGGAGTTTGAGACCAGCCTGGCCAAAATGGTGAAACGCTGTCTCTACTGAAAATGCAAAAAAAAGAAATTAGCCAGGTGTGGTGGCACATGCCTGTAGTCCCAGCTACTTCGGGAGGCTGGGGCAGGAGACTCATTGAACCTGGAGGCAGCAGTTGCAGTGAGCTGAGGGCATTGCACTCCAGCTAGGTGACAAGAACAAAACTCCGTCTCAGAAAAAAAAAAAATGGGATTCTTGATTCAGTCAACAAAATTTTCACCAAACTTATACTGCAAACTAGACATTGGCAACTAGTATTGAACTCCATTCAGTAATATTCACTACCCATTACTATTTTTTTAAGCGAATGGAACAATATTTACTTAGCATGATTTTTAAAGATCTACCCCAAAACAGTAATGGAACATTAGATTTATTCTTATCATATCTAATATTTACCTGTTTCTAGATTGGAGTAGAAATTGGGAGGGAATTTGTAGGCATAAAAGGAAATGAAAAAATATCTAAGGTAAAAATAAATGCAGTTGAGTGCATAAATCAAATGAATGCATAAATTTTCATGGCAGAACACTGAAAACAAAAATAAAAAGCCCTCACAAACTTGAAAAAAATCTAAATGTCTATAAATAGAGATATAATAAATTATCCCATTTTATAATATTCTCCAGACTGCAAAATATTTTAAGATAATTTTTGATGTTTATAATAGTTGGAGGAAGACATATCTGCATGTAAAATCCAAATTGTATGTGCGTTATTTTAAGTGTGTCTGTGTGTAGGAAAAATATATAAACAAAATGACGCATAAAATGTTACCACAATTATCTCTTGGTCATGGGAATGCAAATTGTATGTGTGTGATTTTTAAGTGTGTCTGTGTGTAGGACAAATATATAAACAAACTAACGTATGTTACTATGATTATCTCTTGGTTTTTGGATTTTATATATTTCTTTGCATTTTTGTTTACTAAATATATATTGCTTTTTAATTTAAGAAAAAGCTTTTAAAATATTTCAAACATATGCTGTATTTCATGCATAAAATGTATTCTAAGCAAGGAAGTAGCACTTAATTTAATTGACTGAGGGAGTGCCATCATGAAACCCTGCCCCAAATTTTAAAGGATGAAAATTCCCAGTTTAAATGTTAAGCATGTTGAACTCCAAAGAAACATTACTGGGCTAAACCGTACCTTCCATCCCATCCTACCCCATCAGCAGAGAATGTTCCACTGTAGGAAGAGGATGACTACATTTACGTATTTCGGAAACTACAGCCTTGGTTTTCTCCTAGAGCAGCTGAGAGTCACTCACTACCCATTGTCGGGTCATAAAATTAATGTAGTAGCTTTTAGAGTATTTTACTTAATAGAATAAAAGAGAACAGTAGAAAACAATCTATTGATCAGAGTACATCCCAGATGGTAAAGTATTGTTTCATGAAATTTTTATTTAGTTGTGCGTGCGTGTGTGTGTGTGTGTGTGTGTGTGTGTGTGTGTGTGTGTTTTCACACTGGGTAATAACATAGGATGTAGTTTTTATTGTGGGCTGTGATCAGAAAAGTTTGAAAACCACTGCCAGAGAGAAATAACAACAACAACATAAATTAATATTATTCAGTAAAGGCCTGGCCCAATTATCCTATTGCTTACAGATAGATTATCATTCTTACCCATTACTCTGCAGTCTTAGTCCATTTCCTAGCAAAGCCTGAATAGCCAAACATTATTAGAGAGTTACATTACAGAGGAGTCATTAATTTTCTAAATAATAGTTCCTGTAACAGATTTAAAAAATAAAAATAAAGTACATTTATTATGAACTTTTTAGGAGCTTAAACTCCTCTGGTTTTGAATCTAGGATTTTGTTTACTACTCTTGTAAATTAGCCAGGGATCTGCAATGGGCATCCAAATTGCCTAAACAATATTTGATAAGAACTTAATAGAATGGAGTACATTGGCAAAATTTTGTAGACTAGTGAGTTGTTGGTCATTTATGAATAACAACATTATTAGACCAAGAATTGCTTTTCTACCCCATAAACGACTTATTTGGCCATACTGTTTAAATCCAGAGCAAAATCATTTTCCTTTTTCCTCTGTGGTTACTATTTGTTAATATATCTGAGAAAAACATAAGTAACCTTTGCCTTCTGTGTACCCTTAGTGTATGCAAGAAGTGATGTTAAGCAATCACATGCTGTGATGTAGGGGAAAAAATATGTCTTCTACGACACACACTCATTCAACACAGAACACATCTGTGACCAGATATGTAGGGTTTTACCCCACATCAACCTGTTCTCCAACACAAGCTAGGTATCTCATAATTTAATTCAATTCTGACACTTTCTGGAGGCAGACTCATATCCCACAGTTAAGGGCTCAGTCTCACAAGATTTTCCCCACTTTGGATGCCAATCACAAGTCCAGGCATCCAGTATTTCTGATGGAGAGTCTATAAATTGGCATTTCCCATGACTCACTCCTTCATCAAGTTCAGTCATTTGCTGGAATGGCTCACAGAACTCAGGGAAACACTTACTTACATGTACTGGCTTATTATAAAGATATTATGAAGGATACAGATCAACAGCCACATGAAGAAATACATAAGGTAAGGTTCAGAAGGGTCCTGAGCACAAGTCTTGTGGAACCTGGGGTGCACCACACTCCCAGCCCATGGATGTATTCAGTAACCCAGAAGCTCTCCAAATCCTATCCTTTTGGGATTTATAGAAGCGTCATTGTGGAGGCATTATTGATTAAATTACTGGCCATTAGTAATCAGCTCAACCTTCAGCCCCCTCCCCTCCCGTGACATAGCAATTCTAATTGCATCAAAAAACAGAGCTGCAAAATGTATGAAGCCAAAATTGAACTGAAAGGCGAATAGACAAATCTACATTTATAGTTGGAGACCTCAATATCTCTCTCTCAAGATTTGGCAAACAGTTGGAAAATCAGCAAGGATACAGAACTCAGCAATATCATCAACCAACAGGATCTAGTAGACATTTATAGAATAATCTGCCCAACAACAGCAATACATTCTTTTCAAATGCCCATGGAGCATATACTAAAATAGACTGAGTTCTGGGCAATTAAAAAATTTTAATTTAAAAACCTCAAAAAATTTAAACAAGTGAAACCATAGAGAGTATTCTCCAACCACAATGAACTTAAAATAGAAATCAACAACAGAAATTCCTGTTGTAAAATCTCTAAACACTTGAAACTTAAACATCTTATTTCTAAATAATCCAGAGGTCAAAGAGAAATTTTCAAGGGAAATTCTTAAAATATATTGAGCTGAATGAAAAGAAAAATACAACATATCAAAAACTTGGGGACACAGCCAAAGCAGTGCTGAGAGGAAAATTATAACAATGCATGTGTATAATAGAAAAGAGTAAGTCTCAGATTAATAACGTAAGCACCCACCTCAACAACCTATGAATAGAAAAGCAAACCTAAAGTAAACAAGAGGAAGGAAATAAATAAGAGCAGAAGTTATTGAAATTCAAAACAGCAAAACAAAAGATAAAATCAGTTAAACAGGAAATAAACAAAATTGACAAATCTGTACCAGGACTGACCAAAAAAAAAGAGAGAGGAGACATAAATTGCCAGTGTCAGGAATGAATCAGATGACTCACTGTGGACCCTGAAGATATCAAAAGGATAATAAGGGAATAATATGCACATGCATTGGACATCTTAGAAGAAATGGACAAACTTCTTGAAAAACACAAACTATCACAAATTATCCAATATAAAATATATCATTTGAATAATCTTAAAATTACTAAGGAAATTGGGTTCATAATTTTAAAACTTGCAAAAAAGAAATAGGTAGACCCAAGTGGTAAGAATTATACCACACATTTAAAATACAGTTAACTGGTAGAGTGCGATGGATGGCTCATGCCTGTAATCCCAGCACTTTGGGAGGCCAAGGCGAGAGGATCACTTGAGTTCAGGAGTTTGAGACCAACCCAGGCAATATAGTGAGATCCTGTGTCTACAAAAAAATTTTTTTAAATAAGCCAGATGTAGTGGCATGTGCCCATAGTCCCAGCAATTCAGGAGGCTGAAGTGGGAGGATCACTTGAGCCCTGGAGGTCAAGGTTACAGTGAGCCACAATTGCACCACTGCACTCTAACCTGGGTGACACAGCAAGACCCCGTCTCAAAAAAATAAAATAGAGTTAACTTCAAATTCTGTACAATCTCCTTTAGAAAAAAAAAGGAAAATTTTCTGGTTTGTAGGTTTACCCTGATACCAAAACCAGACAAAGACAGTACAAAATCCCTGTAGACAGATAGTCCTCATGAATATAAATACAAAAATCATGATTAGTGGGACAAACATGGTAGCCCATGCCTGCAATCCCAGCACTTTGGGAGGCCGATGTGGGAGAATCACTTGAGCCTAGGAATTTGAGACCAGCCTGGGATACACAGTAAGACCCCTTCTCTACCAAAAAAAAAAAGAAAGAAAAAAAATTAGTGAGTAGAACACATACAGCATTATATAGAAATAATTATACACCATGATCAAGTGGGGGTTATGCCAGGGACACAATGCCAGTTCAAGATTAAAAAATCTATTAGTGTAGTACACCACATTGACAGAGTAAAGAAGAAAACAAACCACATGGTCATATTAACTGATGCCGAAAAAGCACTGAAGTTTAAACTATTCATGATAAAAACTGTCATAAAAATAGGGATAGAGAATAACTTCCTGAATTTGATAAAGAATGTTTACAAGAAACCTTCAGCTGAATTTATGCTTAATGATAAAAGACTGAATGGTCTGCGTCGAAGATTAGGAACTAAGCAAGGATATCGCCTCTAAACACTCTAATTGTAAATTCACTGGAATAAGGCAAGAAAAGGAAACAAAAGGCAACCAAGTTGAAAGCAAAGAAGTAAAACCATCACTATTTCCAGATGACATAATTGTATACATAGATGACCTCCAGGAATAAAAAACACACACTCAGCAAAAACTGCTGCAACCAAGAAGTACATTCAGCAAGGTTGCAGGATACAAGAACGCAAAAATCAGTTGTATGTCTGTACATTATCAATGGATACATAGACACCAAAATTAAAAATACATTTCTATTCTCAATCACTCAAAAAATGTGAAATACTTAAGTATAAATTTAACAAAACATATAGAGGACTTATATGTTGAAAACTACGCAATGCCAGTGAGAGAAATCAGTCGTCTAAATAAATGAAGAGATACGCAAGGTTCATAGATTGGGAGATTTAACAGAGAGAGATATCAGTTTTCCATAAATTGCCTTGCAGGTTTAACACAATTCCTTTCCACGTCCCCGGAAGGATATTTTGTAGATATAGACAATTTCATTAGAAAATATATATGGAAAGGCCAAGGAGCTATTAAGTTACTGCAAAAGTAATTGTGCTTTTTGTCATTTTTTAATGGCAAAACCACAATTACTTTTGCACCAACCTAATAGAACTGAAACAATTGGAAAAAGAAGAATAAAATAGGTGGAATTCGTCTATGTAATTTCAAGACTTATTTTATAGCTGCAGTAATCAAGACTGTATGGTATTGGCAGAAGTACAGATACATTGATTATGAAATGGAAGACAGAACCCAGAAATAAGCCCATACAAACATGCCTACCTCATTTTTGACAAAGGTGCAAAAAGCAATAAAGGAAAGATAGGTTTTTCACAAAGTTACAAAAAGGAATTCAAAGTGGATCATGGACATAAATGTAAAATATGAAACCATAGATCTTCTAACAAGAATCATGAGGATATTTTCTGGATTTAAGGCTTGGCAAAGAGTCCTTAGACTTTACACCAAAAGCAAGATCCATTAAAGGAAATATTTACAAGACTTCATCAAAACTTAAATAGTTTTGCTCTGTGAAAGACCCTGATAAGAGGATGAAAAGACAATCTACAGCCTGAAAGAAAGATATTTGCAAATCACATATCTGACAAAGGTTCAATATCTATAATATATAAAGAACTCTTCACACTGTCAAATTAAAACATGGACAAGAGACATGAAGAGACATTTCACTGAAGAAGATACATAGGTAGCAATTAGCACATGAAAAGACGTTAACAGTATTTAATTAGGGAAATGCACATGAAAACCACAATGGGATATACTACACACCTATCGGAATGGCTAAAAAAATAAAGTGACAACATCAAATGCTAATGAGGATGCAGAGACAGTAGATCACTTATATATTGCTTGTGTGAATGTAAAATGTTTTAGTCACTCTGGAAAATGTTGGTAGTTCTTAAAAAACTAGACATGCAACTACTGTATGACCCAGCAATTGCAGTCCCAGGCATTTATCCCAGAGAGATGAAAAGTTAAATGTTCACTCAAAAATCTACACGTGAGTGTTTATACCAGCTGTATTCATAATAGCCCTAAACTAGAAGCAACCCAGGCATCCTCCTGTGGCTTATTAAAATCTTTGGTACATCCATGCCATGAAACACTACTCAGCAATGAAAAGGAACAAACTATTTTTCACAGAACAACCCAGATGAATCTCCAGAGGATTACATTGAGAAAAAGCCTATCCCAGAAGTTTATATACTATATGATTCTATTTGTATAACATTTCTAAAGTGAAAAAAAGTTATAGAAATGAAGAACAAATTAGAGTTAGACAGGGATTTAGGAGTAGGTGTGGGTGACGGGGAAATGGTTGTGGCTATGAAAAGACAGTATGAGGGATCCTTGTGGTGATGGAAACGTTCAGGACTTCACTGTCTCAGAATCAGTATTTTACTGGCTTTGATAATATGTTCTCATTTTGTAAGATGTTACCATGGGAGAAAACTGAATAAAGGGTACATGGGATCTTTGCATTATTTCTATATCTGCATGGAAATCTAAAATTATCTCAAAATAAAAAGTTTAGTTTAAAAATCACTGTAAGATCTGTGGTGGTAAAAATAGTATCTGTAACTATTTGCAGCCTAAAATACCATTGTATATTTGTATAAGGTTCCATAGAGTAACAGTATGTTATGCTTCTTTGCTTTTATTGGAATTATATCAATACTATGGTAATATTGGTTATATAATGATCAGTAGTTCTGATCAGATAGATAATATTAAATGAATACTTGGGATATGATTTATTTTACAGTTACAATGATGGATTAAAATAGGAAACATTTTAGTAAATATAGTTTGGTAGACAAAATATATTCCAATTTCAAATCTATAAAAGAAATATATAAAAGAGTTTTAGTAATAAAGTAGGTGGGAACCACTTCGTTAGATTTCACTGAACTTTGGCTATCTTGATTTTTAATACTTTTCTCATGGCTCAATTTTTAATTCTCAATTTTTTCAATCTTCCTTATGTTTTCCCCCTTCTTATTCTAAGTTGGATGACAATGATAAACATTTAAAGTATTTGAATAATTGTGAGGAAGGATATTTTTTAAATCTCTCTTGTCTCTCAATTCCCAGATACCCTCACTTCCCTCCTCTCCCCTCCCTGCATTGTACTCATGGAAGGAAGATGGGTTGACCATCTGACTTCCTCAATCAAAAGGTTTTACTCTTACAAATGTGATAACACTGATTAAACCTAATAACAAACAGAGAAGTTGGTTATCTCTAACGGTATCCCACTTATGTAGGATGAGAAGTGATTCCAGATAAGATGATCAGCTTTTTCTGAAATTACGTTCTCCAGTATTTTTCAAACAGGAGAAACATGGAGTCACACTAGAAGTTTTATTGATTACCACCAAAACTTCTTATGGTTGCCAACAGAAAATATTAATATTTGACTTCTAAGATAAAAGCGATACAATTAAAGTAAAGGACTGGTGCCCATCAATGTTAACCACCTGATGTCAGGTCCTTTCGTTTGTTCTAGAAGTACAGCTCCAGGTTGTAGAAGATACAGTGCCTCATACTAGTCTCATAGCTGGAAAGATATATGAGGCTTAAAGACTCTGGGAATAAATAATAGCTTACACTTAATGAGTACTTTTAGCGTACCAAACACCTTAAAGTTCTTATACATGGATTAGTTTTTTTAAGTCTCACAAAGGCCAGTAATGTAGTTCATTATTGTCATCCTCACTTTAGAGCTGAAGAATCTGATTCATACAGAAGTTAAGGACTTCCCCAGAGTCACACAGCTAGTATGAGGCAGAGCCTGGATTTGAACCCAGGCAGCCTGGCTCCAGGTTCTCTAGTCTTAGCCATCTTTTATAATAAATGATAATATGACCTCATATTTATAAATTATTTTAAAGGTAGTGGAATAAAGTTTCTGGAGTCAGCACTCCTGATTTCAAGTCTTGGCTTTTCCAGTCTCCTGCTGTGTTACCTTGGGCAAATTATTTAACCTCCCCAAACTACAGTTTTCTTACTGTAAAATGGTGACAATAATTATGAGATAATGCATACTAAGGGCTTATACAATGCCTGGTACATAGTAATTATTCAGTAAATTCATCTCGTAAGCATTTATTGAATGATTTCACTCTGTCTGGTACAGTTCTTGGCTGAGTAAGTATATATTGTTGAACAAACCAGATAATGTTGTTGCTCTCAAGGCAGTTACATTCTGTGGAAGGGGCGGGAGGGTGGGGAGAGAGAAAATGGGAAAATACCAGGTAGTGAGTTAACGTCCTGTGGCCCCCAGGGCCCTGCAAGTTCTGGATCTCTGTTCTCTCTCTGACGGCATCTACTTCTACTCTCCCGCCTTCTTAACTCTGCATCTGTTATACGGGCCCCTTTGCTGCCCTGCATTCACCAAGCTCATCCCCTCTCCCTGGGACACCTGTCTTTGGATATCCTCATGGCTTACCTGCTTCATGTCTTTGTTCAGCTGTCAGCTCACTGAGCACTTCCCTAATCACTTTTTTGAAAACCACAACACTCCCCACTCCTCACTATTCCCCTTCTGTACTTCATCTTGTGCCAAAGCACTTGCCACCTTCTAATTATTTTATTGTGTGGTACCTCCATTAGAATATAAGAGAGCAGGCCGGGCGCGGTGGCTCACGCCTGTAATCCCAGCACTTTGGGAGGCCGAGATGGGCGGATCACGAGGTCAGGAGATCGAGACCATCCTGGCTAACACGGTGAAACCCCATCTCTACTAAAAAATACAAAAAAATTAAATGGGCATGGTGGCAGGCGCCTGTAGCCCCAGCTACTCGGGAGGCTGAGGCGGGAGAATGGCATGAACCTGGGAGGCAGAGCTTGCAGTGAGCCGAGATGGCGCCACTGCACTCCAGCCTGGGCGACAGAGCGAGACTCCGTCTCAAAAAAAAAATAAAATAAGAGAGCAAGGATCTTTGTCTTGTTCACTTCTGTATTCCCAGCACCTAGAGAAATACTATCATAATACTGAATAAATATTTGTTGAATAATTGAGTGAACGAATAAAAGCAAAAAGAGGTCCATGTAATGGAGAGTGGTTTGAGTGCTACTTTAAGTTGGTTGATCAGGGAGGGCCTCTCTTGGGTAGAAAACTTAGGAGTTGAGTTGTGGCTGTTGGGATGTCAGTCAGGTGAAGTATAGGAAGCATTCAGGCACAAGATGCCAGCAGCTCACACTAACATGGTAGCAGTGATGGAGAGAAATGGGCAGGCTAGGGATGTGTTAAGGAGATGGCATTAACTGCACTTCTTCATGGACTACTATGGAATGGGTGAAAAAAGGGAAATCAAGAGTGAAATCTGAGGAAGAACCTTGAATACCTGCTAAATGAAAGAAGCCACAAACAAAAGGCCATTTTTGTGGTATTATTCCATTTATAGGAAGTGCCTAGAATAAGCAGATCCATAGAGACAGAAAGTAGATTCTGGTTCCCAGAGGCTGGTAGGTGAGAGTAATGGGATGACTGCTGATAGGTATGGAGTTTCATATTGAGGTCGATGAGAATGTTCTGGAATTCGATAGTGGTCAGGTTTGCCCAACTCTGAGAACATACTAACAAACTGCTGAATTGTATACATTAAAGGTACATTTTATGGCATGTGAATTATATCTCAATAAGAATAAATCACAGGATATGAGGGCTTGAGCCATAGGTAGCAGGGTAGCTGTCTCTTACTGAGAAAGATGACTGGTGAGGAGCAGTTTAGATGGGGATGGGGGAGGTAATCATGTGTTCTTTGGATCCAACTGGAGAGATCAAGTTGGTATTATAGCTTAGATAGTAAATATTAACTATTATTATCAAATATTTAATGCCTGGCCAGGCGTGGTGGATCACGCCTGTGTTCCCAGCACTTTGGGAAGCCGAGGTGGGTGGATCACTTGAGGTCAGGAGTTTGAGACTAGCCAGACCAACGTGGTGAAACCCCATCTCCACTAAAAATATAAAAATTAGCCAGGCGTGGTGGCGGGCGCCTGTAGTCGCAGCTACTCAGGGGGCTGAGGCAGGAGAGTAGCATGAACCCAGGAGGCAGAGGTTGCAGTGAGCCAAGATCATGCCACTGCACTCCAGCCTGGGCAACAAAGTTAGACTCAGATAGATAGATAGATAGATAGATAGATAGATAGATAGATAGATAGATAGATAGATAGATAATTTAATTCCAGCTGGGGAAATTGACAAACAACTATGACTCTGATTAATTAAACTGAATTGCACACTGGTTGATGATACGATCGGAGTGGATGTTCAATCTCTGTGTGTGTTCCTAGGATGAAGTCTGTTGAAGTATGGAGTTCTCACTGGTTGCTCCAATCCTGAAAGCCTGGTTACTTCCTGTAGTTAGATAACTTCTTTCACAGAAAATTTATTCAGAAGGCTAGAAGCTCATAACTTTATTAGAATAATCACAGAGCGTAGAAAACCTTGATCAATAAAAATGATCCTTTTCTCCTCTCCCAGGCTGATTATGCAGGAAATGAGGAGTTTTTACCCCCTAATTTACTTTTTCTCATCCCGATTCAGAAATACACTGACTTGCATTGAGTGCACTAAGAATCTGAGTCTGAAAATTTGTACGAATTGTCTTTGGACCAGTGGTTCTCAATCGGGTGATTTTGACTCATGGGAGACATTTGACAATGTCTGCAGGCATTTTTGATTGTCACAACTGGGAGGGTGCTACTGGCATCTAGTGGATAGAGGCCAGGAGGCTGCTAAGCAAACTATAACAGATAGAACAGCTCCCTCAACAAAAAATTATCCATCCCAAAATGTCAACAGTGCTGACTTGAGAAATCCTGATGTAGACTATAAAACTCACAAATATCACAAAACTTTATAAACTTATGAATATTCAGCTATGATTCCAAACTTCTACGGATATTTGGAAATCCTTCCCACCTTCCTATGTAAATAGTAGTATTATTTGCCAGGCATCATGTGGCATTGTAAACAGACAGATGAATTAGGAAAAGATTTGGAGAGGCAGGAGAGGTACATCTGATGGTCCTGGGACCTGTCTTTTGATAGTTTAGCAAAGTGCTGGCTCAGCATATGAGTTTAGAGAATACAACAGCCTAATAATTGAAGCTTAGTTCCTGACACTCCTCCTTTCTAACAAAGACAGTTTTCTCAGCCAGGAAGCTCTCATGTCTTCTAGATATTCCCAGTCTTCTTCCAATGTCCATATAAAATTTAAAATGCCACAAAGACTGGGGCACTTGAGTATTTTCCATGGTGCATCCTGCTGCAGTTGATGCATGCACCTTAATAATACAGGATGGTAGGGGGAAAGGGACCCAGGCATTCAGCTACTGCTCTGCCTGTCAGTGGTTCATTAAACCTTATTTTACTTTTAATACCACCTGGTACAAATGATGTGTGTATGCATACCTCCTTAGCATAACAGTCAGACAAGAAATAGTTAAAAGAGCTATAATAGAAATAAAAACAAATGTTTTAAAAACCAAAAGCTAACAAAATACGAAAGCATTTCTATTAGCTAAAATGCTGAATTTATTATCTTTAGAAGCAGTTTAGGAAGAAAAGGGAATATGATGTGTATCTTAGAAATACTCTAAGCTTATAAAGTCAGCTAGTTTTAAGGTACCTGTTGGAGTCACTGAGGGAAGGAATGACTCACAGAAATTCAAACTTTGAAATCATAAAGTAGTTGTTTTGAAATTTTTGTTATGGAAGCTTGTTACCAAGGGTGAATCTTCGGCAGGGTTGGTATAGGTGTGGTTGACAAAATTTAGCTATAACAAGTGGGCTGTCAGATGCCATGGAAAGATTTTACTGGGGATAAAAATGCTAATAATATATGTATTGGACAAAATTACATTTTTATATGGGACCATGGACAGTTTTTCTTAGCATCACCACCATATTTGGCAGGGGTGGGGACTTTTCATTTTTGTTTTAAATTGTGGTGAAATACATATAAACATAAAATATATCATCTTAACCATTTTTAAGTATACAGTTCAGTAGTACTAAGTGTATTCACACTGTGTGCAACCATCACCATCATTACTCTCCAGAGCACTTCACCTTGCAGACTTGAAACTCTGTACCCATTAAACGCTAACTCCCCATTTCCCTCCTGCTCCAGCCCATGGCATGTACCATTCTACCTTCAGTCTCTATGAATCTGAGTACTCTAGGTCAGGGGTGCCCATCCCCCAGGCCACAGACCAGTACCAATCCATGGCCTGTTAGGAACCGGGCCACATAGCAGGAGGTGAGCAGCAGGTGAGCAAGCAAAGCTTCATCTGTATTTACAGCTGCTCCCCATCAATCACATTATAGCCTGAGCTCTGCCTCCTGTCAGATCAGCCGCTGCATTAGATTCTCACAGGACCATGAACCCTATTGTGAACTGTTCGTGTAAGGGATCTGGGCTGCACGCTCCTTATGAGAATCTATGCCTGATGATCTGTCACTGTCTCCCATCACCCCCAGATGGGACTGTCTAGTTGCAGGAAGACAAGCTCAGGGCTCCCACTGATTCTACATTATGGTGAGTTGTATAATTCATTACATGTTACAATGTAATAATAATAGAAATAAAGTGCATAATAAATGTAATGTGCTTGAATCATCCCAAAACCATCCCAGCCATCCCCTGGTCCGTGGAAAAATTGTCTTCCACAAAACCAGTTCCTGGTGCCAAAAAGTTTGAGGACTGCTGCTCTAGGTACCAAATGTAATTGGAATCACACGGTATTTGTCTTTTTGTGACTGGTTTATTTCACTTAGCATAAAGTCCTTGAGGTGCATCAGCGTAGCATGTTTCAGAATTTTCTTGCTTTAAGGCTGAATAATATTTCATTTTAGGTATATTCCACATTTTTTCTATTCACTCCCCCAGTTCATGGACACTTGGGTTGCTTCCTCCTTTTGGCTATCGTAATCCTGCTATAAACATGGGTGTACAAATATCACTTGGACACCCTGCTTTCAGTTCTTTTGGGTATATACCCAAAAGCAGACTTGCTGCATCATATGATACTTCTGTGTAATTTTTGAAGGAACCACTATACCATTTTCCATGGTGGGTCTACACACCATTTTATATTCCACCACAGTACACAGGGTGCAGTTTTCTACATTCTTGCCAACATTTAGTTATTTTTACTTTTTGGCAGCCATTCTGTTGGGTGTGAGGTGGGATCCCATTGTAGTTTTGATTTGCATTTTCCCAATATTGCACGTATTGTATTTGCTTATTGGCCATTTATTTGTATATCTGTTTGGAAAAATATCTATTCAAGACCTAGGCCCATTTTTTTCTGTTTTGTTGTTGTTGAGCACCCCTAGATGTTTTCAGATTTCTGCTTGAAGCAATACCTGTTATCTAAGTGTTTTCTCATTATGTTTCTTTTTTTTTTTAAGTTACACCTGCACAGCAGCCTTTCAAATAATTACACATTCACAAGGTAGAATATGGAAAGAATTAACGCTAGGACAACATTAAAGAATACTGATTAGTGTGTATCAGTGAAGGAACAGCAGACATTTTTAAAATTATGAGAAGGGGTTTTAATGTTTTGTCTATGCCATCTTTGTTTCTAATATTTAGTTTTCTAATCTGAAAACCAATCCTGAGTTTATCAAGGTTGTGGCATAATTTTCTTTCGACGTTAAATTCTTCAGACCACTAGTTTCTCCTTTCCTAAACTACTTGAGTGTATTAAATGGTACCTTGCTAGGTGAAAGAGATAATTTACCCCTTAATAATAAGTAGCCATCTCATCTCAACTTTTATTCGGATATCACTAAAAGAAATTATAAAGTATTTATTAAAGAATGAATGTCTACTATTATCTAGTTCAACATAAAAGAATAACAATAGCCTCATATAAACATGTGACAGGGAGTACTATTTACTTCTTAGCGTTCAGCCTATGAGTTAGCCCTGCATGTTCTGATCTGGGACTATAAGTAACACTGTTATGTCTCCTTTGTATGGTAAAACTGTTAGTACTGTGTATTACTGAAAACCTTTTAAAAGTAGTTCTGCTTACATGGAAAAGGTTTAAACATACTAAATGTCAGATACACAGTCAAGATGATAAATTTAATAGGAAAATCTATTTATATATGGTATTGTGCCAGACCCCTTGATGAGGATACAAAGATAAACAATACAAGGTCAGCCCTTTTGCTAAAGGGCTAGTGAGATTACTGCTAAGATTTGTATAAAACTTTAGACCACTGTCAGAAAAGATTATAACATGATTAATTGTAAGATAACATATATAGAGTGCCCATGTGAAATAAATTTCTTTTTTTGCTGAGAACTTGATTGAAGTAGGAATTCATGGGTCCTCAATTCATCCCGTCACACTGGCTAGCTCCTTAATAATGTTGTCTTAAAATCAAGAAACTGTGAGAATAAGGATTTGATACAAATATAAATTCAGTAAGATATTTTTAGTTCTAAATAAGGGCAAAATAAAAATTTTCTCCTAGCCGGGCACGGTGGCTCACACCTGTAATCCCAGCACTCTGGGAGGCTGAGGCAGGAGGATCACGAGGTCAGGAGATCTAGACCATCCTGGCTAACACGGTGAAACCTGTCTGTAATAAAAATACAAAAAATTAGCCGGGCATGTTGGCGGGCACCTGTAGTCCCAGCTACTTGGGAGGCTGAGGCAGGAGAAATGCGTGAGCCCGGGAGGTGGAGCTTGCAGTGAGCCAAGATCTCACCACTGCACTCCAGCCTGGGCAACAGAGCGAGACTCCGTCTCAAAAAAAAAAAAAAAAAAATTCTCCTAAATATAAATTCAGATTCTTTCTTCTCATGAAGTTTCATTAATTTTAGAAAAGATGGTATAATTATTCTGAAAATAAGTGTTTGAGTCCCATTATCAGGTATATAGTACAGCTGTGATTAAATCTGTAGAGAACAAATATTCTCCTTATTGGCAGTGGTTATCAAACTCTGTTGTTTTTAAAAATCCTGATGTCCATTGTTATTATCCAGTAGGACTTTTAAAACATATTATTGGGAAAATGAGCCAGGAATTTAGTAAATTGGTGATGTATTACAGCTTTCCCTTTGATGCATATATCGTTTGTTTAGTACATTTTTAGCTTCGATTAGAATAATGATTCTCAGACATCAGCATACATCAAATCACCTAGAGAGTTAATTAAAACACACCTTTCCAGGCCCCACCACCAAAGTTTCAGCTGAGTAGGTCTGCTATGGGGCCACAGAATTTTCATTTCTAATAACGTCCCAGGGGCTCCTTCAGGAGTCCAAAGAGCCTGAGAAATCTTAGATAAGGATGTTTTACAACTATAATTATACACAAAGTTTGAAGTATACATATTATATTTTCTCTTTTTTCTCTGGTTTAAAGCTTAATAGGTATTTAGGAGCCACTGACCTAAATGACCTATAAGTAATTCAGCTTCTCCATATCCCCATAATTGAAAGTTTTCGTCAAGTGTAATGATATCTAAAAATATAATGTAGGAAATAAACTTCTGTTGTTGTTACTAATCATTGTCATCATCACTTTTGTTAATATCTGTTCAAGGTATATCATTTTCCTGGGGTAAAGAGAGCTATCAAATTATTTCTAATTTTTAATCCCTACTATGTAGAAATGTACAAATGAATAATTAGCAGTGGCCCCTCTGAATTTGAAATGCCATTTTAACTTTTTGTGTGGTAAATTTTGTGAAACTATCAAGTATAGTCATGCATAGCTTAATAGGGAGAGTAAGTTTTGCAAAATGCATTGTTAAGCTATTTCATTTGCAAACATCATAGATTGTACTTACACAAACCCAGATGGTATAGCCTACTTCACACCTAGACTAGATGGTATAGCCCAGGGGTCCCCAACCCCCTGGACCGTATGGGTCCCTGGCCTGGTAGGAAAGGGGCCACACAGCAGGAGGTGAACAGCAGGCAAACAAGCAAAGCTTCATCTGTATTTACAGCCGCACCCCATCACTCACATTATGGCCTGAGCTCCACCTCCTGTCAGATCAGTGGCGGCATAAGATTCTGATAGGAGTGCAAACCCTATTGTGAACTGTGCAGCACTGCCAGGGATCTAGGTTGTGCACTCCTTATGAGAATCTAATGCCTGATGATCTGTCACTGTCTCCCCCAGATGGGACCACCTAGTTGTAGGAAAACAAGCTCAGGGCTCCCACGATTCTACATTATGGTGAGTTGTATAATTATTTCATTATATATTACAGTGTAATAACAATAGAAATAAAATGCAAAATAAATATAATGTGCTTGAATCATCCCAAAACCATCCCCCACCCCCGGTCCATGGGGTCCATGGAAAAATTGTCTTCCACAAAACCAGTTCCTGGTGCCAAACAGGTTGGGGACTGCTGCTATAGCCTATTATTACGCCTAGGCTACAAACCTGTACAGCATGTTACTGTACTAAATCCTGTAGGCAGTTATAACACAGTGGTAAGTATTTGTGTATGTAAAGATACCTAAACATAGAAAAGGTACAGTGAAAACAGAGTATAAAAGATTTTTAAATGTTACCACACTTACCATGAATGTAGCTTGTACAACTAGAAGTTAACTCTGGGGTGAGTCTTGAGTGAATATGAAGTCCTAGGACATTACTATGCACTATTGTATATTTTATACACACTGCATGCTTAACCTACACTAAATTTGGTTTTTTTGTTTTGGTTTGGTTTGGTTTGGTTTGGGTTTTTTTGGAGTCTCGCTTTGTTGCCCAGG
The DNA here is from genome assembly GCF_000001405.40 of Homo sapiens. NCBI lineage: Eukaryota > Metazoa > Chordata > Mammalia > Primates > Hominidae > Homo > Homo sapiens. The sequence continues at coordinate 47,199,238 of NC_000016.10, read as the reverse complement.
CTGGAGTGCAGTGGCGTGATCTCGGCTCACTGCAACCTCTGCCTCCCAGGTTCAAGCAATTCTCCTGCCTCAGCTTCCAAGTAACTGGGATTATGGGCCATGATGCCCGGGTAATTTTTGTATTTTTAATAGAGATAGGGTTTCACCATGTTGCCTAGGCTGGTCTTGAACTCCTGGCCTCAAGTGATCCACCTGTCTCAGCCTCCCAAAGTGCTGAGATTACAGGTGTGAGCCATTGTGTCCAGCCTACACTAAATTTGTTTTAAAAAATATTTTTCTTCAATAATAAATTAGCCTTAGCTTACTGTAACTTCTTTACCTTGTTAACTTTTAATTTTTTTAGTTTTTTGACCCTTTTGTAATAACTTAGCTTAAAACACAAAGACATTGTTCAGGTGTACAAAAATTTTTTTTAATGTTTTATTTTTACTTTTTAAACCTTTAGTTAAAAACTAAGACACAAACACCCACATTAGCTTAGGCCTGCACTGAGTCAGGATCACCAACATCAGTGTCTTCCACCTCCACATCTTGTTCCACTAGAAAGTCTTCAGGGGCAATAAACACCCTTGGAGCTGTCCATCTCCTATGATGACAATACCTTCTTCTGGAATACCTACTGAACGGCCTACCTGAGGCTGTTTTACAGTGAACTTTTTGTTTTTAAAAGTAGATGGAGTACACCCTAAAAGAATGATTAAAAGTACAGTATACTAAATACATAAATCAGTAATATCATTTATCACTATCAACTATTATGTACTGTACATAATTGTATGTGCTATACTTGTATACACCTGGCAACACAGTAGTTTTGTTTACCCCTGCATCACCACAAACATATGAGTAATGCCTTACACTATGACATCATGACAGCTAAGATGGCACTAGGCCATAGGAATTTTTCAGTTCCATTATAATTTTATGGGACCACCATCTTTTATGTGGTCCATTGTTGACTGAAATGTCGTTATACAGTGCATGATGGTAATTTGATGTGGCATTCTAATACGCTGGCAAAGCTGGGAACTAATATTTGAGCTCAAGTTACTCATCCTATAATTGTTTCAAGTAAACGTATAGAAAAGATTAGACAGTTTTGTGGTTGATGGCCGAATAATTTTGCTGTTTTCTTTATAAGATTTGATTGCAACAGAACCAATATTTTGTTTTCTTAAACTTCAATCCGTAATAACAGTCTGATTCCACTACCTACCACAATGTAATCTCTGAGCCCTATAAAAAGAAATTATACTACAGAGCTTATCATATCTCAGCATTCCCTAATTTGAAATACAAAATCAATGGGGCAAACATACTGAAGTAAAGTCAGAGAAAATTATTTTGTCATGTAGTTCTCATGATGAAGAAACAAAAAAGATCCCCTCACGTTTCTGGCAGGGGTGAGAAACAGTAACCATTTTGAAATGTGGCCAAGGCTCTCTCCATCTCTAGGGAACAGACTTTACTCAGGCCAAGGCACTTGCCTGGCTCCAAGCCCTCAGCCTTCCTGTCTCACCCAAGTGGGTGTTGTGCAACTCAGACCAGGGATGTAGAGCTACCAAAAGACTGTTGATGAAAAAGCCAAACTCTGTCAACTATTTAAAGAGGTTTATTGTGAGCCAATTTGAGTGACCATGGCCCGGGGAACATTCTCAGGATGTCCTGAGCAAGTGTGGCAAGGCGGTCAGGTTACAGTTAGATTTTATACATTTTAGGGAGACAGAAGTTATAGGTAAATACATAAAGCAATACATGTAAGATATACATTGATTTGGCCTGGAAAGGCAAGACATCTCGAAGGGTAGGGGCTTACAGGTCACAGGTGGATTCAAAGACTTTGTGATTGGCAGTTGGTTGAAAGAGTTAAGCTAAAAACTTAGTAGAAAGAAAGGCTTGAGTTAAGAGAAGGGGGATTGTGGAGGCCAAGGTTCTTGTTATGTGGATAAACCTCTAGGTAGCAGGTTTCCGAAACTAGAAGGTAACTAACTGTTTTCAGACCTTAAAATATGTCAGACTCTTAATCTCTCCTAGATCTGAGAAAAGCCTAGCTGCATAATTGGAGATTGTCTGCAAATGTAACATTTCCTCCACAAAAGACAGCTTTGCATGGCCATTTCAAAATATGTTAAAGAAATATATCAATATTTTGGAGTTAAGTACTTTTATTTCCTTCAGGGCCTGCTATCTGTCATGTGATGCTATACCAGAGTCAGGCTGGAATCTGGTAACTTTTTGCCAGAGAGTGTTTTGTCAGCCTTAGGATCTCTAAATTTTGTTGTTGTTGTTTTGTTTTGTTTTGTTTTTTTGAGACAGGGTCTCGCTCTGTCACCTAGGCTGGAGTACAGTGGCACAATCTCGGCTCACTGCAACCTCTGCCTCCTGGGTTAAAGCGATTCTCCTACCTCAGCTTCCCGAGTAGCTGGGATTAATTTTTGTTTTTTCAGTAGAGATGGGGTTTCACCAGTTGGCCAGGCTGCTCTTGAACTCCTGACCTCAAGTGATCCACCTGCCTCAGCCTCCCAAAGTGCTGGTATTACAGGCGTGAGCCATGGCACCTGGCCAGGATCCCTATTTTAATGTTAATGCTGATCAGTTGTGCCTAAACTCCAAAAGGGAGGGAGTACAGCAAAGCGTGGGCAACCTCCCTTCCAATCTTGAATGGGAATTCAGTTTTCAGGTTTCCTGTGGCCCAGGAGGGCTCAGTTCAGTTGGTTGCGGGGCTTGGGATTTTATTTTTGGTTTTCAAGACTGATTATTCTAAAATCATAAAATTTTAGAATGCTTCCCCCCACCTCAGCACTTTACCACCACACCCCAGGGCTCAATATAATAGTGGAGCATTGTAAGCAAACAAACTGCAAGAGCAGACGATAAGGAAAATTAGAGTATCAGAAGGAGAAGAGAGAACAGAGCAAAAGAAATAGGTGAAGTAATTAATAGCCAAGAATCTTCTAAAAGTAATGACACACCAAACCACAGGTTCGGGTTGCTCAGACCACACCATGCAGGATAAATACCAAAAAAAAAAAAAAACTACACTTATGCATATCATTGTCAGACTGCAGAAGAGCAAAGACAAAGAAAAATCTTGAAATAAGCTAGAGGAAAAAATACCTATAGCAGAACAAGATTAGAATTACAGCTACCTTCTTCTCAGAAAGCATGCAAGTAAAAAGAAAATGCAGTGAAATATTTAAAGTGTTGTAATGCCAAAAGAAAAAAACACCAACCTACAATTCTGTATCCAGCAAAATTATCTTTTTAAAGTGAGGGAGAAATACACTCATAAGTGGGAGTTGAACATTGAGAACACATGGACACAGAGAGGGGAACAGCACACACTAGGGCCTGTTGGGGGGTGCAGGGTGAGGGGAGGGAACTTAGAAGACAGGTCAATAGGTCCAGCAGACCACCATGGCACACGTATACCTATGTAACAAACCTGCACATTCTGCACATGTATCCCATTTTGTTTTGTTTTTTAGAAGAAATTAAAACAACAACAACAACAAAAAGAAAGTGAGGGAGAAATAAAGGCTATCAGACAAACAAAAACTGAGGAAATTGATTAAGAAATGAGGACATTGATCAAGAAATGTTAAAATAAGTTATTCAAGGAGAAGGAATATGATAAGTCAGAAACTTGTATCTACATAAGGAAGGAAGAACATTAGAGAAGGAATACCTGGATGTAAAATAAGGTCTTTTATTTTTCTTATTCTTAATTGAGCTAAAAAAAACTTTGTTTAAAGTAATAATAGTAGCAGTGTACTAGGTGATTGTGGCATATGGATAAATGACATGAGAGACAGGAATGCCATAGAGATGAGAAGAGAAAATTGGGAGTACTGTTATTTACTTCAACTGGTTCTTTCCTGGAAATGACAATCAAGGGTCTCCTTTCTACCAGTTTTGTGTGATGATTCTTCCAGTGAAACAATAATGGGCTATAAAACTTTAATAACCTATGTCTTCAAAATTGAGTGATTTTGTAGCACCACCACCCTGCCCTCAACATACAAACACAACCACACATTTACAAAGAACTAAAGAAGAGATGAGGTTAAATAAGGGTAAGGGGTAGGAAAAATAAAATAAAAAGAAACTTATAAGGACAAATCTATAAAATAAGTAGGAGCAAGTGAAAAAAAGATGAAAGCAAGAGAATAAATAGAAATTGTTAAGAGAGTCTTAGAGAATGGACAATTGAAAAGTTCAAGAGCATCAGAATCATTTGTAAAGTGTGTGTTAGCTGTGGAGGTGTGGGGGATGGTGCACATATACAGCAAACTCCACAGTGGGTTGCTCTGAAGATTTTTTTATTATTATTCAAAAATTTATTGAGGGGAGTCGGGGGCAAGGGGAGGGAGAGCATTAGAACAAATACCTAATATATGTGGGGCTTGAAACCTAGATGATGGGTTGATAGGTGCAGCAAACCACCATGGCACATGTGTACCTATGTAACAAACCTGCACATTCTGCACATATATCCCGGAACTTAAAATAAAGTTTTAAATATATATATATATTAAGTAGAAAAAGTATTTTTGAACATCTACCAAATACAAGCTGTAATCCCAGGCACATTGAGGAGAAGTGTGAAATATATTCATTGTCCTAAAGAGTCTATAATTTATTTGCAGCGCTAGAGAACAAGATGAGCTGCTAATGAAAGATTTCTCAGAAGGGTGTTTATAAGTGACTGACTTCACTATTCATTAGCCCTTTCTTCTATAAACTTAGGTGTCCAGAATGGAGTCTTATGAAAGAACTAGGATTCCATATTCTACAAGACGTCCTAGAAATCTGATACCCTTGACCTTGTTTGCTGGATAACTGTGCATGATACTTTGCCAGGTGCTGTGAATATGAAAATATACTTAGATGAGGTTACCATTATCAAGAACTTTATATATTAGGAGCCAGACATATACATTTGAAAATACCCTCATAAATAGTCATTACAAAGCAATAAGTGCAATAGAGTTCAAAGAAAGACCATTATTGACTGAATTGATCAGGTAACACTTTGTCAAGGAAGTCGTCATTTGAAGGATTGGTATGCATGGACCAGAAGAAGTGAGTAAGAAGAAATGCAGATGTAGCATTAGCAAAGTCAACATAATGGGAAATGTAACTTTATTAGGAGAATACACACAAAAATAATTTAACAATCAAAAAAGAAAAATCTTGTTCTGGTTTTTTAACGCTATAGTAGACACAAAAACTATAATATCTTTAAATGTTTTCTCTTTATTTCTTAACTTCATTGAGGAAAAACTCATATTCTAGACAGATATTCCCATTGGTTTCACTTAGTTGCTCTAGAATTTCTGAATAACTTGGTAAATAGCCTGGAATTTTATTTTTTAATTGTTCTTTACACAAAACATTTATTTTTCATTACAGTTTAGTGAACAGTTTACTAACCATAATAATAATACATTTAACTTAATTATGTATATTCACCAAAAGTAGTAATTGAGAAGATTAATCCTCCTTTATTTCAAGATTTTACTTTATTTGTATTTATTTATTTGAGACAAGGTCTCACTCTGTCACCAAGGCTAGAGTGCAGTGCTGTGATTATAACTGACTGCAGCCTCAACCTCCTGGGCTCAAGAGATCCTCCCACTGCAGCCTCCCTAGTAGCTGGGACTACAGGTGTGCACCAACACACCCAGCTTATTTTTTATTTTTTGTAGAGGTGAGGTTTCACCATGTTGCCCAGGCTGGCCTTGAACTCTTGGGCTCAAAATATAGCCTTGGCCTCCCAAAGTGCTATATTTTACGTTTTAAAGATGTCAATAAAAAATCTAAAATAGGCCTTTTGAATGTAGGTTTTGTTGAAACAGAAGAAACGAAAATTATTTAATAAAATAAAATAGGCCTGGTTGCCCATTTTTTTAAATATACTTAAATGTAAAGGATAGATAAGAAAGAACAAAAGAATGAATAATGAGTGAAAAATCTTTTAACCTCTGCAGGCCTAGATCTGAAAAAAAAAAAAATTTTTTTAATAAAATTAAAATAAAATTTTACAAAATATTTTAACCACTATAGTTTTGAGATCTTGTGGTTTCCCATCCAACATGTAAAGAGGTTGGAAGTTGTACTCTTATCCTCACCAAAAAAAAAGAACAAACTGAAAATCAACAGCTCTTCTTAGATCCATCAAAGAATGAAGACACGGGACAGACCACTGCCCCCAAAACCAGAACAGACAAATACAGAGAATCACAGATTACTGAGTAGAAGCCGCAGCTAGAGCCAGCAACTGGTAGGAACACTTCAAGGGCGATTGACTAATTGCTAGAGACTGAGAATGAGACTCGTTTAAAACATTAAGAACTCCTGGAGGCCCAGCCTTAGAGTACCTATCAAGTTCTCAGGGTCAAAAGCTGAGGGGAAAATGCCCTTGTGTTTCTGTGTGTGTAGAGGGAAGAGAGTAAACATTTTAAAAAACAAACAAACAAACTTCCAGAGTTACTGCTCTCCTTAACAAAGGCCTGTCCTCAAGGGAAACTATTTTACCAACACCTAACCAAGCTGGGTTTTACCAGAGTCTAACTGACATGAGAGAAGTGAAATACCCAACTCCAGCCCCCTTTAGCCTATCTCACCTAAGGGGCAGGTGGGTGGTTGGGGGGACAAGACTAACAGTTAAAGGACCATTAAACACTTACCCTCCCCTGACGCCTTGCCATCACATTAATCAGTCTGCTATATAATAATAGGGATTATAGTTGAGCAAAGCTCAGGCCCTATTTCAGAAGGAATCTCTAGTGTTTCATAATGAGAGGATGAAGAAGTCAATAACAATAAATAATAAGGAGTCTCTAGGGAAACCCAAATACTACAGAGGAAACAAAAATAAGCATTAGATGATGTTTTCGTCTCTGACATCTACAGCTGCAACTACCAGCAAAGGCAGCCTAACTCATAGCTAGATAACCTCACACTAAATGACTACTTACCATGTTCCTTTTATGCAATACATCATGTACAGCTTTCAACAACAAATTACAAGCCACACTAAAAGGCAAAACAAACAAAAGCCACACACTCTGAATGGATAAAGCAAGTAGAAGAACTAGACTCAGTTATGGCAAAGACTGTCAAATTATAGAGACAGGGAATTTAAAATAACTGTGGGCTAGGTGTGGTGGCTCACACCTGTAATCCAGCACTTTGGGATGCCAAGGCAGGCAGATTGCTTGAGCCCAGGGGTTCGAGACTGGGCTCGAGAAATAACAAAAATTAGCCAGACGTGATGGCACTTGCCTGTATTCTCAGCTACACAGGAGGCTGAGGTGGGCCTAAAGCCCAGGATATCGAGGCTGTAGTGAGCCAAGATCGCATCACTGCACTTCAGCCTGGATGACAGACCAAGACCCTGTGTTAAATAAATAAATAAAGGGCAGGCGCGGTGGCTCACGCCTGTAATCCCAGCACTTGGGCAGGCCAAAGTGACCTCTGGCCTCACCTGAGGTAAGAAGTTTGAGACCATCCTGGCCAGCATGGTGAAACCTTGTCTCTACTAAAAACACAAAAAAATTAGCTGGGTATGGTGGTATGTGCCTGTAATCCCAGCTACTTGGGAGGCTGAGGCAGGAGAATCATTTGAACCCAGGAGTTGGAGGTTGCAGTGAGCCTGTGATTAATATGCTAAGAGCTCTGATGGAAAAAATGCTAGAAATAAAAAACACTGTAATACAGGCATGTCCAATCTTTTGGCTTCCCTGGGCCAAACTGGAAGAAGAAGAATTGTCTTGGGCCACACATAAAATACACTAACACTAATGACAGCTGATGAACTAAAAATTAAAAAAAAAAAAAACTCATGATGTTTTAAGAAAGTTTATGAATTTGTGTTGGGCCACATTCAAAGCCACCCTGGGCCACATGTGGCCTGCGGGCAGTGGGTTGGACAAGTGGCTTGCTGTAAATAGGAATGAAGAATGCCTTTGATGGGCTTAGACCTGGCCAAGGAAAGAATTAGTGACCTTGAAGATATGTCAACTGAAACTCCCCAAACTGAAAAGTGAGGAGAAAAAAGAAAAATACAGTTTACCTTAATGAACATTCAGGTATAAAATGCTACACTAATGGCCCCCAATAATTCATGCCTCCCCAGTATTCATACCATTATTAGCCCCAACCCACACTGACTTTGGCCAAGGAGACATCAGCGAACATGACCCAAGCAGAACCCTGATAGCCCTTATACTGTGGGACTTGCCCTCTTGGAGTGTGGCCCTGAGATAGCATGTGAAAAAAGCCAGGCTATTCTCCTTCAGGATGAAAGACCATGAAGAGGCAGGCCAGTGCAGTCATCCCACCAAACCCCAACCCCAGGTAACACCAGCTGAGTGTAGCTGCATGAATAACTTAGTCAAAACCAGCAGAAACTGCCCAGTCAACCCACTGAATCATGAGAAATAAAATGATTCTAGTTCTAAGCCAGTAAATTTTAGGTTAATTTGTTACACAACAATAATTGCAAGAAAGAATGTAGTATTCTGCTTTGCTTCATGAGCCAAATATAAGCAAATTTACAAAGATGGAAGTATTGACACGGATAAAGACATATGTTCGGGAAGCTCAGGCATGAGTGGATAGGAAAGGGATAGAAACATAGAGAAGCAGAAGGTGACAATTTAAGAGTTTAAAAGAATATGCATACTGACACTCACAACTTTAATAATGTCCTCTAGGAAGAAGGTACACATGAAAGAACTGACTTTGCTAAAGGAAAAATTTAAAGGTGTTTTTGTGTTTTATGTCTATTGACAGCTAGTAACTGCCTCTAGGTCTCTCCAAGTTGAGTAACATGTATGTAATAATAGCTACCTAGTCTAATAAACATTTCGTTTAAAATCACATGTTTCAGTAAAAATAACCTATCTTGCAACTTGGGACTAAAAAAACTCTTCTCACCTTTTGTTTTAAAGTAGGTAAGCATCTTTTATCCATGTACCAGAACTAAACAGTTTTGCTCCCTTGTCTTTTTTTTTTCTTCCTACTAAAAAAAGGCCCCTTATAAGTGAAATGACCATTGTTTTCCCTCTCAGAGAGGTACAGATCTCCAACAAGGAAAATTAAGTGCACTAAGTCATAAGTCAAGCTTTCCCATTTAGCTCATTTTTACAACATTGTTCACTTTGGAACCTGAGGGATTTTTTTTTTAATCCAGAGGATGACAGCTAAAACATAATTGCACATAACCTCAGAAAAGTTTACCACCCTAATACAACTCAAAAGGAACACCTACCATTAAATTGGAACTCCACAAGCAATAACACCTAATGCAGTTTGGTTTTATGGGAGCTGTGTGGATTTCCTTTATTGTATCCCTTTGCATTATTTTTCACATGCATTTGCAATGGCTTTTTACCATTCCTTCATTAGAGGCTTTTGTGAATTAAGGTTAGAAAAGCAGTTAACAAAATCAAACTACTCAGTTCTTCAAAAAATTAAACACAGAGTTAGCATATGACTCAAAATTCCACTCCTAGGTATATTCCCAAGAGAACAGAAAACATGTCCACATAAAACTTGTACATGAATGTCCATAGCAGCATTATTCATAATCCCCCAGAAAGTGGAAACAGACGAAATGCCCATGAACTGATGAATGGGTAAACCACAGATATGGTATATTCATACAGTGGAATATTATTCAGTCACAAAAACATGAAACGTGCAACAATATGATGAACCATACTAAACTATTCTAAGCGAATACAGCCAGACACAAAAGGCCACATATTGTCCAACTTCATTTATATGAAAGGTCCAGAATAGGCAACTTCATAGAGGTAGAAAGGACAGTAGTGGTTACCAGGGGCTGGAGGGAGGAAGAAATGGGAACTAAGTGCTCTTGGGTGTGGGGTTTTTTTTGTGGTAATGAAAATATTCTGGAATTGGTGTCAGTTGCACAGCCTTGTCAGTGTACTAAAAACCACTGAATTGTACACTGTAAACTGGTGGGTTTTGTGGTATGTGAATTATATACCAATTTAACACAAAAGAAGAAACATAAAAACTACTCACATTCTAAATGTATAACTGGGAAGTAGGCTGACAAGAGCTTGAACCAGGGTTCCAATTTCTTCATTTATTCCAAAAAAGAAATTAGAAGAACCTTCATTAAAAACTGTTTATGGGGCTGGGTGTGGTGGCTAAAGCCTGTAATCCCAGCACTTTAGAAGGCTGAGGCAGGTGGATCACTGAGGTTGGGAGTTCAAGACCAGCTTGGCCAACATGGCAAAACCCTGCCTCTACTAAAAATACAAAAATTAGCTGGGCATGGTGGCACACACTTCTAATCCCAGCTACTTGGGAGGCTAAGGCAGGAGCATCGCTTAAACCCAGGAAGTGGAGGTTGCAGTGAGCCAAGATAGCGCCACTGCACTGCTTTGTAGTTTACAAAGCACTTTTTTTGTATTTTTTTTTTCTTATTATACTTTAAGTTTTAGGGTACATGTGCACAATGTGCAGGTTAGTTACGTATGTATACATGTGACATGCTGATGCGCTGCACCCACTAACTCGTCATCTAGCATTAGGTATATCTCCCAATGCTATCCCTCCCCCCTCCCCCCTCCCCCCACCCCACAACAGTCCCCAGAGTATGATGTTTCCCTTCCTCTGTCCATGTGTTCTCATTGTTCAATTCCCACCTATGAGTGAGAATATGCGGTGTTTGGTTTTTTGTTCTTGCAATAGTTTACTGAGAATGATGATTTCCAATTTCATCCATGTCCCTACAAAGGACATGAACTCATCATTTTTTATGACTGCATAGTATTCCATGGTGTATATGTGCCACATTTTCTTAATCCAGTCTATCATTGTTGGACATTTGGGTTGGTTCCAAGTCTTTGCTATAGTGAATAATGCCGCAATAAACATACGTGCACATGTGTCTTTATAGTAGCATGATTTATAGTCCTTTGGGTATATACCCAGTAATGGGACGGCTGGGTCAAATGGTATTTCTAGTTCTAGATCCCTGAGGAATCGCCACACTGACTTCCACAATGGTTGAACTAGTTTACAGTCCCACCAACAGTGTAAAAGTGTTCCTATTTCTCCACATCCTCTCCAGCACCTGTTGTTTCCTGACTTTTTAATGATTGCCATTCTAACTGGTGTGAGATGGTATCTCACTGTGGTTTTGATTTGCATTTCTCTGATAGCCAGTGATGATGAGCATTTTTTCATGTGTTTTTTGGCTGCATAAATGTCTTCTTTTGAGAAGTGTCTGTTCATGTCCTTCGCCCACTTTTTGATGTGGTTGTTTGTTTTTTTCTTGTAAATTTGTTTGAGTTCATTGTAGATTCTGGATATTAGCCCTTTGTCAGATGAGTAGGTTGCGAAGATTTTCTCCCATTTTGTAGGTTGCCTGTTCACTCTGATGGTAGTTTCTTTTGCTGTGCAGAAGCTCTTTGGTTTAATTAGATCCCATTTGTCAATTTTGGCTTTTGTTGCCATTGCTTTTGGTGTTTTAGACAGGAAGTGCTTGCCCATGCCTATGTCCTGAATGGTAATGCCTAGGTTTTCTTCTAGGGTTTTTATGGTTTTAGGTCTAATGTTTAAGTCTTTAATCCATCTTGAATTGATTTTTGTATAAGGTGTAAGGAAGGGATCCAGTTTCAGCTTTCTAAATATGGCTAGCCAGTTTTCCCAGCACCATTTATTAAATAGGGAATCCTTTCCCCATTGCTTGTTTTTCTCAGGTTTGTCAAAGATGAGATAGTTGTAGATATGCGGCATTATTTCTGAGGGCTCTGTTCTGTTCCATTGATCTATATCTCTGTTTTGGTACCAGTACCATGCTGTTTTGGTTACTGTAGCCTTGTAGTATAGTTTGAAGTCAGGTAGCATGATGCCTCCAGCTTTGTTCTTTTGGCTTAGGATTGACTTGGCGATGCGGGCTCTTTTTTGTTTCCATATGAACGTTAAAGTAGTTTTTTCCAATTCTGTGAAGAAAGTCATTGGTAGCTTGATGGGGATGGCATTGAATCTGTAAATTACCTTGGGCAGTATGGCCATTTTCACAATATTTATTCTTCCTACCCATGAGCATGGAATGTTCTTCCATTTGTTTGTATCCTCTTTTATTTCCTTGAGCAGTGGTTTGTAGTTCTCCTTGAAGAGGTCCTTCACATCCCTTGTAAGTTGGATTCCTAGGTATTTGATTCTCTTTGAAGCAATTGTGAATGGGAGTTCACTCATGATTTGGCTCTCTGTTTGTCTGTTACTGGTGTATAAGAATGCTTGTGATTTTTGTACATTGATTTTGTATCCTGAGACTTTGCTGAAGTTGCTTATCAGCTTAAGGAGATTTTGGGCTGAGACAATGGGATTTTCTAGATATACAGTCATGTCGTCTGCAAACAGGGACAATTTGACTTCCTCTTTTCCTAATTGAATACCCTTTATTTCCTTCTCCTGCCTAATTGCTCTGGCCAGAATTTCCAACACTAGGTTGAAAAGGAGTGGTGAGAGAGGGCATCCCTGTCTTGTGCCTGTTTTCAAAGGGAATGCTTCCAGTTTTTGCCCATTCAGTATGATATTGGCTGTGGGTTTGTCATAGATAGCTCTTATTATTTTGAAATATGTCCCATCAATACCTAATTTGTTGAGAGTTTTTAGCATGAAGGGCTGTTGAATTTTGTCAAAGGCCTTTTCTGCATCTATTGAGATAATCGTGTGGTTTTTGTCTTTGGTTCTGTTTCTATGCTGGATTACATTTATTGATTTGCGTATATTGAACCAGCCTTGCATCCCAGGGATGAAGCCCACTTGATCATGGTGGATAAGCTTTTTGATGTGTTGCTGGATTCGGTTTGCCAGTATTTTATTGAGGATTTTTGCATCAATGTTCATCAAGGATATTGGTCTAAAATTCTCTTTTTTGCTTGTGTCTCTGCCCGGCTTTGGCGTCAGGATGATGCTGGCCTCATAAAATGAGTTAGGGAGGATTCCCTCTTTTTCTGTTGATTGGAATACTTTCAGAAGGAATGGTACCAGTTCCTCCTTGTACCTCTGGTAGAATTCGGCTGTGAATCCATCTGGTCCTGGACTCTTTTTGGTTGGTAAGCTATTGATTATTGCCACAATTTCAGCTCCTGTTATTGGTCTATTCAGAGATTCAACTTCTTCCTGGTTTAGTCTTGGGAGGGTGTATGTGTCGAGGAATTTATCCATTTCTTCTAGATTTTCTAGTTTATTTGCATAGAGATGTTTGTAGTATTCTCTGATGGTAGTTTGTATTTCTGTGGGATCGGTGGTGATATCCCCTTTATCATTTTTTATTGCATCTATTTGATTCTTCTCTCTTTTCTTCTTTATTAGTCTTGCTAGCGGTCTATCAGTTTTGTTGATCTTTTCAGAAAACCAGCTTCTGGATTCATTAATTTTTTGAAGGGTTTTTTGTGTCCCTATTTCCTTCAGTTCTGCTCTGATTTTAGTTATTTCTTACCTTCTGCTAGCTTTTGAATGTGTTTGCTCTTGCTTTTCTAGTTCTTTTAATTGTGATGTTAGGGTGTCAATTTTGGATCTTTCCTGCTCTCTTGTGGGCATTTAGTGCTATAAATTTCCCTCTACACACTGCTTTGAATGTGTCCCAGAGATTCTGGTATGTTGTGTCTTTGTTCTCATTGGTTTCAAAGAACATCTTTATTTCTGCCTTCATTTCATTATGTACCCAGTAGTCATTCAGGAGCAGGTTGTTCAGTTTCCATGTAGTTGAGCGGTTTTGAGTGAGATTCTTAATCCTGAGTTCTAGTTTGATTGCACTTTGTCTGAGAGACAGTTTGTTATAATTTCTGTTCTTTTACATTTACTTCCAAGTATGTAGTCAATTTTGGAATAGGTGTGGTGTGGTGCTGAAAAAATGTATATTCTGTTGATTTGGGGTGGAGAGTTCTGTAGCTGTCTATTAGGTCCGCTTGGTGCAGAGCTGAGTTCAATTCCTGGGTATCCTTTTGACTTTCTGTCTCGCTGATCTGTCTAATGTTGACAGTGGGGTGTTAAAGTCTCCCATTACTAATGTGTGGGAGTCTAAGTCTCTTTGTAGGTCACTCAGGACTTGCTTTATGAATCTGGGTGCTCCTGTATTGGGTGCATATATATTTAGGATAGTTAGCTCTTCTTGTTGAATTGATCCCTTTACCATTATGTAATGGCCTTCTTTGTCTCTTTTGATCTTTGTTGGTTTAAAGTCTGTTTTATCAGAGACTAGGATTGCAACCCCTGCCTTTTTTTGTTTTCCATTTGCTTGGTAGATCTTCCTCCATCCTTTTATTTTGAGCCTATGTGTGTCTCTGCACGTGAGATGGGTTTTCTGAATATAGCACACTGATGGGTCTTGACTCTTTATCCAATTTGCCAGTCTGTGTCTTTTAATTGGAGCATTTAGTCCATTTACATTTAAAGTTAATATTGTTATGTGTGAATTTGGTCCTGTCATTATGATGTTAGCTGGTTATTTTGCTCATTAGTTGACGCAGTTTCTTCCTAGTCTCGATGGTCTTTACATTTTGGCATGATTTTGCAGCGGCTGGTACCAGTTGTTCCTTTCCATGTTTAGCGCTTCCTTCAGGAGCTCTTTTAGGGCAGGCCTGGTGGTGACAAAATCTCTCAGCATTTGCTTGTCTGGAAAGTATTTTATTTCTCCTTCACTTATGAAGCTTAGTTTGGCTGGATATGAAATTCTGGGTTGAAAATTCTTTTCTTTAAGAATGTTGAATATTGGCCCCCACTCTCTTCTGGCTTGTAGCGTTTCTGCCGAGAGATCTGCTGTTAGTCTGATGGGCTTCCCTTTGTGGGTAACCCGACCTTTCTCTCTGGCTGCCCTTAACATTTTTTCCTTCATTTCCACTTTGGTGAATCTGACAATTATGTGTCCTGGAGTTGCTCTTCTCGAGGAGTATCTTTGTGGCGTTCTCTGTATTTCCTGAACCTGAATGTTGGCCTTCCTTGCTAGACTGGGGAAGTTCTCCTGGATAATATCCTGCAGAATGTTTTCCAACTTGGTTCCATTCTCCCCGTCACTTTCAGGTACACCAGTCACACGTAGATTTGGTCTTTTCACATATTCCCATATTTCTTGGAGGCTTTGCTCATTTCTTTTTATTCTTTTTTCTCTAAACTTCCCTTCTCGCTTCATTTCATCTTTCATTGCTGATACCCTTTCTTCCAGTTGATCGCATCGGCTCCTGAGGCTTCTGCATTCTTCACCTAGTTCTCGAGCCTTGGTTTTCAGCTCCATCAGCTCCTTTAAGCACTTCTCTGTATTGGTTATTGTAGTTATACATTCTTCTAAATTTTTTTCAAAGTTTTCAACTTCTTTGCCTTTGGTTTGAATGTCCTCCTGTAGCTCAGAGTAATTTGATCGTCTGAAGCCTTCTTCTCTCAGCTCGTCAAAGTCATTCTCCGTCCAGCTTTGTTCCGTTGCTAGTGAGGAACTGCGTTCCTTTGGAGGAGGAGAGGCGCTCTGCTTTTTAGAGTTTCCAGTTTTTCTGCTCTGTTTTTTCCCCATCTTTGTGGTTTTATCTTCTTTTGGTCTTTGATGATGGTGATGTACAGATGGGTTTTTGGTGTGGATGTCCTTTCTGTTTGTTAGTTTTCCTTCTAACAGACAGGACCCTCAGCTGCAGGTCTGTTGGAGTACCCGGCCGTGCGAGGTGTCAGTCTGCCCCTGCTGGGCGGTGCCTCCCAGTTAGGCTGCCTGGGGGTCAGGGGTCAGGGGTCAGGGACCCACTTGAGGAGGCAGTCTGCCCGTTCTCAGATCTCCAGCTGCGTGCTGGGAGAACCACTGCTCTCTTCAAAGCTGTCAGACAGGGACATTTAAGTCTGCAGAGGTTACTGCTGTCTTTTTGTTTGTCTGTGCCCTGCCCCCAGAGGTGGAGCCTACAGAGGCAGGCAGGCCTCCTGGAGCTGTGGTGGGCTCCACCCAGTTCGAGCTTCCAGGCTGCTTTGTTTACCTAAGCAAGCCTGGGCAATGGTGGGCACCCCTCCCCCAGCCTCGCTGCCGCCTTGCAGTTTGATCTCAGACTGCTGTGCTGGCAATCAGCGAGACTCCGTGGGCGTAGGACCCTCCAAGCCAGGTGCGAGCCAGATGCGGGATATAATCTCTTGTGCGCCGTTTTTTAAGCCCGTCGGAAAAGCGCGGTATTCGGGTGGGAGTGACCCGATTTTCCAGGTGCCGTCTGTCACCCCTTTCTTTGACTAGGAAAGGGAACTCCCTGACCCCTTGCGCTTCCCGAGTGAGGCAATGGCTCGCCCTGCTTCCGCTCGCGCACGGTGTGCGCACCCACTGACCTGCACCCACCGTCTGGCACTCCCTAGTGAGATGAACCCGGTACCTCAGATGGAAATGCAGAAATCACCCGTCTTCTGCGTTGCTCACGCTGGGAGCTGTAGACCGGAGCTTTTCCTATTCGGCCATCTTGGCTCCTCCCACCTACAAAGCAGTTTTATAAAACATTAGAAGTTAAGTACTATTAATTATCTGGTAATTTCCTCACCGAATCCATGCAGTAGATGATACTGTTTGCTATAGTTATTCTAATTCTACAAATGAGGAAACATTCCATTATATTTTCGTTTTTGTACCTTTAAGCATCTCCAGGTCAAGGTTTGTCTCTCTTTCATCTGTGTAAAAGGCATACAGTGTACATTCACTAAATGTTTAGATGAATGAATACACAAACTAAGGCTCAAGGGGGTCAAGGGATTACTAAAGATCAAATAAATCAGTGTTAAAGTACATACTTTTGGCATTCAAATCCCATGTGTTTCCCATAATACCATATTTTCTTTTTTTTTTTTTGAGAGCCACCTAAGTAATAACAGTTGTCTCTTTAATTTTTGATTCCCATCGTCTACTAGACATCTCATATTTTATCCAAAATGGCAAATCTCTAATGTATGCTCCCATTGCTGCCAGAATGAGCATCCCTTAATACATATTTGCCCATTTTATTCCCCTACTTAAAATTCTTCTGAATTTCCCTGTTTTTTTGTTTTTTTTTTTTTTAATTGATCATTCTTGGATGTTTCTCGCAGAGGGGGATTTGACAGGGTCATAGGACAATAGTGGAGGGAAGGTCAGCAGATAAACAAGTGAACAAAGGTATCTGGTTTTCCTAGGCAGAGGACCCTGTGGCCTTCCGCAGTGTTTGTGTCCCTGGGTACTTGAGATTAGGGAGTGGTGATGACTCTTAAGGAGCCTGCTGCCTTCAAGCATCTGTTTAACAAAGCACATCTTGCACCGCCCTTAATCCATTTAACCTGAGTGGACACAGCACATGTTTCAGAGAGCACAGGGTTGGGGGTAAGGTCATAGATCAACAGGATCCCAAGGCAGAATAATTTTTCTTAGTACAGAACAAAATGAAAAGTCTCCCATGTCTACCTCTTTCTACACAGACACAGCAAACATCCGATTTCTCAATCTTTTCCCCACCTTTCCCCCTTTACTATTCCACAAAACCGCCATTGTCATCATGGCCCATTCTCAATGAGCTGTTGGGTACACCTCCCAGATGGGGTGGTGGCCGGGCAGAGGGGCTCCTCACTTCCCAGTAGGGGCGGCCGGGCAGAGGCGCCCCTCACCTCCCTCCTGGACGGGGCGGCTGGCCGGGCGGGGGGGCTGACCCCCCCCCACCTCCCTGCCAGACGGGGAGGCTGGCCGGGTGGGGGGGCTGACCCCCCCACCTCCCTCCCGGACGGGGCGGCTGGCCGGGCGGGGGGGCTGACCCCCCCCACCTCCCTCCCGGACGGGGCGGCTGGCCGGGCGGGGGGGCTGACCCCCCCATCTCCCTGCCGGACGGGGTGGCTGGCCGGGCGGGGGGCTGACCCCCCCACCTCCCTCCCGGACGGGGCGGCTGCCAGGCGGAGACGCTCCTCACTTCCCAGACAGAGACGCTCCTCACTTCCCAGACGGGGTGGCTGCCGGGCGGAGGGGCTCCTCACTTCTCAGACGGGGCGGCTGCCGGGCAGAGGGTCTCCTCACTTCTCAGATGGGGCGGCCGGGCAGAGGCGCTCCTCACATCCCAGATGGGGCGGTGGGGCAGCGGCGCTCCCCACATCTCAGACGATGGGCGGCCGGGCAGAGACGCTCCTCACTTCCTAGATGGGATGGCAGCCTGGAAGAGGCGCTCGTGACTTCCTAGATGGTATGGCGGCCGGGCAGAGACGCTCCTCACTTTCCAGACTGGGCAGCCAGGCAGAGGGGCTTCTCACATCCCAGATGATGGGCGGCCGGGCAGAGACGCTCCTCACTTCCTAGACAGGATGGCAGCCGGGCAGAGACGCTCCTCACTTTCCAGACTGGGCAGCCAGGCAGAGGGGCTCCTCACATCCCAGACGATGGGCGGCCAGGCAGAGACGCTCCTCACTTCCCAGACGGGGTGGCGGCCGGGCAGAGGCTGCAATCTCGGCACTTTGGGACGCCAAGGCAGGCGGCTGGGAGGTGGAGGTTGTAGCGAGCTGAGATCATGCCACTGCACCCCAGCCTGGGCACCATTGAGCACTGAGTGAACGAGACTCCGTCTGCAATCCCGGCACCTCGGGAGGCCGAGGCTGGCGGATCACTCACGGTTAGGAGCTGGAGACCAGCCTGGCCAACACAGCGAAACCCCATCTCCACCAAAAAAATACGAAAAACAGTCAGGCGTGGCGGCGCGTGCCTGCAATTGCAGGCACTCAGCAGGCTGAGGCAGGAGAATCAGGCAGGGAGATTGCAGTGAGCCGAGATGGCAGCAGTACAGTCCAGCTTTGGCTCGGCATCAGAGGGAGACCGTGGAAAGAGAGGGAGAGGGAGACCGTGGGGAGAGGGGGAGGGGGAGGGAGAGGGAGAGGGCAATAATACCATATTTTCAAGTCTCCTGTGTTCCCTACACGTTTGTTCAAGCCCATTAGGTAAGCTGATATCATGTTGTTATTCAAAGCCCAAATAGATGTCTTCCACGTAATCACTGACATGGCATATCATAAGACTTCAAGGAAAACTAAAACAACTGCACAAATTTATTTACTCCCAAACCTTCAGTTTATTATAGCAGACATCTACTAAGTGCCTACTGTGTGCCAGCCACTATGCTGTATTCCCCGGGAATAGAGCGTGAAAATGAATAATTACCTAGACTGGAAGTATCTAAGCACCTCTTTTAATGAAACTTCTTTCTGTCTACCACATATTTCATCACTTCATCCTATCAGCTATCTATAAACTGAGTTCAGATATAATTCAAAATATGCCAAAGGAGTAACAGTCAGTCAGTGGATTCCTTTATTCACAATCATAACTCAACTTTCAGGAAAAGAGGACAACCGTCGTTTTAAGAAGTTTTCTATAAACAGTGATGATCCTAACTTCCAAAAATCTAAGAACTCAGCATTTGAGCATGGAGCCTCACAAATTCCCCATATACTATTCACTTAGGGTAATTTAAGATCTTTCTTTCTGGAGCCACATTCTAGAGATCCTAGTACCACCACATACTTTTAAAAGGTATTAACCACTTCTCTCATGGATTATGGCTTTCCGTGAAGACAGCTTATTTCTTTTTTTTTAAATAAAAACAACTTTAT
This sequence comes from Homo sapiens, assembly GCF_000001405.40. Taxonomy (NCBI): domain Eukaryota; kingdom Metazoa; phylum Chordata; class Mammalia; order Primates; family Hominidae; genus Homo; species Homo sapiens. The sequence goes on along the minus strand of NC_000016.10, from coordinate 47,179,621 downwards.
GAAGGTATATTTTACATATCAAAAAATTATTCATCTTAAGTGTACAATTCAATGATTTTTAGTGACTTTACTCAGTACAACCATTACTGTAAATCAGCTCTAGAACATTTCAATCCCCTCACAATAAAATCCCTCTTGATCAATTTTTTTATATACTTTAAGTTCTAGGGTACATGTGCACAACATGCAGGTTTGTTACATATGTATACATGTGCCATGTTGGTGTGCTGCATAGTATTCCATGGTGTATATGTGCCACATTTTCTTAATCCAATCTATCATTGATGGACATTTGGGTTGGTTCCAAGTCTTTGCTATTGTGAATAATGCCGCAATAAACATATGTGCGCATGTGTCTTTATAGCAGCATGATTTATAATTCTTTGGGTATATACCCAGTAATGGGATGGCTGGGTCAAATGGTATTTCTAGTTCTAGATCCTTGAGGAATTGCCACACTGTCTTCCACAATGGTTGAACTAGTTTACAGTCCCACCAACAGTGTAAAAGTGTTCCTATTTCTCCACATCCTCTCCAGCACCTGTTGTTTCCTGACTTTTTAATGATCGCCATTCTAACTGGTGTGAGATGGTATCTCATTGTGGTTTTGATTTGCATTTCTCTGATGGCCAGTGATGATGAGCATTTTTTCATGTGTCTGTTGGCTGTATAAATGTCTTCTTTTGAGAAGTGTCTGTTCATATCCTTTGCCCACTTTTTGATGGGGTTGTTTGATTTTTTCTTGTAAATTTGTTTAAGTTCATTGTAGATTCTGGATATTAGCCCTTTGTCAGATGGGTAGATTGTAAAAATTTTCTCCCATTCTGTAGGTTGCCTGTTCACTCTGATGGTAGTTTCTTTTGCTGTGAAGAAGCTCTTTAGTTTAATTAGATCCCATTTGTCAATTTTGGCTTTTGTTGCCATTGCTTTTGGTGTTTTAGACATGAAGTCCTTGCCCATAGCTATGTCCTGAATGGTATTGCCTAGGTTTTCTTCTAGGGTTTTTATGGTTTTAGGTCTAACATTTAAGTCTTTAATCCATCTTGAATTAATTTTTGTATAAGGTGTAAGGAAGGGATGCAGTTTCAGCTTTCTACATATGTCTAGCCAGTTTTCCCAGCACCATTTATTAAATAGGGAATCCTTTCCCCATTTCTTGTTTTTGTCAGGTTTGTCAAAGATCAGATAGTTGTAGATGTGTGGTATTATTTCTTGTCTTTATGCTGAGCACTAAGTAGGACTGTTTAAAAACCAGGAGCATTTATACAGTGACACTAAAATAACACAGGTCTTGGATTTATAATTTTGTCACAAAATCCACTCACATTGGAAACTAGATTTTCCCAAAGTCCAAGTAAAATGGTGTGCCTTAGTTGAACAGGCCAGGAGAAGATTTTACCATCAGGCAGAGCCCAGCTGCTATGTTCTTTTTTCTATGTGGGTAACCATCCATTTAATTAAAGTCAGTGAATTTTAAAACAGAAAAATAAGAGGATAAGCTGTATGATTTAACAAGTGTCTTAAATGTCAGGTGACTATAGCCTAAAACATCTCCAAATTTTAAAATTAAATGTTAATATCTTTATTCTCAGTCATAATATCTTTTGGCGTCTTTTTACATTCAAAATCTATTTTGTCCTTTTTTGTTTTCACTTCTGAATTCTGGGTGTCAAATTATGATATTGTACAATTAAGTTTATCCTGTTAACAATAAATAGTCCCTTAGCAATTACTGTACTCTATATATAGGAATTAGCTAGCTAAATACTTCAGCAATTAATTTAAATGTTAAAAATCATCACTGCAGTAATACATTTCATCACTTGCTTTCTTTGGCCAATATTCTAGCCTAGTTGATAATTTTTATTTAAAAGGTGGTCCCTGGGATTTTACTGGAAATTAGTATAACAACCATGATCTTCTGTTATCCAGAATATTCAGGGCATTGGGTTCTCAGATCAAAACAAATATTTAAATAAGAAGTCATTAAAATCACTTTATATTTTTTAATTGATATCTTATAGAATTACAATATGTATATGCGGCATTTAACATACATATTCTTTTCTAAAAGTTTACATGTCAGTTGTTTGATACATGGAACACCTTTTTTGTACATATTTAAACATATCAAGGAAATAGTCACATTATCAGAGTAGACCATAAACTCCAATTTAATTGCTAGCCTTTTTTCTGGCTAGACCATCTGATTTGATATACTTTATATCAAATACTATACACTTTATAATGAGTCTCATCACATTAAATAACACAAATTATTACCCCAAGTTGGCATTTAGAAACAAGGGAGTATGATAATTGTATAGCCGGGAAGATTTTAATAGATATATCAGCCTGGTGATGTGGCTCACACCTGTAATCCCAGCTACTCAGGAGGCTGAGGTGGGAGGATCACTTGTAGCTCAGAGCTCGAAACCAGCTTGGGCAAGACAGTGAGACCCCTTCCCTTAAAAATTTTAAAAAATAAAAATAAATTAGCCAGATATGATGTCATGTGCCTATACTCCCAGCTACTCTGGAGGATGAGGCCAGAGGATCACTTGAGCCTAGGAGTTCAAGGCTGCAGTAAGCTATGGTGTGATCATAGGCACTCCAGCCTGGGTCACAGAGCAAGGCCCCATCTCTGTTTAAAAAAAAAAAAAAAAAAGAAGAAGAAGATGTATGAGAAACCCTCTTAGCAATGCAATTAGACTAGCAGCAAAGGAAAGCAAGTGATAGTGTATTTTTTAATTGTTAATTTTATCACTTATCAAAAAAGGCTTGAACCATTGACTTTAATAGAATACTGATTACTCTGATAATTTTGGGATGAGAAAACAAACATATCAATACTTGGAACACAGTCTCTTTCTCCATCCCATCCTGCTACCAGAAAGAAGAATAACCTATCAGTCACCTAATGGGCAAAGAACACATTGATTAGGAAATAGCTGTCACTTATAGTTGAAAGACTCAAGGCAGATGTGACAATATAACAAATGTATGATTCTCTTAGGCAGCTAGAAAATTAGAAACAGGCCATTAAAATGTACATGCTAGTTAGTAAGAGGAAATGCCACTGGCCAAATCATTTGTAGGTTAGAGTCCCTATGTAATGACATATGTTTAATATTAAAGCTATCTGTGAATATATTTTTCTTTCAGAGTCTTCGCTTCACTCTTCTTAACTTCTGCCATTCCTGTTATTATCCAGCTTGCCGTTCTCCAAATTACATATCTTCCTCACAAAAAAAAAATTGTCTTTTATCTGATTCTCTTACTCATATTTTCTTATTTAAAAATGTAATTTAACAGTCACACCAGGTGGAACAAAAACATGGTGTTTCTCTTAGAATTCCCCTGTGAGTAATGAGAACAGTCCTGAAATTTTCACTCTGCCAAGTGTAACCCTTTGAACTATCTGGAATGAGCCAGAGAACTTCAGCTTAGTAGTGTAGGTCACAGGCTAGTCCATAGCCACAGTGTCTTTTTCATATTCTTACCCTGCAGGGATATAACTGGATTAAACTCTTCCTGAGCAAATTGGCGTCCCTCATTAAAGATCAACAAGAGTAACCAGGCTCATTCCCCAGAGAACTGCATCAACAGCCCAACTTTAGGTCTACAATAGGAACCTCCCAAAGCTCAAGGTGTGCTCAGTGAGCTTAGACACACCAATGAAGCACACCCTGGACTTGTAAACATTAGCCGGGCACAGTGGTACACACCTGTACTCCCAGCTACTCAGGAGGCTGAGGCAGAAGAATCCCTTGAGTTCTAGGCTGTGGTGATCTACAGTCACATCTGTGACTAACCACTGCACTCCTACCTGAGCCACATAGCAAGACTGCATCACAAAAAATTGCCACAAAAGTCAAAACATGCCATGGTAGCTGGAACCTTTGACTGGGTATACAATGTTCCCGATTCCCAGAACATGTATCATAAGACCCCACAAATAGGATAGAGAGGCAAGGAGTAATAGGAGCAACTGGCATTGGAGAGGTTGCTCCTTGTCATTAGAAGTCCTTTTCATAGAGCAGTAAGACAAATACTGCACTTCTTTTTCTTCTGAAGACAAAATCTTGGATGATGATAAAGGCTAAAGGGCATGGGATTTGGAATTAGGCTGCTGAAATTAAATCCCAGCCCTATGTAATGAAATAATATTAAAGCTATCTGTGAATATATTTTTCTTTCAGAGTCTTAGCTTCACTTTTCTTGTTTATTTAATTAAAATTAAAATAATTTAAATTTAAATTATTAAATAATTTATGTATTAATATAATTAATTTAATTAAAATTAAAGTTTTAAATTTTCTTAAATTTCCTCATGATAAAGATAATAATATTATCTACCCTCATACAATTATTGTTAAGAATAGTTGAAATAGTACACAAGAAGTACTTGCCACAGATTCTGGCACATTATAATCATTCAAAACCTGTCAAATCTTTTATTATTTCTTACAGAAAATATTCTAATTTTTATCCTTTATTCTCTTTTGGTGTTCTTTGTCTCCATTTTAATTAATGTCAGTATAGTATTGCTTCAGATACCATGATTATCAGATAAGATGACAGACTGTTTCAGATATTGTTACTGTCAGTTTGAGATTAACAACTTCTTGGAACAATTTTCTCTTCGAGTTACACAAAATATTGATTATCTGAATGTGTCCTTTTATCTTATATCTTCTTTTCATCGAGATATCATTTTTCCTTGACTCAGGGCAGTGCCAGTAGAGTTGTAGGTATTACCGTTAGATGAAAATTCCTTGTGGTTTAAAACCTTTCAGAGAGGCCGGGCGCGGTGGCTCATGCCTGTAATCCCAGCACTTTGGGAGGCAGAGGCGGGTGGATCACCTGAGGTCAGGAATTCGAGACCAGCCTGGCCAACATGGTGAAACCCTGTCTCTACTAAAAATACAAAATTAGCCGGACATGGTGGTGTACGCCTCTAATTCCTGCTACTCAGGAGGCTGAGGCAGGAGAATTGCTTGAACGTGGGAGGCGGAGGCTGCACTGAGCCGAGATCGTACCACTGCACTCCAGCCTGGGCAAGACAGAGCAAGACTCTATCTAAAAAAAACATAAAAACCTTTCAGAGAAATAGAATTCAGTGTTATGTTGACTCAGAGAAAAACACATACACGCGCACACACACTCATGTTCACATACCAAGAAAGGTAAGTTTTCAGTGACTTTTTTCTTCAGCTAGTGGGTCTTCCTCTTCCTACCTGTTATATCAGCGTGTATGTATTATTTAAGTTCTATTTTTGACAAATAGATGTCAGAGCTAGAGTATTCTAGCGCTAGAATCTAATACTTCATATCTAGTATTTGTAGACAGCAAAGTTGGCTTCAATATCTTGCCTAAAAATAGAATGCATGGGAATTATTACAATGTAATATATCTCCTATACTGCATTGTTAATTAATTCAGGATCCTAAATTACAACATAACCTGAATGACATTAATCAAAGTTGCATGTCAGTGTAGTATTCTCATGGAGAATAAGAACAAAGCAACCTTGAAAACTTTTTTTGTTTGTTTTTGTTTTTTGTTTTGTTTTGTTTTTTGAGACAGTTTTGCTCTTGTTGTCCAGGCTGGAATGCAGTGGCACAATCTCAGCTCACTACAACCTCCACCTCCCTGGTTCAAGTGATTCTCCTGCCTCAGCCTCCCAAGTAGCTGGGACTACAGGCACGTGCCACCATGCCCAGCTAATTTTGTATTTTTAGTAGAGGTGGCGTTCCACCATGTTGGTCAGGCTGGTCTCGAACTCCTGACCTCAAGTGATCCACCCACCTCAGCCTCCCAAAGTGCTGGGATTATAGGCGTGAGCCACTGCGCCCAGCGAAAACTTATTTTTTAAAAATTACATAAATAACATGTACTTGAAGTATATTGGAAAATCAGACTATAATGCAAGCCTGGACAAAAGCACACAGGCATTTGAATCTGGTGGTTGGAGTGTCTGATATCACAAATGCCTTTAATGTATTTATTATAAAATATTAAAAACTTATCACAGATACTTTTGGTAGACAATCGTGATGTGCTAACATTTATGTGGTATAAATTGATATAGTATTTTTTGTTGTCTAATACCATATTTCAACTGAAATATGTTACAAGTGTTAGGTCTGACACATTTGGAGGATTAAATTTTCTTTCAATTATTTATTAATTTAACAAAAATATATTGAGTGGCTAATATATGCTAGGCCTGTTCTAGGGTCTTAGAATACAGAAGTGAATAAAACAGACTCAAATCTCAGCCCTCATAGAGATTGCATTCTAGTGGGGGAAGACAGACAATAGGCATACTAAGTAAGTTATTTAATACTATCTAGTGTTAGGCAGTGTTAACGTACTGTGGGTGGGAGGAAGAGGGAATAAAGCAGAGTAAAAGGGATTGGGATTGCTGGGCAAGAGGGTCTTTGATTGTATGTAGGATTATCAGAGCAAGCCTCTCTGAGAACATATCATTTGAACAAGGATTTGAAGGAGGTAAGGGAGTTAGACATGTAGTTATCTTTGGAAGGCTATTCCAGGCAAAGAAGAAAGCCAGTGCAAAGGCCCTAATATATAAGCACTCCTAGATTTTCCAAGGAACAGTGAAGAGGCCAGTAAGTTGCAGCAGAATGAAAGAGGGAGGTTACAGAGTAGAAAATGAAGACACAGTTAAATGGGAAGTGGAGAGTGTACACTAAGTAGGACATAGGACAAGACTGTAATCTGAGTGAAACTGCAGACTAGAAGGAACAACAGTTAAAGCAATGAGACCAACTAGAAGCTATTAAAATACTTCAGTTTAGGAACATACCTATTTGGGGTAAATAATAAGAATAATTCAGGCAAAAGTTGGTGGTGGCTTGGACCAAGGTGGTAGCAGTGGAAATAGAAATTAGTGTCTAGAGTTTGTATATATTTTAAATTGTGGATATTTATTCAATTTCTTGGCAGATTGAATATAGGGTATAAGAAAAAGAGAGGCCTGTAACTATAACTATAGGGTTACTGGCATGACTAAGTGGAAAGTTGGAATGGCCATAACTGAGATGGAGAGCAGGTAGGGGGAATAAAATCAGGGATTATGGGGGGTTTTTTGGTTGTTGTTTTGTTTTGAAATGGTGTCTCACTCTGTTGGCCAGGCTAGAGTGCAGTGGCACGATCATGGCTCACTGCAACCTGCGCCTCCCAGGTTCAAGCGATTTTCCTGCCACAGCCTCCCGAGTAGTTGGGACTACAGGCATGCGCCACCACGCCTGGCTAATTTTTTTGTACCTTTTAGTAGAGACAGGGTTTTGCCGTGTTGGCCTGGCTGGTCTCAAACTCCTGACCTCAGGTGATCCACCCGCCTCAGCCTCCCAAAATGCTGGGATTACAGGTGTGAGCCACCACACCCAGGCCTGGGGATTATGTTTTGAATATATTAACTTGGTAATATGTGTTAGACATGAAAATATTGATGTTTAGCATTTAGTTTGATATGAGAGCCTAGAGTTCAGAGACTGGCAGTCTATGCTGGAATTATACATTTGGGAGTGTTGGGGACTAACCTAAGTCAAGTTAATTATATATAAGTCTTAGGTTCTTTTGGCAATAACTGTAGCCATTAAAGAATGTAACAGTTACCAAACATTGGTAACTACTTTCCTTACTGCCAGTAAACATAAAAGAAAATCTCTAACCAAATTCTGTGCAAATAAAGACATTAATGAAATAAACATTCATTAGCAAGCAGATACAAAACTATTCATATATTTTATATACTCTCTGAGTATTTAGGTAATCCAGCCACTACTTTGCATGAATGGTTAACTTAAGGAAGATAAGACATATATCACAAAACTAAACAATATCTTGAGATAACTAAAAACAAAACACAAACAAAACCAAACATATTGGATGAAGCAAAAGCAGTACTCAGAGGGACTTTATGGCTGTAAATGCAATGTTAAAAAAAAACAACGATCTCAAATCAGCAACCTAATTTTATACCATAAGGAACTTGAAAAGAAGACCAGACTAAACTCAAAGCCAGCAGGAGGATGGAAATAATAAAGATTTCAGCAGAGATAAATGAAATAGAGAAAAATAATCATCATAGAAATCAAAAGTTGGTTCTTTGAAAAGATCAACAAAATTGACAATCTATTAGCTAGACTGAGTGTTTAAAAAAAAAGGGAAAAGGCAAATAACTAAAATCAGAAATGAACAATGGGACTTTGCTGCTGACCTTATAGAAGTTAAAAGGATTGATAATACTATAAACAACTGCATATCAACAAATTAGACAATCTAGGCCAGGCACAGTGGCTCACACCTGTAATCCCAACACTTTGAGAGGCCAAAGCATGAAGAATGCTTGAGGCCAGGAGTTTGAGATCAGCCTAGGCAACACAGTGAGTCCTTGTCTCTACAAAAAAATTAGCCATGTGTGGTGGCATGCACCCGTAGTCCTAGCTACTCAGGAGGCTTAAGCCCAGGAGTTCAAGGCTGCAGTGAGCCATGATTGTGCCACTGCACTCCAGCCTGTGTGGTAGAGCAAGACCCTGTCTCAAAAAAAAAAAAAAAAAAAAGGCACAGTGGCTCATGCTTGTAATCCCAGCACTTTGGGAGGCTGAGGTAGGCAGATCACCTGAGGTCAGGAGTTTGAGACTAGCCTGGCCAACATGACGAAGCACCACCTCTACTAAAAATACAAAAATTAGCTGGGTGTGGTGGTGTATGCCTATAATCCCAGCTACTTGGGAGGCTGAGGAGGAGAACCACTTGAACCCAGGAGGCAGAGGTTGCAGTGAGCTGACATCATACCACTGCATTCCAGCCTGGGTGACAGAGTGAGTCTCCATCTCAAAAAAAAAAAAAAAAAGATAATCTAGATGAATCAAAGATGTGCCTGTAATCCCAGCACTTTGGGAGGCTGAGGCAGGCGCAGATCACCTAAGGTCAGGAGTTTGAGATCGGCCTGGCCAACATGGTGAAACCCTGTCTCTACTAAAAATACAAAAATTAGCTGGGTGTGGTGATGCATGCCTGTAATCCCAGCTACTTGGGAGACTGAGACAGGAGAATCACTTGAACACAGGAGGTAAAGGTTGCAGTGAGCCAAGATCACACCATTGCACTCCAGCCTGGACAACAGAGCAAGACTCTTGTCTCAAAAAAAAAAAAAAGTGTTCCCTAGAAACACACACAATACAAAACTGACCCAAGAGGAAATAGACAATGTCAACCTACCTGTAACAAGTAAAGAGATTGAATCAGTAATTGAAAACCTCCTGAAAAAGAAAACTCAGGGACCAGATGGCTGCACTGATGAAATTCTACCAACAATTTCATGAAAGGAGAATTTCATCACTTTTACTGAAACTCTTACAAAAACTAGAAAAGCAAATACTCCCTAACACATTCTGTGAGACCAGCATTACTCTCATACCAAACCCAGACAAAGATACTACAAGAAAGCTACAGACCAGTATCCCATATGAATATTGATACAAAAATCTTCAACAAAATACTACCAAGCAAATCCAGCAGCACATTAAAAGTATTTATACTTTATGACCAAATGGGACTTGTCCCAGGAATGCAAGGATTGTTCAACTTAAGACAGTCAATCAATGTAATACATGGCATTAATAGATCTAAGGGAAAAATAATATATGGTCATTTCAATAGATACTAAAAAAAATTTGACAAAACTCAACATCCTTTTATAATTAAAACACTCAGCAAACTAGGAATAGAAGGGAACTTCCTTAACATCACAAAGGGCATTTATAAGAAAAATCACAGCTAATATCATCCTGTATGATGAAAAGCTGAAAGCATTTCTTCTAAGATCAGGAAGAAGATGAGGATGCCCACTTTCACTCCTGCTATTCACCTTTTTACTGGAATTCCTACACTTAGCAATTCGGCCAGAAAAAGAAATAAAAATCTTCTAAATTAGGAACATGCAAAATGATTTCTATTTGCAGGTGACATGATTCTGTATACAGAAAATATCATATAACTCACAGAAAAAAATACTGCAGCTAATTAACAAATTCAGCAAAGTTATAGGGAACAAGATCAACACCCAAAAATCAGTTGTTTCCATATACCAGCAAAGAAATTTTTAAAAAAGAAAAAAAAAATAGTTCAGTTTGCAACATTTAGAAGAGTAAAACACCTAGGAATATATTTAACCAAAAAATTGAAAGATTTATCCACTGAAAACTAAAAAACATTGCTGAGAGAAATTAAAGAAAATCTAATAAATGGAAAGACATCCCATATTCATGGATTGGAAAACTTTAAGATAGCAATATTCCCCAAAACAATCTACAGATTCAAGTGGTCTGTTTGCAGAAATAAAAAGCCAACCTTCAAATTGATACGGAACTGTAAGGGGCCTCAAAAAGCCAAAACAATATTGAAAAACAAAAGCAAAGCTGAGAGGACTTACACTTTCCAAATTCAAAAGTTACTACAAAGCTACAGTAATCAACAAGCATAGTGCTGGCAAAAAGACAGACATATAAACCAATGGAATAGAATTGAGAGCCCATAAATAAATCCAAATATCTATGGCAAATTAATTTTTGACAGGAGTACCACAACCATTCAATGGAGAAAGAAGAGTACCTTCAACAAATCATACTAGAACATTTGTATAATGACATGTAAAAAAAAATGAAGTGGGACTCCATATAAAATAATTAACTCATATATAATAATTAACTCATGGATCAAGGACCTCAATGTAAGGGGTAAGATTGCAAAATTCTTAGAAGCAAACATAGAAGTAGATCTGCATTTCCTCAGATTTGACAATGGATTGTTAGATTTGACACCAAAAGCACTAGTAACAAAATTTAAAAATAGATTAGATTCTGCAAAAATGTAAAGCTTTTTTGCATTAAAAAACATTTTCAGCCAGGTGCAGTGGCTCATGCCTGTAATCCCAGAACTTTGGGAGGCCACAGCATAAGGCTTGCTTGAGCCCAGGAATTTGAGACCAGCATGGGCAATATAGTGAGACCTTGTCTCTAGAAAAAAAAAAAAAAAAAAAAAAACTTTTAATTAGCCAGAGGCAGTGGCACAGGCCTGTGCTCCCAAGCTACTTGGGAAGCTGAGCTGGGATCACTGGAGCCCAGGAGATCGAGGCTGCAATGAGCCATGATTGTGCCGCTGCACTCCAGCCTGGGTGACAGAGCAAGAGCCTGTCTCAAAAGAAAAGTCTTTTTTCTTTTCAACAAACTGAAAAGGGAGAAAATATTTGCAAATCTTATCTCTGATAAAGTTCTAGTATCCAGACTATAAAAAGAATGTTTACAATTCAACAACAAAAAAAAGCCCAATTATAAAATTGACAAAGGACTAGACATTTCTCCAAAGAATTCCAAAGTAGCCAATAAGCACAGAAAAAGATGTCCTACATAATTGGTCATGAAGGAAATGCAAGTCAAAACCAGACTGAGTTACCACTTCAGAACCACTAAGATGGTTTTAATTTAAAAGACTGAAAATGACATGTCAGCAAGGCTGTGAAAAATAGGAACCCTCATACATTGCTGGTGGGAATGTAAAATGGTGCAGCTGCTGTGAAAAACAATATGGCAGTTCCTCAAAAAATTAAACCTAGAATCACCATATGATCCAGAATTTCTAATATATACTCAAAAGAACGGAAAGCAGGGTCTCAAAGAGGTATTTGTACATCCATATTCATAGCAGCAATAATAGCCAAATAGTTCATAATAGCCAAAAGGTACTAAACAACCCAAATGGCCATCAACAGCTGGATGGATAAACAAATCAAAGTGTATACATAAAATGGAATATTATTTTTCCATAAAAAGAGATGAAGTACTTTTCATGCGCGTCCGTGTAAAGAGACCACCAAACACGCTTTGTGTGAGCAATAAAGCTTTTAATCACCTGGGTGCAGGCAGGCTGAGTCTGAAAAGAGAGTCAGCAAAGGGAGATAAGGGTGGGGCCGTTTTATAAGCTTTGGGTAGGTAAAGGAAAATTACAGTCAAGGGGGTTTGTTCTCTGGCGGGCAGGAGTGGGGGTCGCAAGGTGCTCAGTGGGGGAGGTTTTTGAGCCAGGAAAAGGACTTTCACAAGGTAATGTCATCACTTAAGGCAAGGACCGGCCATTTTTACTTCTTTTGTGGTGGAATATCACCAGTTAAGGCAAGGACCGGCCATTTACACTTCTTTTGTGGTGGAATGTCATCAGTTAAGGCAGGGCAGGGCATATTCACTACTTTTGTGATTCTTCCGTTACTTCAGGCCATCTGGGCGTATATGTGCAAGTTACAGGGGATGCAGTGGCTTGGCTTGGGCTCAGAGGCCTGACAGTACTGATACTTACTATAACTTATATGACCCTTGAAAACATTATGCTAAGTGAAAGAAGCCAGACACAGTTGGTCACATGTATGGTACCTTCTATATGAGGTATCTAGAGTAGACAAATCCATAGAGAATGAAAGCAGATTAGAGGTTACTGGGGGAGTACAGGGTGTTGTTATAGGGTGATGAAAAAGTTTGCAAACAAGAGAGAATTGATAGTTGCACAACATTGCAAATACACTAAAGGCCATTTGATTCTACACTCTAAAGTAGTTAATTGTATGCTATGTGAATTTCAGCTCAATTAGAAAATAAGAATGGACTGAAATGGATGCTTTCATTGAAAGCTAATGGAAATGTAAAGTGATGCAACCCTCTCCTTAGGAAACAAGGTTTCTATATTCAAGAATAAGTTCTAAACTTACTACTCTTTGATCCAGTATTCTGTATCTAGGAATGAAAGAAACTAATTTGGGTGCAAACTAATTTGGGTGCAAACTAAAGCATTCTTTTTTTAATAGTGAAGGATTAGGAAAATTCCTTTACCTCCAACAATATGGAATTAATTTTTAAATAAGATATAGGCAGGAAAATTATATTTTTGTAATGTCTGTGTAGATACCACTTTAGAAAAATAATTTTAGAAGTATACATAATAATACATGTCTTTTACGCTGTTTCCTTTGGCTTTCTCTTAATGGGATTTTGGTGTTTCCATCATTTTTCTCTCTGCTTATTTATTTTTCAAGAATTTTCATGATGACTAAATACTCATAAATAATACTGAGTGAAAATAATACTAAACTATGCTAAAATGTGTTTATTTATGCATGCACTTGCCTTGGAGAAAAAAAGTATGTGACTAAAAGTATGCTAAAATGTAATAATGATTATCTCTTCATTTTAAGTTGTTGGATAATTTTACTTAGATTATTCTCCTTATACTTTTAAGCTTGCTTATTGCATAGGCAATTTTAATAGTATAAACAGGAAAACAGAAGCCTAGTTTGATGTCATGTAGACAAAATAAGTCTTTTAACATAAGGGGTTGTGGAGACCAAGGTTTTATCATGAAGATGAAGTCTCCAGGTAGCAGGCTTCAGTGACAGTAGATTATAAATGCTTCTTCTCAGACTTAAAGAGTCTGTTCTATCAGTCTTAAGGGCTTTGTATTGATGTTAATGCTGGTCAGCTGTGCCTGAATTCCAAAAGAAAGGAGCATATAATGAGGCATATCTGACCCTCACTTCCGGTCATGGCCTGAACTACTTTTTCAGGTTAACTTTTGAATGCCTGAGGGGAGGGTCCATCAGTTAGAGTTTTATTTTTGGTTTACTTCTGTTAAGTCAGTCTTTGCTAGTAGTGTCATGAAATCAGCTTGTGTTTAATTTTGGGTTTGTTTGTTTGTTTGTTTTTGAGACAGGGTCTTACTCTATCTCCCAGGCTGGAGTGCAGTGGTACAATCACAGCTCACTACAGCCTCAACCTCCCTGGGCTCAGGTGATTCTCCCAGGTCAACTCCCAGGTAACTGGGACTACAGGCACATGCCACCATGCCTGGCTAATTTTTGTATTTTTTGTAGAGGTGGGGCTTCACCACATTGCCCAGGCTGGTCTGAAAAGTCCTGAGCTCAAGCAATCCACCTGCCTTGGCCTCCCAGAGTGCTGGGATGACAGGCATAAATGGCCTGCTTTTAATTTTTAATTCAACTCTGTAAGAATAAATTTTATCTTAATAAAGATAGCTAACATTATTATTTACTATGTGAGATACTCTACTTTTAAACATTATCTTTCAATCAGCTCAATTCCACAAGGTGGACTAATTCTGCAGCCCATGCTGTTCACTATACTGTTTTCCAGTTTCATACACATTGTTAATGCCTATCCTTAAATTCATGTTCCTTTTCATTATACCTTACTGTTTCCAACTTAAGAACTATATAAATAATCAGGTAAATATACTTTCCAGTGATTGCATATTTTTGGATAACATTAGTGATGTTTAGCAGAGTCCCCTTGAATATTAAAATATTTATATATTAATTAACTTTGTCATTTAAATGTTAAGTTTAAGCATGTAGAAAAATACCTAGAAAATACATATATTGTATAAAAGTGAATTACAATAGGGAAAGATTGACTATTGGAATGGCAGTGTGAGGACCACATGAACTTGCTCTCCCAGAGCCCCCAAAAAGAACAACAACAAAAATACTGGCCAACCATATAATATCCACCATTTCAGAACTCTGGAAATTAACCAAAGCCACAGAATGGACTGAGTATTGTCTATTCTAAGGAAAACTACTGATCCTTGATAAGACACCGAATCTATGGCATTTTTATCTTGGAGCAATTCCCATCCTGCCCCCCTTCTCAACTGAGTAGTGCAGTAGCCATGGAAAGCCAGCGGCTTCACAGCCAATGGATATGACTGACCTCCTTGGAGCTGCATGAAAATCTCCATCCCTATTACTATCAACATTTTGTCTGAACTAGCAGCTCCCTGGAAAATCTTCATTCTCAGCATCTTGGCTATTTCATTTGACTAGGGCATTACCAAAAACAACAGTAATCTGCTGGCAACATCTCAGCTACCTAAGCATGTGATTAAAGGTGGAGGAAACAAGATCCTGATCAAAATATAAGAGGAATTCTTAGAAAACTGGAAAACATACGCAGCTTTGAAAAGCTACAACATATTTTTGGGGATCTAGAAGACTTTGCAAATTCCTAGAAAGGAAAACACCTCATTCAAATAATCAGCTCCCTTCTGCTTCACCATGAAGCCCTGCGTAAGCAGGAAATGAAAACTAAGGCTGTCATTTTCTGAACTTTGAAGGCATGCCTTCACACACAAATCACTTTGACAAAGGGTGGGAGATGTACAGGCAAGAGATTTAGGGAAATCTTACAACAAATCACTGGCTGACCACTAAATAATACTGACCCAGGTATGCCAAGTAGGAAGCCAGATGTAGAATAAAAACTTTAAAAATAAAAATTAAAAAGACCCTGGGGCAACTGCTGCAGGGAATACAGAATCCACAGAATTCACTACATGAAAAAAAAAAAAAAGTCACTAAACAAATAAACAGTAACAAAACAACAAACCCTTGGGTGGGGTTAAGCGATACCAGAGTTATCAATATTATCTTAAAAGTCCAGTTTTCAACAAAAATTATAAGACATACAAAGAAACAGGAAAGTAGGCTAATACACATCTCTTTAAAAAAATAAAAAGACAACAGAAAATGTGCCTACAGGGCCAGATGCTTTACTTAATTGGTGTGTGTGTGTGTGTATGTGTGTGTGTGTGTGTGTGTGTGTGTGTGTGTGTGTGTAGTTGAGCTTCTTTCACGTGTTTATTGACCATTTTCATGGCTAATAACTATTAGTCATTTGGGAAATGCAAGTAAAAACCATAATGAGATACCACTTCACAACCATGAGCATGGCTATAATACAAAAGACACAACAAAAAGTGTTATTGAGGATGTGGAAAAATTTGAACCATTATCCATTGCTGGTGGGAACATAAAATGGTGCAGGTACTTTGGAAACAGTTCGATAGTTCCTAATGATGTTAAACACTTAGCTACATAATCAAAAGAAAGGAAAACAAGAGTGAATACAAAAATAAACCTGTATATGAATGTTCACAGCAGTATTTTCATAGTAACCAAAAATGGAAATGACTGAAATGTCCATCAATTAATGAAATTAATTAATGAAACAAAATGTATATATAACAAAGTGGAGTATTATTTGGCAAGTAACAGTAATAAAGTATGGAAACATGCTACCATATAGATGAACCTTGAAAACATGCTAAGTGAAAGAAGCCAGTCACAAAAGACCACATTGTATGATTGCATTTATATGAAATCTTCAGAATAGGCAAATCTATTGAGTCAGAAAGCAGATTAGTGATTACATACAGCTGGAAGTGTGCAGGTTGGAAACAGACATGGCTTCTCATGTGTATGGAGTTTCTTTCTCAAGTGATAAAAATGTTCTAAGATTAGATTGTGGTGATGGCTGAACAATTCTTTGAATATACTCAAAACCACTTAACTGTACACTTTAAACGGGTGATGTGTATGGTATGTGAATTATATCTCAGTAACGCTGTTTTCTTTAAAAAGTGAATCATTGGCTGAGCACGGTGGGTCACGCCTGTAATCCCAGCATTTTGAGAGCCCGAGGCAGGGGGATCACTTGAGCCCAGGAGTTCAAGGCCGGGCAACATAGTAAGACCCCGTCTCCACAAATATTTAAAAATTAGCCGAGCCTGGTGGCACATGCCTGTGGTCTCAGCTACTTGGGAGGCTCGGAAGGAGGATAGCTTGAGCCTGAGAGGTCAAGGCTCAGTGCAGTGCTACTGCACTGCAGCCTAGGTGGCAGAGTGAGACCATGTCTCAAAAAAAGAAAAAAGTGAATCATTAATATTAATGACCTGTATCTTTCATTTCACATTTTGAAACGTGATACATTCCAGTACCTAAATTTTTAACATTTTATCATTTTAATATTTGATGGGAGCAATGTTTCCAGAGATGTTTTTAATTTTTTTTTAATTGAATAACTCTAGCTGGCCAACTCAGCCAATCCGCACATTTAGCTCTCCAACTACCATACAACGTGCTTGGTTTAGGTCGGAGCGCAAATTTTCTTGACCATCTCTACGTTGGTATTCCCCGTCCATCTGGAGAAAAAGTGAGTAAAAATTCATTTTGTTTACAATTAATCTATGTTTTAATATTCACTATTTAAGTATTTAAATTAAATAATTTGAACCTAATTGAATTTGAATTCAAATAAACCAAATATTTTTATTCCCTTTAAAGAATAAAGAAAAATTTATTGGTAGTGACCTAAGCTTATCTTACTTAGAGCACATCATGATTTTAAGATACCGTGTAGTTTTTCCCTCTCCTCTCCCATAAACGTCACCTATCCCTCTATCCTGCTTTTTCATCCTAACATTTTTCACCACCTAACGTGTACATAAATATTTTAGTAACATAAATAATATTATTATACATATGTGTATTATTTATATAATATGTAAAATCATATTATTTTACTTGCTTTGTTTATTGTCAGTCTCAATTTGAATTTTAGCTCCAAGCAGCATTTGTACATAGCCCTTTGAACAGTGCCTGCTACGTAAGTGTCTAATAAATATTTGTTGAATGAATGAATTCATAAAACACAAATATAATCTTTCCCAAAAAGATGAGAAAATTTTCCAACAGATGGCACAAAAGCCTTATTTTTGGCTTAATATTGGTAAACATAGCTTAATCCATACCTAGAATTTGAATTTCTCAAAGTAGCTAGATTTTTCATTATTTATTTAGAATAATAATTGTGTTTTTTAAATGTGCTGAATGTTAAATGTTCTTAAATTCTTCTTCCAGTCTATACGAAAACAAGAGTGGACTGCAATCATTCCAAATTCCCAGCTAATTGTCATTCCATACCCTCACAATGTCCCTCGAAGGTAATGTACTTGCTTGAACCGATTTGGTAAAGACACTGCTAACTCTGAATTATACATACAGTGATGTCTTTTAAGCTCTCTCATATTCCTGCTGTGTTCCCATGAGTGCCCATCCCTTAATTTGCTTACGGCAAACTTTAAATGACTAAACATACTTACATAAAAGGTCCCAGACATTTTTCATGAAGAACAAATTCAATCCTATTAGAAAAACAGGAGGTTAACTAATTAGGGATTTATATGTATTCTGCTTAAATAAACTGCTCTTCAGTTTACTAGTTATAAATTCAAACTTTCAGGATACTAAATCTTTGTATAAAGCACTAATCTTTTAAATAAATTATTTGAGAAGTAGTATATATCCCACAGTGGTTGGGCACAAATTTTGGAGTTAAATAGATGTAGGCTAAAATGATTCAGCTCCATTGCTGGCTGACTGCAAGAGTAGGAGCCAGTCCTTTGTCCTCTCCAAGACTCACTTTCTGCATCTGAGGGTGAAATATACTTAACACAGTGCCAAGCATGTGGTAAGCGAATGGTAGGTATTTTTATCCTTATTAACAGAATACATTCATTTCATAATACAGCATTTAACTTTAAATCCTTAAATTTTATTCATTTTTATTTAAATTCCTAGATTGATTCTATTCCTTTTAAATTAGGCGATAAAAGTATTCACTAACATTTAAATTTCATAGGGAAAAATATGCTAGACAAATATCAATATGAGAAAATAACCAAAGAGAAATGGTGAATTTATCTATGAATATGTAACCAGTGGGGTCCCCTGCTTGTTACATTCCCTCTGAAAATACCAGCTTCATCATTCTTTATTAAACATCTCGATCGAATGTATTGATTGCCAAAACCAGCTTATGCCACTTCATGACCTGACTCTGTGCATCTCTATTCAGTGAAGTCACACTGAAATCAGTTATGGTAGGAGAATCTACTCCATGAAAATTGGCAAGTACCATAAACAAGGCTTCCCGAACCCCTCTCTACCTCAGAGCCAGTTTACCAGCATACCAGCAGATGCATTTTATGGTAAATTAATGGGCTTCAGAACCAAACTGCTTAAGAAAATAAACTTTATCACAGCCTTATGCTTGGAATAAGATGACATCATTGAAACAGTTATAGTCCTGGTTCAGATTTTTTTTAATGAGCCTGTATTGTATGTTTGTGTTAGTTTTCTATAGATGAAATTTACAGTAAAACTAGAAAATCTGGACCATGAGTAGGAAACTATATAAAGTACGGTACTTCTATACAGCTCAGTAGCATGATTTTTTTTCACTGCCACGGACATAGAACAGTCTCTTAAGATGGAGTGGTAAGCAAAAAACAATAACAACAACAACAAACAAAAGAAGCAACAGCAAAATGTAGAAGAGTATGTATAATAAGCAGCCATTGTGATTTAAAAAGAAGCCATCTATACATACATGTTCATACATGTATAAAATATCTCTGAAAGGATATGCAGGAAACTGGTAAGAGTGACTGCCTCTGAGGAGAAAACTGAGGATTGACTTTTGTCTTTTTTTTTTTTTTTTTTTACCAAAACACTTACATTCCTGATTTGTTAAAAATCTATTTTAAAAGTAGAACTACCAAAAACATCTCATAAAAGAACTGTTTTCTTAAGTATGAGTATAACACTAAGAGTAGCTTTCAACTAATTAACAGTATTTGTTTTCTTAAGGTTTACTTACTCTTCTGAATTTCCAGAAAATTATACCATAGCTTTTTTCCGTAATCTCAACATTTTTCATGTTTCTCTTACTCTTTCCAAAGAAATGTTCTTTTCAAATTTATGTACATAATAAAAACCAAATTGATTTTAGTTTTTGAGGTGTATTTTGAGGTTATTGACTAGAAGCTAACTTATGGATCAATAAATTTTAATTATCCCAGAATAAATCAATAGCTACTTGCTATTTACCAGAACAGTCTTACCTTTATTAAACTTTTAAAATAAAAATATAGCCATTACCTATTTCTAGGAAGAACAAAAAGTTATGTGTATATAACAACCTTCACACTTGGTGATACAGTCCTTAGTTTTAGGCTTTCAGGGTGTGCAAATGCTATATTACATGGACTGTTTTAGAAGGAAAGAACTAGTTCTGTTTACTAAAGACCTCTAGTCTGTATATTGCCATTAACAGTGAGGGACTAAAGATGATTTTGTAAGTGATCTGAACCTAAAAGTCATTGTAGTAATGTAAACACTCCAACATGATATAAAAATTATAGAAGTTTTGCACAAGCCATCAACATTTATGTTTTACTTGGTCACATTATATATGTGACACAGGTCAAAAATAAGATGATACAGAAGGCTTCTAGGATCATGTGACTACCTTGCTTTAGAGTTCAGGTTTTCAAATTAAGCAGGTAAATCAAGATGTAAAAAAGATGTCTATGATTATCCAAAGTACCCTTGGATATGTTTACCTAAAAATAATTCTCATAGGATCAAACTTGGAAAATGAAAAATATTGAAATATCTCATCAAAAATTCTATTTCAGTTGTCTAGGTAAAATATAAACTGCAGAATCATCAATATTCTCAGCACTATCTGATTTTTAATTGTTTTTGTTTTATTTATAATGAATGGACTGATGAATGAATGGTTTAATGAATACATTGACTGTTTAATTAATAAGCTATTTTGCTTTGGGGTCTCAATATAACTTTGTTATTTTTAAATAAAATTTGTAATTTTAATTTGTTCTGTTTTTATCTACAGTTGGAGTGCCAAACTGTATCTTACACCAAGTAATATTGTTCTGCTTACTGCTATAGCTCTCATCGGTGTCTGTGTTTTCATCTTGGCAATAATTGGCATTTTACATTGGCAGGAAAAGGTTTGTTCATTTAAAGGAAGCATTAATTTTGGTTAATTTATTCTAGTAATACATACATTGCTCTTTAAAAACACTATATTTATTTTAAACTTTTTTCATATGACTAGAATTTCATCATTTTTCAAGTTCTGTTCAAAGCATCATTTTATTGATGATAATTTCTTTTATCCCTGGAAGTTACTAATGTCTCCTATCAATTCATACAAATCACAAGAGATGTCTACTTTAAAAGTTTGATGCAGTACGGTAGTAATAAAGTGATCAACCGGAAATCAAAAGGCATTTAGAAACAATTTCATAATGACCTGAAAAATAATAATGATTTTAAAAAATGAACGTGTGTTCAGTATGTACTGATAAAGCCATGGACATTCTTTGGCTAGGATTATCAGCTATCTCTTTGAAAAGAATTAGAGTGAAAAGAGGTTAAATTATTTTCTTGAGGTTTAGGTGGAAGGTAACAACTGAAGCAATAAACAGCCAGGCATGGTGGCTCATGCCTGTAATCCCAGCACTTTGGGAGGCCAAGGTGGACAGATTGCTGGAGCTCAGGAGTTTGAGACCATCCTGGGCAACATGATGAAACCCCGTCTCTACAGAATACACAAAAATTAGCCAGGCACCATGATGCAAGCCTGTAATCTCAGCTACTCAGGAGGCTGAGGTCGGAGAATCACCTGAGCCCAGAAAGTTGAGGGTACAGTGAGCTGCGATTGTACCACTTCACTCCAGCCTGGGCAAAAGGAGTGAGACCCTGTCTCAAAAAAAGAAAAAAGCCATAAACATCTTTTTCATCTATCAAGTATTCTTTGCATTAAACTGATTTCTGTTCTTTAGTATAATACTCTAAATAATAATTGAAAACAAAACTCCCAAATATGTAAAAGATTTTTATGCAAAGAAAAAAGAGGCTATCACTGTAAATTAGCAGTTTAGATATATGTGAAAAAGCTAGTTTCTATTTATATATGGGTTCCAATCAATGCCCTCAAAAAAGGGCTGCTTTGTGGCCCCAAAGAAAGGTGTTTTTCTTTTTTTGCACCTACACTCTGGATTGACATGCCATCATAATCATTTTTTGCTAGAATTACCGTGTTTGTTCTTTTAACATATGAAAAAGAACATATTAGTTGTTCTATAAATGCTCATAGGCTTGTCACTTTTAAAAAATCACTCCTTTACATATCAAAAACAGTAACATGAAGTTACATATTCAATTAACCTTAAGATTGCAACTTAAGAGTAAGATCAAGGACAACCATACATACTTGGTCCAGAAGTATCAGAATATCATCTGAAAGATTCCACAGTTCTTGACCTGTGAAGCAAAGGAAATGAATTTCATTAATTCCTCAGTAGATCTGATTACAGCATAAACATTGCGTGCTTATAACAATAATTATGCAGTGGCCAAAAATGAAAGTTTTAAGTACAAGTATATATTTGACTATATATATACTGTATCTCCTGTGGCACTGTGGTATCTCAAAGAGGTAGAACCTCTTTAACCACTTTTTTACTTAAGCAGGCTGGCTCCTTCTACCATTTTCTCAATGCAGGCTTTCCCCAGTGTCTGCCCCTGGCCCTCTTCTTTCAACACTTTCCCTGCCAATTTCATCTAAAATCATGGCTTCAGATATCCCCAGCTCTCATCTCTAAAGGTCCTTCCCCATTTCCAACTGTCACCATGATAGCTCAACCTAGATGACTTACAGCACCTCAAAACCAGCATTCTAAAGCTTCATCTCTCTTACTTAACCTACAAGATTTCATCACTTGCCTATGGACTCTGCCTCTGTAAGAAGTTCTACAGCTGACTCCACTTCTACATTCCTACTGCACTGCCCCTTCTTACATCCTACTTGGTCTCTTTCTTTCCGTTCTCTCCCCTTTCCATTCTCTCCCCTTTCCATTCCATTTAGCACACTGCTGCCAGTGATTCATTCTGTTTAGCCTTCATCATGTCACTCCCCTGCTGAAAAAGCTCTAGTGAATATCCATTGCCTTTTATGTATAAAATCCTTGGCCTGGCCTGCATATGACTTCCATGTGACTCCACAGTCGTATTTTTTACCAGTTGCTTTCACATATCCGTGCTCCTTCCAGCCTTCTCATGATTGATCATGTTGTAACCCCAGCTTGGAGTGAATACCACTCTCCCCATTTCCATACTTTCAAATGCTTTCCCTGTCTTTTCAAAGCTTTCCCTTTCCTCACCCGGATCTAGAAGTAGTCTCTTAGACTTGGTAACATTTTTCACTTTTTATCTTGAACTACAGTTATACAATATGTTTTGCATTTGTCTTTTTGGAGAACAAGATACAAAACGGAGGTTTTTTTAATATTAAAATAGCAAACACAGTATTGGTATTGGGAGTATTAGAAGCAAAGGGCCAATGAATATCTGCTAAATTGACAAGTTAATGAAAAAATAATTAGTACATTAGTACTCTGTCACCCAGGCTGGAGTGCAGTGGTGCAATCTTGACTCACCGCAACTTCCGCTCCTGGGTTCAAGCGATTCTCCTGCCTTAGCCTCCCAAGAAGCTGTGATTACAGGTGCCCACCACCACACTCAGCTAATTTTTGTATTTTTTTGGTAGAGACGGGGTTTCACCATGTTGGCCAGGCTGGTCTCGAATTCCTCACCTCAAGTTATCTGCCCTCCTTGGCCTCCCAAAATGCTGGGATTACAGGCATGAGCCACCACCACACCCAGCCATTAGATTTGTTTATTAACATCATTGTTAAAAATGACAGAAAAATGCAATCATTGATTCATCCTTATAGAATCTAATACTTATTCCTATTTTCAAGTAGATAATAAATGATAAGAAGCTAAGTATTTAAGGACCCTAAGTATTTAATGTGCCTTAAGTATTCAAGTATTTATTGTTTTTTAATCAATTAGATCATTAATTATAAAATAGCTACTATAAACTACAAAAATACTAGGACTGTTGAATTAGGAAATCATATCTATTATCTGCTAATTGCTGGAGACTTTTAAAAATGAATCACTGTGTATTTCAGAAATGAGTCTTTTCATAACATCTTTCTACCATTTATAAACGAGTCTAAAATTCTTTTTCAGAAAGCAGATGATAGAGAAAAACGACAAGAAGCCCACCGGTTTCATTTTGATGCTATGTGACTTGCCTTTAATATTACATAATGGAATGGCTGTTCACTTGATTAGTTGAAACACAAATTCTGGCTTGAAAAAATAGGGGAGATTAAATATTATTTATAAATGATGTATCCCATGGTAATTATTGGAAAGTATTCAAATAAATATGGTTTGAATATGTCACAAGGTCTTTTTTTTTAAAGCACTTTGTATATAAAAATTTGGGTTCTCTATTCTGTAGTGCTGTACATTTTTGTTCCTTTGTGGAATGTGTTGCATGTACTCCAGTGTTTGTGTATTTATAATCTTATTTGCATCATGATGATGGAAAAAGTTGTGTAAATAAAAATAATTAAATGAGCAGGAATTTTTGTGTCCACTTGACTTGGTCTTGCTTCTTATTCTAATGATGCAAATTATACTTTTGTGAATATATCACGGAGTCATTAGGCATTCAGCTTCATCACAGCAGGTCAGGGGTCTCACTGATGGCATACAATATAGTGATCGGGTACTCTGACTTGGTAGCACAGTAAGACAGACTTGCCTTAAACTCCTAATTCAACCACTTACAAAGTCATTGTTTGAACTTGGCTCTTGTTTAACCTCTGTAAACCTCAGTTTTCTTGTTTATTCAGTGGGGCTAATACTTGAGTTACTGTAAACATTAAATGGGATGATGTATGTGAAGTGCTTAGCTTGGTGCCTAGCACAGAGTAAGTGGTCAATATGTGGTAGTTGTCATTATTAATATTTTAGATGATCTTATTAGACTTATACATCTAATTATAGAAATACATAGACTTGATAGAATTTTATTTTCAGGCATGAAGAAATATTCTTTGGAAAAGCTAAATTTTTGGTGATTGACATAAAGATTTACTTGCTCATATTAACTAAAAATTATAGTACTCTCCAAGAATTAATGTGCCCTAAAAATTTTCCTCCAAAAACTTATCCTTATCATGTGATAATGAAGAACATTTGATTTCTTGAAAGGAAACTGCTGTAGGCAGCATCTGGGAATGCAAATCTTCAATCACATTTCTATTCTCAAACACTTGGAGAAGTCTATAATTTACATTCAGACTTCAATGCAAATTTTGTATTGTGAACTTCACATTTCCAAAAAGTTACTTTAAAAAGACTTTAAGACTGAAAAAAAAAAGTTTATCAATGCTAATAATTTTCTAGTATGCAAATGGACATGTGATGCCTATAAAACACAAAAATTTCTCTGAAAACAATTTTGTTCTTATTTTTTTCTTTATAGTTCACTGAGATTGGCATGTGTTTTTACTTTGTATCTAAGCATGTTAACATGTCTTCTTAATAAATATTCCTTATTGAAACAAAGTATTTCAGTGAGTTTTTAAATAATTATTTTAGAGCATGAAGAGACCTTAGAGCTTATGAAAGCATTTATCTGGACTGGGAGACCAGGGTAAGGTGACTTGCCCACTGCCTCTCTGTGGGTCACGGGCAAGATAGGATTCTCCTGACTGTAATACTCAGTTAAATTCACTAGTTATCAGCCCACAGCACTGTCCCAGGCACTACGTGACACTTTCTCAAAGATAATTGGGATCATTATTGATATAGCCTGAGTCTTCAAACTCATGTGAATCAGAGTTTACAAGACAAATAAAATGTTAATGACAATTAAAACTACAATCAGTGACATTAATACTGCTTCTGTATTTCCAAATGCAACTTTAATATCATTTATTAAGGGACAGCAGGTAAAAAATGTATCACAACATTGAGAATCACTAACAAAAACCTTTGTTTTGATTTTGAATATTGCAGTGGAAAGAGAGCAAGGCTTTGAAGTCAGACCAGTCTGGATTCAGGGCCCAGCTCCCCGATTTCATGACTCTGAATCAGTCACTTCTTTGAACTTTGGTTTCTTCATCTGTAAAACAAAGGTAATGAGTGATACCTACCTTCAAGGACTGCTCTGAGTCTGAAATGGCAGTTTGTACACAGAAGATGCTTGATAAGTGCTGTTTTTCTTCCTTCCCATTTCCCATGACAGTGACAAACTAACAGTTATTTTCTGAGATTTCTTTCCCACTGACTATATGTTAGTGTTATCCATCCTTGGGGAGCTAGGAAGAGTAATTAAGAATTCATAATCATTTTGAAGATACTGTAAATATGTTAATACACCATTTATTTGAACTAGCCCTTTACATTTCCCCATCCTTGCAAGTAGCTAGAATACCTCATAAAAAGAAACAAAAACTTAAATCATGTCCCGCAGACCTCAATGGTATACCTGGGATTGATCTAGGATACTTAAGGGCTTACTCCTCAGGATAAAGGTGAATTAAAACCAGCCCTTGTGATTACCTGCACCTGACCAGTTATTTTAAAAGGCTAATTAAATAGACAGTAGATTAGGCAGTGCTTTTGATCCACAACCGTACAAGGGAAAGGAAGGAAACAAAATTAGGCAGAAAAATTGAACTGTGATGCATTCTCAATGAAATGCCTCATACAACCCTACATCGAGTTCTGAGATAGGATGACCTTTCCTATCTCCTAACCTGTCCCAAGTTAGAATATGAAGGCTGGGCCTTTACATTCCCACATTCATCAGTTATAGGGCACAGGCTGCCCCAAAGGCCTCTAACAAGAAAAGGAAAACTGGTACAAATAACCAGTATCAAAAATGAAAAGGGTATAACTACAGATAATCTATTTATTAAAACTAGGAAGATTTTGAGAATAACTTTATACCAATGTGCCGAGACCAGCTCAGTCGGGGAGATCCTAACCCAGCGGCACTAGAGGAATTAAAGACACACAGAAGTATAGAGGTGTGAAGTGGGAAATCGGGTCTCACAGCCTTCAGAGCTGAGAGCCCCAACAGAGATTTACCCACGTATTTATTAACAGCAAGCCAGTCATTAGCATTGTTTCTATAGATACTGGATTAACTAAAAGTATCCCTTATGGGAAACGGGATTAACTAAAAGTATCACTTATGGGAAACAAAGGGATGGTTTGGCTAGTTATCTGCAGCAGGAACATGTCCTTAAGGCACCGATCGCTCATGCTATTGTTTGTGGTTTAAGAAGGCCTTTAAGCGGTTTTCCGCCCTGAGTGGGCCAGTTGTTTCTTGCCCACATTCTGGTAAACCCGCAACCTTCCAGTGTGGGCGTTATGGCCATCATGAACACGTCACAGTGCTGCAGAGATTTTGTTTATGGCCAGTTTTGGGGCCAGTAGATGGCCAGATTTTGGAGGGCCTGTTCCCAACACCAGTGTATCTGAAAGTTTATACAAAATGGACCAATTCCTAGGAAAATATCACCAAAACATACTCAAAAAGAAACAAAACCCTAAATATTCCTTCTAGTGGATGCTGTGGTGTAGTGTCCAGATCCGGCATCAAGAATAAAGGACTTATTATCCTAATTTCTGGGAGTGTCATCACTGTTCATCTGCCAGCCTCATCTGGAGAGCAGACTCACCCAAGATCAGGCCCCTCTTCTTAACATAAAAATCCTAAGTGTTCATAAACTAAAAAGTAAAAACCGCCAGACCTGTAAGGAGAAACAGACAAACTCACGATTTAAGTGGGAGACATCAACACTTTTCTACAGTAACTGAAGGAAAAAGTAGGCAGGAAATCAGAAAGCTTAGAGCTGACCTGAAAAGCACTCAGTCAATCTAACCTAGTGGCTATTTATATAACACTCTAACCAACAGCAGCAAAATAGTCTTTTTCAGAGCACATGGAACACTTACCAAGATAGACCATATTCTGGGCCATAAAACAAGTCCTACCAAATCTAA
This sequence comes from Homo sapiens, assembly GCF_000001405.40. NCBI lineage: Eukaryota > Metazoa > Chordata > Mammalia > Primates > Hominidae > Homo > Homo sapiens. The sequence continues at coordinate 47,151,935 of NC_000016.10, read as the reverse complement.
AAGAATAGAAATCATACAAAGTAGATTATCAGACTATAATAGAATTGAACTAGGGAGATCCATGGAAAATACCCAGATATTTTAAATAACCATAGGGTCAAAGAGGAAGTCTCAAAAGGAAATTTTAAAATATTTTGAGCCAAATGAAAAATACAATGTAACAAAATTTGTAGGAGGCAGTGCTGGGGGGTGGTATTTATAACACTAAATGCACATATTAACAAAGAAGAAAGGTGATGAAAGAAACCAAGGAAGACTTCAATGGAAAGACAGTGTGTTCATGGATTAGGAGATGCCAGTACTCCCCAAAGTGATCTGTACATTTCACACCATCCCTATCAAAATCCCAGCAGTATCTTTTTGTGGACATGGACAGGATTTTGTGCAACTTATATGAAAGAGAAAATAAACTAGACTAGTTTAAAACAATGTTGAAAAAGAAGACAAAGTTGAAGAAATCAAACTATGTGACTTTAAAACTTATTATAAAGCTTGAGTAATAAAGATAGTGTGGTATTGGCAAAGAGAGACACATAGACCAATGGAATAAAATTGAGTCCAGGAATAAACTCACACAAATATAGACATTTGATGTTTGACAAAGATGTAAAAGTTACTAAGTGGAAGACAGTCTTTTCAACAAATAGTGTCAGAACAATTGATCATCTGTATTTGCCATAAATACAAAGGGCAAAGGAGAAAAAAAGAACCTTGATCTAAACCTCACACCTTACACAAAAATTAACTCAAAGTGGGTCATAAATTCAAATATAAAATGTAAAACTATAAAACTTTAAAAGAACACATAGAATGTCTTCATAGGCTAGGGGTAAGCAGAGTTCTTAGAAATGACACCAAAGTTATGATTCTTTTTAAAAACTGATAAATGTGACTTCATCTAAATTAAAAATGTTTGCTTTGACAAAGACACTTCCAAGAGAATGGACAAGCTATATATGCAAAGAAAAAAAAATTTTTTTTTTGAGATGGAGTCTTGCTCTGTCACCCAGGCTGGAGTGCAGTGGTGTGATCTCGGCTCACTGCAGCCTCTGCCTCCCAGGTTCAAGCAATTGTCCTGCCTCAGCCTCCCAAGTAGCTGGGACTACAGGTGTGTGACACCATGCCTGGCTAATTTTTGTGTTTTTAGTAAAGATGGGGTTTCACCATGTTGGTCAGGTTGGTCTCGAACTGCTGACCTCAAGTGATCCACCCGCTTCAGCCTCCTAAAGTGCTGGGATTATAGGCATAAGCCACCATGCCCGGCCAAGAAAATATTTTCAAATCACATATCCAACAACAGACTTGTATCCTGAATCTATAAAGAACTCTCAAAACTCAACAATACAAAAACTCAGACAAGATGACACCTAAGGAAGCTCCTGCCTCTCCCAAAGCTGAAACCAAAGCAAAAGCTTTGAAGGCCAAGAAGGCAGTGCTGGAAAGCATCCACAGCCACACACAAAAAGGAGTATCTGCACTTCACCCACCTTCCAGCACCCCAAAACACTACAGCTCTAGAGACAACCCAGATATCCTCAGAAGAGTGCCCCCAGGAGAAACAAGCTTCATCACTCTGCCCGATTCCCTGAGCATTGAGTGTGCCATGAAGAAGACAGAAGATAACAACACACTTGAGGTCACCGTGGATGGCAAAGCCAACAAGCACCAGAGCAAACAGGATGTGGGGAAGCTCTGCAACACTGATGTAGCCTGATCAATCAGGCCCAATGGAGAGAAGGCGTGTGTTTGACTGGCTCCTGCTTATGATGCTTTGGATGTTGCCAACAAAATTGGAATCATCTAAACTGAGTCCAGCTGGCTAATTCTAAATGGACATCTTTTCACCAGTAAAAATAAAAAACAATTTGAGTGGGCAATAATTTGAGGATACTTCACTGAAGAGGATATATAGGTAGCAAACAAGCATATGAAAAGATGTTCAACCGGATATGCCATTAGGGAAATGAATACTAAAACTATGAAGAGATACCAATACACATCTATCATGAATAAAAAGTGCTTTCATGGATAAAACAAAGAATACTGACAATTCAAAGTGCTAATGTGGATGAGGAAAAACTAGAATTTTCATATATTGCTGGTGGGGATGCAAAATAGGAAAGCCACTCTAGAGAACAGTTTGGCACTTTCTAAAATCAATTGCATTTTTATACGCCAGCATGAACAATTAGAAAATGGGATTTAAAAACAGGTAACATTTATAACAGCATCGAAAAAGTCAAGTACCTGGGAATTAGTATAACACAAGATGTAGCATACATCTCTGTCTGGTAAATTATAAAACTTCTCTGAGAAACGCTAAGGAAATTTTCAATAAATGCACATCTGTAACCATGTTAATGGACAGGAAGACTCAAAATTGTAAAGATGTCAAAGCCCTCCCAATTCCACTCATCCCAACGGGGTGTTGTGTTGCCGAGCTTGCTAAGAGGTTTCTAAAATGTACACGGAAATATAAGAGACCAAGAACAGCCAAGACAATCTTGAAAAAGAATAAGGACCTGCTCTACCAGGTAACAAAATAATAAAGTTAGGGTGATTAGGCCAGGCATGGTGGCTCACGCCTGTAATCCCAGCACTTTGGGAGGCCGAGGCGGGTGGATCATCTGAGTTCGAGACCAGCCTGGCCAACATGGTGAAACCCTGTCTCCACTAACAATACAAAAATTAGCCGGGCGTCATGGCACAAGCCTGTAATCCCAGCTACTCGGGAGGCTTGAGGCAGGAGAATTGCTTGAACCCAAGAGGCAGAGGTTGCAGTGACCCAATCATGCCATTGCACTCCAGCCTGGACAACAAGAGCGAAACTCTGTCTCAAGAAAGAAAAAGTTAGGGTGATTAACAGAGTGCGGTATTGGTGAAGAGATAGACAGACCAATGGAACATATTAGAGAGTGCAGAGAAAGACTCATACACATGGAAGTCTGATTCAGGAAGGAGGTAACACCACAGAGCAGAGGAATATGAAAGGCCTTTTAACAATTTTTATTATTTAACAAACATTACCAAATAACTGCATCAAGAATTTACACTTATGGTTTCATACTACACCAATAAACTAGCATTTGTTTCAGCTTTTAGTAAATAGGTTTTTTTTTTTGGAGGAGGGGGTGTTGATTTCAATGAAAGAACACCAGGTTAGAAAGTAAATAGGTTTAAGCAAACATATCTCTTTTCAACATGGGATTTTGGTTTTAAAGAAAAAAAAAAGATACCATATATGTTAGTAACTTTATTCTAAGAAATACACAGTCATATGTCACTTAATGACAGACATACATTCTAAGAAATGCATCATTGTGCAAACTTCATAGAGTGTCCTTACACAAACCTAGATGGTGTAGCCTATTACACACCTAGGCTCTACAGTTTATCGTATTATTCCTATGCTACAAACCTGTACAGCAAGTGACTGTACTGAATAGTGTAGGCAATTACTTCCTACACACAATGGTAAGTATTTGTATATCTAATGATATCTAAACATAGAAAAGGCACAGTAAAAATATGGTATTATAAGCTTATACAGTTGTGTATGTGGTCCATCATCCACCAAAAGGTCATTATGCAGCACATGACTAAAATTAGGGCATTTCTTAGTTTTTCACAATCAAAGGAAAGTAACTAATGACCAGAAATTTTCTTGACAATTTGAAATTTTCCTGGTAAAGATGAAATATTTTATATTAATAGGAAGCAATATTTCTTAAAAGCGTTCTTTAAAATTATGCTAACCAGAAATTTAGAAGTTTAGGGGACAGTGTTACTGAAAGAATTCTTTGACCCCCTGACAGCTCTTCTTCAATATCAATAACACAGGAATGATTGTGGCTCTTGCATTTTATGGGCTGAATTGTGTTTCCCGCAAATTCACATGTCGAAGCCCTATCCCTCTATATAACTTTTTGGAGACAGGGCCTTTAAGGAAATAGTTAAGGTTAAATGAGGTCAGAAGGGTTGGACCCTAATCCAATAGGACTGGTGTCCTTATTAGAAGAGGAAGAGACCAGGGGTGCACACAGAAAGAGTAAAAGGCCGCTGAAGACACAGTGAGAAGGTAACGGTCCGCAAGCCAGGAGAGAGGCCTCAGCAGAAACCAGCCTCCAGAACTGTGAGAAAATACATTTCTACACTATAAGCCACCCAGTCTATAGCTACACTGTAATTCTGCCATGGCAGCCTGAGCAGACTAACAGAATGCACTTTTTAAAAATTACAATTTTCCTCTCTTCCTTCCCTAAAAAAAACCCTACAGTTGTGTAATAAACACTGAAATCTTCATATACTGAGAACCCACCTGATTGTTTTTCACTAAATGTCACCATTGCTGTAGCCATATTTGCACCCTGTAAAGATCCATATTATATTTTACTACAAATAGTTTCTGCACATAAAAGTTTGGTTCTTTTTAAATTCCTCTACCTTCCTTAGTTATAATCTCTGTATTAGCTGGTTCAGCCTGCCACAACAAAATACCATAGACTGGGTAGCTGAAACAACAGACATACTTCCTCACAGTTCTGGAGGCTAAAGTCTCAGATCAAGGCAGGAGCCAATTCAGTTTCTGATGAGGATGCTCTTCCTGGCTTGCAGATGACTGCCTTCTTGCTGTGTCCTCACATGGCCTTTCCTGGTGCCTGTGCATGAAGAGACAGCAGGCTCTCTGATATCTCTTCCCATCAGGACACTATTTCTTTCAGATCAGGGACCCACCCATACGGCCTCATTTAACCTTAATTACTTCCCTCAAGGCCCTCCTCTTCAAATACAGCCACACTGTACGTTAGGGCTTCAACATATGAACTAGGAGGGGACACAGACAGTAAGTAACAATCTCCAAACGCAACAACCTGCTTTCCTCGGCTGTCATGTAATAAAATGTTAACACTCCCAAACAATAGCAAAACAGAGACACAACAAAAATCTGTTAAGTGTATAAATATTGACAATAAAATGCTTCCTTTTAAAAAATGGTTCATTCAGCCGGGCGTGGTGGCTCACACCTGTAATCCCAGCACTTTGGGAGGCCGAGGCAGGCAGATTACCTGAGGTCGGGAGTTCGAGATCAGCCTGACCAACATGGTGAAACCCCGTTTCTACTAAAAATACAAAAAAAAAAAATTAGCCGGGCATAATGGCAGGCGCCTGTAATCCCAGCTACAAGGGAGGCTGAGGCAGGAGAATCGCTTGAACCTGGGAGGCGGAGGTTGCAGTGAGCCATTGCACTCCAGCCTGGGTGACAGAGTGAGACTCCGTCTCAAAAAAAAAAACAAGGTTCATTCTAGTAACAAGTAAATGCCATGCAATACCATTCAAGTACTACATGGGACTTGGTCAGAGAAAACCCAGTTCAAACTATAGGAATGATTGTGAGGAGTTGGAGAGCCTGAATGGATGCCTGGGAGACTGGCAGGATGCAAGGAAAGCCGAGCCCTCAGTCACCTGGAAACTGCCAGGTAATCTGGGAACAGACTGGGTGCTACTGGGTGATCTTCCAGGAAAATAATAATTCAAATACAGAACCCAAGTGAGAGATATGAAAACGCTTCCCTTTTGATTTGGCTAACATATGGCCACACAGTAGTCTCAGCTATGATCTGTGCTTTCCTACATTCCTCGAAAAATCGACTGCAGACGATTCCACCAGCACATCTAAAAAAGATAGGTGTCTTAAAAGGGAGCCACAAAATGAACATTCCCAATTGGAATCTACTCCCAAGCCAACATTCTAGAGGAAAAAAGATTTTTTAGGTTTAATCAAAATAATACAAGTAAGAGCTTCTAAAGTAAACGTAGAAGTATTACAGATCTACTTTTGGAATTCTTGTGGTTGCTCTAATCTCTCCCCTTTTATTACAACCTCAACTGCCAGATGAAATCTTCCCAGAACTCCATTACTGCACTATTAAAAGTAATCATTTACCTAACTAGCATTTGAGCACCTATCTCCATAATCAAAGCCCACCATGTCCAACCTCTTTATACCAAACACAACACTTGCCCCACGTTCCAGGCTCATCCTGCTCCCTGCCTGCTGAGCTCTTCTTCTGCCTCCTCTCCTCTCGCCACCCCAAGCATTTCCATGGTTTGTGTGTCACCTCCTTCAGGAAGTCTTCTCTGATGACATGACACGCAGATTTTTCCTTCAGTCAACAACTTCACATTAAGAAACTATTATGTTAATTTGAGAGCCCCTTCCTCTCAAATTTTTTTGGTTCACTGTTGTCTGTAACCTATACTTAATATTGTCTTCTTACTCTCCTATTCTACTAATATGCTACATCATTATTATTATTTGAGACGGAGTCTCGCTGTTGCCCAAGCTGGAGTGCAGTTCAAGCGATTCTCCTGCCTCAGCCTCCCTAGTAGCTGGGACTACAGGCGCGTGCCACCACGCCCAGCTAATTTTTGTATTTTTAGTAGAGATGGGGTTTCACCATGTCGGCCAGGCTGGTCTTAAACCTCTGACCTCGGGTGACCCGCCTGCCTCAGCCTCCCAAAGTTCTGGGATTACATGCGTGAGCCACCTTTTCATATCCGTGGGAAAAAGTTCTTAAATGTTTTATTTCCTAATTGGTTCTCGTGTGCGATCTTAACTGTAGTAGGTGGTTACCTTTAGGAACCCAAACTTACCCATCTTTTATGCCCCCATTCACAGCACATGGCAAAGGGTGAAACACCTCGATATTAATTGGTGTTAAGTATGTTTTTCCTTTGTAAATCTCATGAATTATTTATGCTTTTGTACCTTTCTTGAAGGAATACAAAGTGAGAGAGAAGAGCTTAACACCTGAAAAATGTTTCAGTTGCCTGACATTGTCTTTAGCTACAATTGGTTAGACAAACGTTTACAGAGTTCCTACTACACGCAGAGACAGGCATAAATATTCTATTATGGTAAGGCCTTGATCACGGTTGTTATCTCCAGCACCAATCATTGTCTTCTGCACATAATTAACACCCAATACGTATGTGTGGAGTGAAAAAAATGAATGCAGTCGGCCTGCCTGCAAGCAGCTGATATTTTAATGGTGTGAGGGTGAGGGAGATATAAAGGATGAACAAATAAATAAATGAGGAAGGTCATATCAGTGTGATAACCGCTGTGGAGAAAATAAAGCAGGATCATGAATACCACCAACAGCCAGGCAGTTGTTGGCAGACCTGGAGACTCCCATCAGCTGGCGAAGCTGCCCAGCGTAGTGGTTAGCTGCTAGGAGGGCAGCCCCGGGGGAGGTGCACAGCCCTGCCGCTCATTCGCTACGCGGCTCTGGACGAAGGGCTTCACCTCTCTGGCCTCGACTTTCCAATCCCCTAAAACCTACTTCATGAGGGGGAGTCTGAGGAGTTGGTACTAAAGTGCCTGTCAACCTGGCGGGCGCTAGGGAAACGCCGGCAGCGCCGCGGGTCGGGAACTCACCGGCGCGAAGGGCACGGAGAGCCTCGGGCTCCCTCTGCCGATGTCCGCGCTTCCCTGCCCAGGGTCGAGCAAGGCTGAGCTGGGCAAAGTTTTGACCTTGAATGGAGGTCTGGGGGACTAGGGACCGGCGCCCCTCTCTGTCTGCTAGGGCTGGCGGAGACCCGGCAGGCCGGCGAGGGTGCGGGGCCGAGGTGGGCGGCGCTTCCCGGGCGCCTCCGTCAGACGGGAGGCATCGAGGGCTCGGCCAGCTGCCCCGGGCGCCCTGCGCGGCGGCTGGGCACGGGCCGGTCACTGCCCCGGCGCCGGCCTCTCGGACGAGGCCGCCGCGCAGCCACGGCGAGAGGCACCCTCACTACCCCCGCGCCCAGCCGGCTCCCAGCCCTAACGGCAGCCGGCGGGGAGCGACGCCGTCCCACGGCGCGAGGCCGCGGCGGGCGCGCGAGGCGCGGCGCGGGGCGGGGCGGGGCGGGCACATGCGCACAGGCGGCGCAGCCGGCACGCGGCGCTCGCGCTCCCTCCTTAAATGAGCCTGGGCGCCCCGCGCCCGCCACTTCAGTGGATCCCGCGCCGGGGCCGCGGGCGGAGCTGCCTGCCGGTCCCGCGCCGCGCGTCCGCACTCCTCGGCCCTCGGGCGGTCGATGGGACGGGGCGCCGCGGAGCAGGAGGCGGCGCCCGTCGGGGTGCTCGGGCCGCGCGGGAGCCCACTGTGGGGCTCGGGCATGGCGGGCCGCAGGACCTGAGCTCTCCTCAGGGGAGCGGGGAGGCAGCTGCTGGCCGGCGATGGGGACGGAGTGGGGCCGTCGCCGCCGCGCCGAGCCGTGAGCGCCGAGCCACCGCCGCCGCTACCTCAGCCCTTCGCGAAGCGCCGGGCAGCTCGGGAACATGGCCCTGGAGCGGCTCTGCTCGGTCCTCAAAGGTAAGGACCGGGGCTGGGGCCACGGACGGCGCCCCCTGCGGGCCGAGGCTGGCGCGCCGCCCTGCCCGCGCCTCTGCGTCCCTTACCCGCGCCCGGGACCCGACGCGCCTCTTTGTCTGGCGGGGCTCGCGGCTACTCGGAGCGGACCGCGGGGCGCGAGCCCTGCCCGGCTCCGCCGGCTCTCCGGGCGCGCCGCTTCCGACCCCTGCGAGTCCGGCCGACGTTCGCGGGGCGCGTGTGGGAAGAGGGATCGGGTCGGGAAGGCGGCCAGGAGGCCCCTGGGCCCAGCAGGGCCCTCCGGGCTGCGCCCTCGCGCCGCTTCCGTAGAATTCCGCGCATCCCTTTGCAAAGTTGTGAGATTCCTGTCGTGGAGCGGAGGCCGCTCTTTCTCCAGATGTGATGGCAAAAAGTAATTCCACGAGAACAATAAAAGCCGCGGCCGTGACGTCGTGCAGTGGTTTTCGAATAGCCCCGCGGCGCCTGCACCTCGCGGCGGGGAACGGGGCCTGCTGGGCCAGCCGGGTCCCACCTGCTGCGGCCACGGAGGCTGCGGCACCACTGCGGGCTCCGGGGGCGGCGCGCGGGCGCCGCGGACCCGGCTTGTCCCGGCCCCCGGGGAGCGCTGCTGCTCGGGTGCTTCCCGGGACGCGGCGCTCCTCGCGCTCCGCCAGAGGTCTCAGAATTCCCCGCCGCTGGTGTTCGGTTCTTACTAATTTGTTGTACTGGGAATTAAAACAGTTGGCTTGTCCAGAGCACAGAGCTCTAAAACCTACTCCACCGGCTTTGCATTTCCCAGGAGGTGGTAATTTAGATGAAAATTTATATACATAGATAATTAGGATTGGGATACAAAGTTGCTCCTGAAACTCGGACTGAATAAATCGTCTTTTCAATTTCCAGAGGGAAAACAGCACCACCACTCAGTAAAGGACTTCCCTTTTTCCCCCTGCTGATTTAAATTGAAAGCTGACGTGTTTGTAATGTCGTAACATGTTCTTTTTTTAAAAATTTCGAGGGTACGGCTGAGGCATTATTAACGGTGTTATGTATAACTCAGCACTGTATCTTAATATTTGTAGAGTGACTTTTTTCCTGCTCCCTAACAGCACTTTTTTCAAATTTGTTTTATTAGAAAGTTCAGTGTAATTTTGCTTTTGATTTTAATTGGACACATTGTCTACTCTCCACATATTCCTAAATTCGTAATTGAGATTTCAGTAATTCGAAACGTTTAACTACCCCACTGTAAACGTATCTACAGCTTGTACTAAGGTAACCTAGGACTTTCTAGCTGATGAATATTTCACAAACCGTAAATCCGTAGTGATTTCTTTATTACAATTGAAAACAACTCTGAAATTCATCCTGTGGCTTTCATATCTCTAACTCCTAATTTTTACAGTCATTCCTGGGAAAGGAATGTTTTTACTCTTTCGTGATAAACCGTATGCACACTAGGATTTCTGATCGTGTTGCTTATCTGAATTTTCTGCCGTTGTCGGATTGCGCCCTCACTACGGTAAGGTTGTCAGCATGCTACTGACCGTGCATCCGAGAGCACCCCCGGATGAAATCGCGTAGATCTGTCACACCGCTTTACCTGCAGAACTTGATAAAATCGAGCTGGATAGGGTAGGGGCTGGTAGCGCCTCCTCCAATGGTGAAGGGATTTGCAGCGTTTCTGCCTTTGCCTTTCCCGTGGGTGCACACTGCCCTCTCTGGCCATCGTGGTGAAGCGTTGAGTGTTGTACCTTTCAGGAAAGGATTCTGGTGATGGCAGAGCTACGGTGAAAACAATATAGTGTCTGGCTTTTCTTTTTTCAGTGTTAGCCTACACTATTTTTACATGCTGGAGTATTTTTAAAGCTCAAGCTGAATTATTATTGTTGTTGCTGCTATTGGTGGCGGCTTCCTAGAGAGAAAGCAAGTTATTTTTAAAGTCGTCTGTGGTATCAACTTGTAAATGCCAATAACTGGTCTGGAAAGATTCAATAAATTGTTAACAGTAGTTGATTCTAATACGGAAATCTAGGGGATTAAAAGACAGGAATGAAGGGAAGACTGGTTTCACTGCACACCCATTTGTATCACTTGATTTTGTTTTTGTTTTTTTTTTTTACCAAACGCATGTATAATTTATTTAAAAATCAATATTTTAATTTTAAAAAGTTGCCTTTAAAAAGATACTGGCCTTTCCCATTACAAACTACTCATTGTGTGCCCCAAGGCATGAAGAAGTTTTCCTTTTATCCTATAAAGTGAATTGCTTTAACATCAAAGAGGTTCTTATCTGAAGCAGCTATTTAACATTTACATAATTGTGGATATTACCCACAGAAGCCTTGTTTGAAATATTATGGTCAGTTTCTACTAAAATAAATCAGCCATAATGAGTGTGTGAGATTTTAAGTAGAAAGTAATTTTAGTTCTTTAAGATGCCACTGATTATTCTTGTTTTACTTTCAGCCATTAAGACAAAAGAATAACCTTACTAGGCTTTTAAACCTTTCCTATGTTGTTGAAACTAAAAAATTCACTTTTAGCTGTGATCACTCTAGGCCTCACAGAATTCGAGTTAATCTTCTGTCAAGGTTAACTAAGCATTATAGTCTCATGAAAATATTACATGAGGATTATAAATCCATTTTTTGTTCTTATTCTGCACACTTGCTTCAGGAGAATCTGTTCGACTCAGCAATATTTCAAGCTGTAGAAACTGGTTAAATTTGTAATGTAACAGCAAAAATATTCCTTGGCACTGTATTTAAAAATCTTGTCTGAGACGGTGCAAGTATTAACTCGTTTTTCATTCTTACATTTCACCCAGGACTATAAACTAGTTATACAGAAATAAGTGTGGTACTGAAAAACTTGTCCTTTAATACTAAAGCCTTATTAAAAATCAACTTTTTGGCTTTTCCTTCCAGGGGTTGGGAAAAACTGTTTTAACACTGTCAATTGAAAAGTCTTATTAAATAATGGTTTTTTTGTAGTAAATCCTCAACTGCAATCTGGTTTATCTTTCATTTTGAAATTAAAATCACTATTTAGGAAAAACCCTGCATGACAAAACAAGTTGAAATCAAAGCCATTTTCAGTCCTTTTTAGAAAAGATAGAAAAATGATAGACTAGAAATAAAGTTCATATCTGAAATTTTAAAACAATAGACTACCTCCTTCTCTTGGGGTACCACCCATCCAGCACAATCTCCTATCATTTTTCAACTTACGCTCCTGTAGAATAATTATTTATACTTAGAAATACGTCTCCCTGAGGCACTGGAGATTGAAATTATTATGATCTTTGAGTTGGAAAGGAGCATCTTAAGAGGTGGTCTAATCCAATGGTTTCCAAACTTCAGAGGAACTTTTGTGAGGAAGCACTTGAAAAAAAAAGGAAAAAGGACAACAGAACAGAGTTGCTGTGATTGGTGGGAGGCCTTGCCCTCTCAGTCACCTCAAACACCAGGGTGGCTCCAAGAACTGACACTTCAACGGGTTTGTTATATTGCTTCCAAAATTACAGGGTATACTAATCTGAAAGTTCAGTCCTTTCTAATCAAAATGACATTAAGACATGTTGGTTTAAATATGCCTGGAGTAACATTGGAAATTACAGCACTAGAAGATACCAAGTAGTCTTTCAAATATGACCTGATCATGTTAGAAGGTGATGGTAGTCACTGTACAGTCAGGAGGACTGATGTGTAATTAAAATACAGCTTACAAAAGCGCCATCTCAGATCAGCTCGACTAAGGAGGAGTTTGTCACATTCTGCAGGAAAGAGAAAGCACTTCTGCTATAGAGTTACTCTTTCTTACTAAAGTGATTGGCATGTCATTAGCATATGTAGGCTGGAGTGATCCCAAAGTTCACCATCCATCTTTGTTCTTAACTAGTAAAGTATGATTGAGTTTGATTAAATTTGGGTACTTTTTTTGTTCTTTGGAACATAGTTTATCAAAAACAAGTGACTGCCATGTCAAATAGTATGTGGACTCTAATTGAACTCTGTTCTGCTGTCATTATAGGAAATGGTAATGAGCAGAGAGACCAGGTAGGTGGTTCTCTGTGTTGGATTTTAAAAGCTTTATGTTTACCACTGAGTTGCTTAACACAGGAAGATGTAGAAAGAGACACACTTAATTACTAACAAAGGTAAATTGAGCCAGCTTGAGGAAAATAACAGTGGTGGCAGGGTATCTCAGGAGGGTGGGGGGGAATCTCAGTTCTTTTCCCATCCCCTGATTTGTGCTCGCATTTAAAAAAGCAAGGTCACATGTGTGGCTACTGTTTGTTCATCCAAGATGTGTGCCTGTCAGTTACTGTGCTATGTGTTTGCGGTTACAAAGAAGATGCACTGGAGTCGCGCTCAGTCACCCCCATGTGTTCATCGTGTCTGTATTGAATACTGTTGAGGCCAGACAGTCTTTTAGGCTGTGGAGATGCATCAGTGAATCAGACAGACAAGGCCCTTCTTTCTAGTGAGAAGAGACAGACAACCAACAAGACTCAAAATACCAGGTAATATAATAATGAAGTAAAGCAAAATGAAGGAGAAAATGTAGCGCTTATTTAGAAATTGGGAAAGCCTCACAAGACCTGAACAACAGGAAGGAATCAGCCAAAGAGATTCTAGGCCGAAGGCACAGCTGGTTCCTGAGGCAAGAATTAGCTTGATGTGTTTTGAGTGATGGGAAGGCGGCCTGTGTTCTAGTAGAGAGCGCTCGGAAGGCCAGAGAGACACGCAGGCTCCAGGTCACATAGTACCTCCGAAGTCAGAGTAAGGGGCACAGAGTTGTTCTAACTATAATGGGACTCTACTGGAAGATTTTAAGCAAGGCTGTGATGTGATCTGATTTGTATTTTGAAAAGGTCACTGGCTGCTGTGTACATAATACACTATAGGGACTGTGGCAGAAACTTCCAGTTGTCTAGAAATGTCCATTTAACTATTTGTCAGTAATTCTCTGAATTTAACTGAGCGCACAGTTCCCCAAAATGAAGACTATTTACCAGTTTCCTGTTGGTTTAGGTGACCATGTGACTAAGTCTAGCCAGTTAGATATAAGTAGAAAATGATGTGTGCAACTTAGGGGAATTGTTGTTTTTGTTGTTTAAACTTTTATTTTGAAATCATTGTAGATTATGGGCAAGTGTTTTTGTTTTGTTTTGTTTGAGATGGAGTCTTGCTCTGTCACCCAGGCTGGAGTGCAGTGGCACGATCTTGGCGCACCACAACCTCTGCCTCCCAGGTTCAAGCGATTCTCCTGCCTCAGCCTCCCCAGTAGCTGGGACTACAGGCGTGTGCCACCATGCCCGGCTAATTTTTGTATTTTTATTAGAGACGGGGTTTCACCATATTGTTCAGGCTGGTCTTGAACTTCTGACCTCATGACCCGCCCACCTCAGCCTCGCAAAGTGCTGGGATTACAGGCGTGAGTCACCGCGCCTGGCCCTGGGCAAGTGTTTTTAAAGAAAGAGAGAATGCCCTTTATCAAGTCATCATTCTTGATAACTAGAATGCAGACATGGGAGCTATAATGAAGATAGAATAGCTGGCACTCCAGCCTCATACTGGACCATAGGGTGACCTTGGAAATGAGCCTCTCACAGCTGGGTAGTGAGACAGAAGGAACCCAGGTCCTGGTATTTATAGAGCCTTCACTCTGATGCTTGACTCCCTATGTCCAGCTTGTTCGCATGACAGAGCAATGTATTTCTATCTTGTTTTAAACTGTTAGTTTAGGTATTTCTGTTACTCATGCCAAACCTAATGCTAACATAGAAGTGTGCAAAATCAGTATAAGAACAAAAAAATTAAAAAACAGATGGAGAGCTGTTGAATGATCAGAAGTGAAAAGTCTGAATGCAGTCAAGTAAAATTAATCTGGAAAGGGTTCCTGGAGAAAGCAGGTTTTAGAAAATGTACTTTCATGGAAGCAAAGAGGTCCAAGGTCCCTGGCAAGTGCAGATGTTCAGAAACAAGAAGTATTTGTTGGAGCCCTTATAAGAATAGATAGTAGAGCCTTCACCTCAAGTTCAACGTTTCCAAAATCGACTCAACTCCTTTTCGCCCACCCCTGCCCTGCCCAATCCATATTGGTCCAAACATGTCTCCTGCCACTACCAAAGGAGGGAAAAGGCCACCTCTCACTGTTGCTTTCAGTAATCTGCCATGCTCCTGTTGCAGTGGTACTCACAGTGTGGTCCCAGCTCCAGCAGCTTCTGCATCCCTAGAGAATTTGTTAAAAGGCAGATTCTCAAGCCCTGCCTCAGACCCAGTGGATCAGAGTCTCTGAAAGTACTCCCATCTGTGAGTTAATAAACCCAAGGTGATTATGATGCACATTAAAGTTTGAGGACCACGGTCACAGTGATTCAGTTCCCACACCTGGAAGTAGAAATGCTGGTGGGATTTGCACATTTTTGAGCCTTAATATATTCTACCAGATTAACCTCCAAAAAGTTGTGCCAGTTTGTAATCCAGTGGCATTATATGAGTATGTCAGTTTCCTATAGCCTGACCAACACTAGAATCTGTACATGTATATATGTATGTATGTTTGTATGTTTGTAAGGCTGAATTTTTGGGTTTTGGCACATTTTTATGATGGTCTAATCTTTTTTCCCCCATTTATTATTAGTTTTTATTTATGTGTCTGTCGTTAGTAAATGAAGGTGCTCTTCACCTCAAAATATATACATAATTCACCTTTTTTTTCCCAATCTAGTATTTATTTTTTGTTTTTAGCTTGAAGGCGAGATCTATTTTTATTTCAAAGAATTAATATGTTATCCCAGAACCATTTATTAAATCCATCCTTTCACCAAGGATTTCAAATACCATGTATATCATAATAAATTCTTGGGGCTGGGTGTGGTGACTCATGCCTGTAATCTCAGCACTTTGGGAGGCTGAGGCGGGCAGATCATTTGAGGCCAGGAGTTTGAGACCAGCCTGGCCAACACAGTGAAACCCCGTCTCTACTAAAATAGAAAAAATGAGCTGGCCGTGGTGGCGCATGCCTGTAGTCCCAGCTACTCAGGAAACTGAGGTACGAGAATTGCTTGAACCCAGAAGCAGAGGTTAAGTGAGCCAAAATCACGCCACTGCACTCCAGCATAGGCGACAGAGTGAGACTGTCTCAATCAGTCAATAAATAAAAATTAATTCTTGGATATATATATCTATTTCTGAGCTTTTAATTTTTTTCCATTTTGTTATCTGTAAGGTGCTGGAGAATAAGGACCTTGTCTGTTTGGTTCATTGCCACCAGGAAGTGACTCACTACCTGTTAGACAATGGGTTCCTGCATGTATTTAACAGATCATCTGTTTCTTCCTATGTCATTGCTACATTTTTTAATTACTGTAGCTTTACAATAAATATATCATATATTGTTTTTATTTATTCTATGTGATTTCTAAATTTTCTTTGGCCAGTATAACAAAGTCTTCAAGATGAGCATCAGAAACGTTTTGTTAAGTCCAAAAACAGGACCCACTAAGAGTTTGATTAAAATATTAAATGTATGGCCTATTGGAAAGACTCATTATCTTTGCAGCATTATTTTACTGCTCAGAAACATGTTACTGCTCTGTTTTATTCAGTATATTTATTGTTTATTTATTTTAGTTTTACTTTCTTCCCTTAATAGGTGTAATAATTTTTCAAATAATTCTCTTGAGGTTTTTAGGTTTTCAATAACATTGAAATCTATAAATAATAATTTTGTCTTCTTTCCAGTATTTATTGCATTCACTAGAATTGCCACTATTAAGTAATAGTGAAAAGAATAAATTTGACCTTTTTTTTTTTATTTTTTACAGTGGAAAGTAGGCCTTAAAATTGGAAGGCCTAGGAACAGAATTGTCTGCTTAGAGCTAAAATGACAGTGATTCAGGGTAAAAAGAGGAGGAATAAAGGGAGTGGCTTTGAGGATTGTTTAACAGCCTGAATAGCACCTGTCTTTTATCATCTGAGTGACTTCATTTTAGGTCAGATCTGTACACAGGTCTGACTAAATAAGACTAAATTCAACTCTAGAACCAGGAGTAACATCATAAATGGTGGACATTACCTTTTTCAAGCATCAAATCACAAGCAGTTCTCTGTACAATCAAATTGCATGGTTAAAGAGTTTAGAATTATTTTTGTGTAGATTTCTGCCTTATAGAATTAGCGCCTTCCTATATACATTATCATTGAATTCAAAGTGTGAGGTCTTCCTGTATTTGAGATATAATTGATCCTTTTGGTAAGAGGAAACAGTGGCACCTAGATTGGGAATAAAGACAGAACAAAGAACCACAGAACTGCTTCATGTGCTAAATAATTGCAGGGTTTAGCATTAATGGAATTTGTTTTAATATCTCAGCCTGATTATAACTCAAGCAGTGTACAAAGACCTTGTTATACAACTCAGGAAACTGTGTTTATAATGATACAGAATTTAGAATGGATTAATAGTCACAACTGTATTACCAAAAACTGTATCAGTACATCTTTCTATCCCTAATTGCTGTGCAGATTCGCCCTATTCTTTATACGTCGTTTTTATATTTAGTGGCACAGCTCATTTGGTCGATTGAGTTGTGAATAGCTAGTAATTACTTGAGAAAAAAAGAAAACTGTGCAGCCCTCTAAATAAAGTTGAAAAGAATATAATAGGCTATTTGGCCTTGCAACTTTATTTTCAGTATGATTGTTCTGCCTTACTTGTGTATTCTGTGCAAATTTCATAAAGCAGTTATTTTATACAAGCACATTTTTATTGGTCATTGTATACCGTAATTGTGCTGGCACAGTTCATCCCTTTGCCATAGTTGCCGTTGCTGTCTTGCCTTCAGTTTATTGGCCTCTTACATGCCCTGTCTGCTGGCTTTGTGTGGTTATTTGCTTATAGATGGATTTGTAAATGTCAAACTGGTAAATAGTTACACCTGTGATTAAGGAGGAATGGTATACTGCGCACGAAATATTGACCAGTGGCATATGATCTGAATGATATGCCTGGGGAGATAGTGTCTACTAATGAGATAAATTGACACAAATGGTTGGGTTATTTGCTGAATTATCAAATACCTACTATTACCTGACTTTTCTTTTTGATCATAAATCTTCTGTATTAAAAAATGTTTCAAAACTCCATTCTTCTAATCAGATCCAGTGTAAAGATGTGAAGAGTTCAAGATCTCAGCATAACGTGAGATCTTCAACACTACCATCAACCAAAAAAAGGGAAGGGGGAAATTAACGTTATTGAGAAAAGACAGAGGAGACACAGAGGTCAGCAAGGATGCAAGAAACCAAGGATGAAGAGGTCAAAGAATTAGATTTTAAGATACGAACTGAATAACAAGAGCTACCTCTTAACCATTTCTACGTTGGTGACTTTGGTAGTAGACACCCAGTACGTGCTATTGAGTGAACAGTGGTAACTGTCTACCAACCACTTGCACTAGCAGACTCCAGTGCCTCCACCTCCCTCACCCCTCACGTCCTGTAAGTTGCACTTGACTCTACACCTGAACCATGTCATTAGTTTCTCCTCCTTTCCCTTTCCACTGCTACCACTCTGCTTCAAAGATGGTAATGCAAACATGATCACCTTTCCTTCCTAATCTTCTCTCTTCTCATTAAAAGTATAGACCCCACACAACCATTAGGATTATTGGTCTAAAACACAGAAGTGATAATGTCATACACTTGTTTAAAAACCTACAAGGGCTTCTCATTATAGTTAGAAGTCCACACTTTTTAGCATGCCATTCAAAACTTGTTACAATCAGATCTCACCCAACTTTTCTCTAACCTACTATACTGCTGTAGCCTTCCACTTGCCAACCACACTGTATTACTCAGAGTTCCCTAAAACCTGCTGTAGGTTAGAGCTCATGCCTCCATGTTTTTATTTTATTTTATTTTATTTTATTTTATTTTATTTTATTTTATTTTATTTTATTTTATGTTATGTCATTTTATGTTATGTTATTTTATGTTACTTTATGTTATTGAGGCATGGTCTCACTCTTTCGCCCAGGCAGTAGTGCAGTGGCACGATCATGGCTCACTGCAGCCTCTTAACTCCTGGGCACTAGTGATCCTCCTGCCTCAGCCTCCCAAGTGGCTAGGACTATAGGCACATGCCACCATGCCTGGCTAATTTTTTTTTTTTTTTCCGTAGAGACAGGGCCTCTGGAACTCCTGGGCTCAAGCAATCCTCTCGCCTCAGCCTCCCAAGGTGTTGGGATTTGCAGGCATGAGCCACCAGCGCCCTGCCCTCCATGTTCTTATTTAAGCTGTTTCTTTCTCCTTTTCCTGGGCTCAAGGACTGTAAGGTCCAACCAGAGTATGCCTTCTTTTTTGGGAGTTTTCCTCATTCTATTTCCCTTAACCCCCAGCAGAATGGACCTTCTGCTTCCATTATGCCTTCTGCATATCTCCTGTTAAACTCCGTTTCACCTTGTATTGTAGATTCAACAATACATTGATTCCTTGTGGATGCTGGTTTGTCCTAATATCCATCATTTATTTAGCAGAATGTCTGGCACATAAAAATACTATATACATTATCTCATTTAATCTTCACAACCACCAATGAGGTTGACCTATTTATACGTCATCTCCATTTTACAAATAAGTAAACTGAGCTGAAAAGGCCTCACAGCTGGTAGAAGGCAAAACTTGAACCCTAGCCTAGATTCATGAAACTCCTTAAGTCCATACTCTTAACCATTTTGCTCGATTTCTCTCTCCACACCTGTGCATCCTTGGTGCCCGCTCTTCAGTGGATACTCTGTAAGTGCCTATTCACTGAATGAATAACTCCAGTTCACGCAGTAGTTCGGGACAGGCTGGCAGTGTGGTTTCCTTTGAAAGGGAGAGTGCAGCATCCATGAAAATGTTTCTTTAAATCTTCAAACCACATACACAAAACAATTCAATATGTTGTTGATTGGGTCTCAGAAATGTTCAACATGGAAAAAAGCTTCAGTGTTAAATATGGCTAGCCTTTGTAGCACAGAGCACAGCATAGTACTGCACAATGATAAGACAGTTTGAATTGATTTCTAGGAGACTGCTGCCCCCTTACTTCTGTCTTGATTAAGAATGTTCTCAGAAAACAGATATAATCTAATTGAACTTTCACTGCCATAGCACACTGCAGAGCCAGCTATACTGCATGTAAACTTTGAGATGGACTACAGTAAATAGAGGAATAGTTAGGATGAGCAAGGTCTGTTGCAAAAAACAAGTGTTTTTTTTTTTTTAAACAAAACTATTAAGTTGAAAAATGCTTTCAATGCCATGTATTATTAAATGCTTATAAATGAGTACAAAACCACTTGTCTTTTCTTGGGTTATCTTAAGGGTTAGGTAGCAAATCAGAACATAACATTTAATGCTTAAAGATCTTGAGAGTGAATTTTGAGTAATAAATAGTGATTTTAGTTAATCTTTTTTTGTCATCCAATTTTATTTATTGACTTAGTAAAATGTAGTATAGATTCAATTTCATAACTTTTCTTCTCTGTTATTTCTCTAGTGTTGTTAATAACAGTACTGGTAGTGGAAGGGATTGCCGTGGCCCAAAAAACCCAAGGTAAAGTACTTACATTGGTGACTTACTGCATGTTTAAGACAATGGACTGGCTTATTTGAAAGGATTGCAACTTTTGGGTACTATTTTCATAATCCCTTTGGGGTGTTCCAGTGACCTAAGGCTTTCTGTCAACCCATCAGCCTCAATTTAACTGAGTTTAGCTGCAGTTAACTAAATTGTCAGCATAAAGTCTTGCCCTGATAAATTTTTAAAATTGACATCACTAGTAGCTCCTAGCATACTGTGGATTATGTCCAAAAATTAAAGGAGATTTATATTTTATCACTAAGCAAAAATAAAAGTCCCTTTTTCTAATTTAAACAAATGAAACACTTCAATTAATATCTTATTCAAAGTCCTTTGGTTCTGTTCTTTTGTCTTGATTTATGTTTGATGATTAGCTAGTGTGATTTTTTTTAGCCAGATTTTTATGTCTGAATTTAGTACATTTCCAGTGTAATGTTGTTTGTTTTTTATTTTCATCTAAGTAATACATACACATGATAAAAATCAAAGCATTCCTAAAAAGTTAATTAGGAAAAATGAGTTCCCCATCTTGCCCTACTTAACTTCCTGCTCCATGGAAATAATCACTCTTAGCTGATTCTTTTGGTATTTCCCTTCCTTTCTCTAAATAACATGCTGTATTGCTACTTCTTGGTTATTTCAGTTTTATAAATTAGATAATGATTTTTCACCGTGGAAGATGAGAATTTAGCTCTTTCACGCACCTACCGTCCACCCCATCCATATTTGAGTGTTCTCGTACCTTGCATTTGTAGCACCCTTCTCAACACAGTTCTGTCATAATTCTGGTTAACTCAGTATTCAGGATTTACATTAAGTCACTCATTCAGCTGAATTTTATCTTTAGGAAATCTTTTTTTTTTTTTTCTGTTTTAATTTTTAAAATTCCCTTTCCTCCATTTTCTCTCTTTTGCCTTTTCAGGAATTCTATTATTTTACTTGGTTATGGCCCTCTTGGTTTTTGTTTCTGGCTCTTCTGTTTTCCATCTTTTTGCTCCACATTCGCTGAGACTTCCTCAACTTTACCTCTAAACCAGGAGTTAGAACACTTTTTCTGTAAAGGGTCAGATCGTAAGTGTTTAAGGCGCTGTAGGTCCTACAGTCTCTGAAGCAACTCTTCAAATTCCTCAACTCTTCTGTCCTGGAACAAAAGCACACAAATGATGGGGATGGGTATATTCCAGTAAAACTTTATTTACAGCAGGCTCCAGGTCATGTTTGGCCCAGGGTCATAGTTTGCTGAACTCTGCTCTAAATGTTCTGCTGATTTTTTCATCTCTTCTGTTTTTGGAAGCTTTTTTGGTTCTGTTTTCTGAATATAATATTGTTTGTACAGTATCTTTGTTTTTGTCTTATAGATTTACTTGCTTTTCTTTCTCAGGATATTAAATGATTGTTTTGTGGTGGTGGTGGTTTTTAAATATTTTTCTTGCATAGTCTTTATCTCCTCAGAGTTGCTTTTCTCCAGTTTTATTATTATTATTATTTATTTATTTATTTATATTAGAGATTTTCCTCCAATGTCTGGTGATCCTTGAGGGCTCATATTTTAAGAGGGGCACTAAAAACTGATCGTTAACTGTCTGCAGGTGTGGGCAAGGATCAGTTACTGGCTCTCACTGTTGACAGATCTGACACTGGGGAACTCCTGCATCTGCATCAAGCCTTTCCTAGGGGCTGTTTCGACTCCCAGAGAAGAATCTTTTCTTTTCCTGCTTAAAGGCTCAATATCTGACCAGGAGGCCTTTGTGGGAGTTAAGCAGGAAACGAAGGCTGGGACATGTGCTAACATTCACTCGTCTCCCTGTTTTCGTTCTCAACTGTTCCTGGTGTCCCCTAGTCCAGTAACCCTGTTGTTTTACCTTCTCCAAAGAAATCACCTTTAGTGTTCTGATGTGGTTGTAGAGCTGCTAGATTTGTGGAGGAGGAAAGGGTACTGAAAATCCAACTCATTCTAAACAGACTTTTAACTAGCCTCGTGTTTTTAAAAAGCCCAATTTCACTCACCACCCCCAACCCCACTTCCTGGTACTGCCAGTTGTTACTGCTATATCTACCCCTCTCTGTTTAAGAGTTTATACCCTTTTAAAAATCCTTTTATTGCTGTTTAAGTGGAGTTTGAGGAAGGAGCTCAGCTACGTGCATGTATTTAGTCTACAGTCTTCAACTAAAATCCCTCTAACCTTTGAATCATCTTTTACTGTTGTGTTAAACTAAGTTTGAGGGCCCCATATCAGAGATCAGCTCCTGGGATGCCTTTATTTTTAGGTTAGAACTGAATTGTATTGCATCTTACTGACTTAGCAGATTCCCCCATATGGTTTTGCCCTTTGTTAAGTGCCTATAAGCCCTTTATTTCCCTGTTCTCTTACACGGCAAACTTGTCCTCTCCCAGCAAGTTTTCCCTCCCTCTCTTTCACTTCTGTACTCAATTTATTGTGCTAAATTTGACAGTGGTTCTTAGAAAATTTTATATATGTAGCATAGAGTGAGCAATCGTTTGGAAAGTGGTGGGGGAAAGAGAAGAATGATTCTCTTTTGCTGTAATGAGTGTTTTAAATGCCGTTTTTCCCTAAGATGGACAAAATATTGGAATCAAGCATATTCCTGCAACCCAGTGTGGCATTTGGGTTCGAACCAGCAATGGAGGTCATTTTGCTTCGCCAAATTATCCTGACTCATATCCACCAAACAAGGAGTGTATCTACATTTTGGAAGGTATTTGAACGATTTCTTTTATTGGATGAATTTTTACTTTATTGTAAAACTAAATATGTTGGTAAAATGACCTATGTAAACCAGTTTGAATGAAATTTAAACATGTATTTGAATTAAACTGTAGTAATGATAAGTATTTCTGCATATTGAATACATTAACAAGATACTAGCAGAAATGTTAGGGGAAGTTTGAATCTCCCAAAGTATAATTCAACTACGTACATTAGTATGTATGAAAAACTTCTTTCTCTGATAAGAAACTTAAACTTACTGGCATCCCTTATAAGGCTTAATTCAAATTTATGTCCACATAAGTGAGTTCTTTTCATTTCTTCTGTTTATTTTTCTGTGTATTGTGGTACGTTGTATCTTGAACTAAGTATTAGCTTCTTGACTCTTCAGTTTGAATCACTCAAAAATATTTAATTTAGTAGATAGCATATGCCAATGGAAAAGATTACTATAGTTCTACAGAGTAGCATTATTTTTAATGTAAGATACATTTATCATGACTTGTATAGCAATTCTCACTAAGACCTTTGTCTATGAAGCAGTTAGCAGAACAGTTATTCTGCTTTTCTCATTTGTGTCAATACATTTATATTCTTTCTTGTTTGTGTTGTCCTGATTTGCTTACTCTTATTTTCTAGCTGCTCCACGTCAAAGAATAGAGTTGACCTTTGATGAACATTATTATATAGAACCATCATTTGAGTGTCGGTTTGATCACTTGGAAGTTCGAGATGGGCCATTTGGTTTCTCTCCTCTTATAGATCGTTACTGTGGCGTGAAAAGCCCTCCATTAATTAGATCAACAGGGAGATTCATGTGGATTAAGTTTAGTTCTGATGAAGAGCTTGAAGGACTGGGATTTCGAGCAAAATATTCATTTATTCCAGGTAAAGAATAAGTTATCTTTTAAGTGGTTGGGCATCTCACTCTAACTCTGATTTTAGAATCTTAAGGTTAGAAAAGAGATTAATTTGGTCAAGTTAATCAAATCAAGATTTTAAACAAATTAGCAAAGTCAAAGGGAAATTAGTCCATGAACAAATAAGAAGTTAATAGAAATTGGACATAGAAACGTATCACTTGAATTTTGAAGCATATCAGAGATGGTGCCACATTTTCTTAGATTTTTTTCTGTCTTATAGCACATGCTCAGGCTAACATTTAAAATACATTTAAAAATAAATAATTTTAAAAATAATTCAACAAATTGTCTTGTTTTCAGAATTCCCACAAAAATTGTTTTGTATGATTTTTCTCATTTAGCTGTTAGAATTAACCACTCAACTGAATGAATACTCTAGAATATATTGAGCAATAGAAAGAATACTGCTCTGCACTTGGATGTCAAAGATCTGGGTTTGAATTCTTTCTCTGCCTCCTAATAGCTGTAAGACGATTAAGCACAGAATTATGTTTGAGATTGGCCATTAGTAAAATGGGAATGCCTGCTGTGTTAGTTTATTGATGCTGCCATAACTAATTACCTCAAATTTGGCCACTTCAGACAGCAGAAACTGATTTTCTTGCCGTTGGGGAGACCAGAAGTCCAAAATTGAGCAGGGCCTCACTCCCTCTAGGAACCTGGGGGAGAATCCGGTCTTTGCTCCTTCCAGCCTCCAGTGCATGCCCCAGCATTGCTGGGCTGTGGCTGCATCACCTCAGTCTCAGCCTCCCTCTTCACAGCTCTTTCTACTCTTTTCAAGATCCTTAACCTAATGGCATCTTTTGTCTTGTAATATTTACTCTTTTAAAAAACTATATGTGTGTGTGTGTGTGTATAGATACATATATAAGTGCACCCTACTACTCACAGGTTATGGGGAATCCAATGTGTGTATATTGGGGGGCTACTGTACCATCAGCCTGCTCCACCGTGTTACCTGCCCCACAGTAGGTGAGAACACTCTGAGAACTGTAAAGCCCTGTCCAGTATGGCGTGTACATATCCCTAATGCAGAAACAGATGTGCAAGTTATTGTTCCTGTCTTCACCAAGCTTACACACTAACAAGATGAAAAAATAACAGTAAGACAACTGCATGATCTTTTTGCTTTTATTTTTCGTGCAAGAAATTTAATTGGAAAAAATTAAAACATTGAAATGAAAAGAAAATATCCATAATCCTTCCACCCTGTATATAAAATCAGTGTGAACAATTTGGTGTATATCCCTTCCAGTGTTTTTCTATATCTGTTTCTTTTGTTTGTTACACAAGATTGGGATTATGGTACACATATAACTTTATTATCTGCTTTTTTGCCTGAAAAACAGATGTTTGCCTGTTAGTACTTATGTAGGAAATTTTAAGCTTGGCTTCAGTGTTTATCTGCTCTTTTTAAAAATTTTTTTCTATATTCTCCATAGCCAACCAAGTATTTATTTGCACAATACCAAAAGGATATTTCCAAAAAGTAAACATTGTCTAATAGACTTTATTTTTTAGAACAGTTTTAGGTTCACAGCAAAATTACACAGGAAGTAGAGTTACCATAAGCCTCCTGCCTCCCTTTCCATCAGCATCTTGCACGAGAGTGGTGCATTTGTTACTAATGATGAGCCAACATCCATGCATCATTATCACCCAAAGCCTGTAGTTGACATTAGGGTTCACTCGCAGTAGGGTGTGCTCTGTGAGTTTTGACAAATGCATGATGACATGTATCCGCCCTTACAGAACCATACAGAACAGTCCCACTGCTCTAACAGTGCCCCGTGCTCTGCCTGTTGGTCCCTCCCTTTCCCCAAACCACTGGCAATCGCTGATCTCTTCAGTATCTCCCTAGTCTTGCTATTTCCAGAATGTCATGTAACTGGAATTATACAGTATGGAGCCTTTTCCAGTTAGCAATATGCATATAAGTTTCCTCCATGTCTTTTTGTGGCTTAATAGCTCATTTTTTACACCAAATAATACTTCATTGTCTAGATGTACCATGGTTTGTGTATTCATTCTACTGAAGGACATCTTGATTGCTTCCACATTGTGGCAATTATGAATAAAGCTGCTATTCATGTGCAGGTTTTTGTGTGGACGTGAGTTAATTCATTTGAGTAAATTCTAATACATGCCACAACATGGATGAACCTTGAAACATTATGCTAAGTGAGATAAGCCAGACGCAAAAGCACAAATATGACTCCATTTATATAAGGTATTTAAAGTAGTAACATTCATAGAAACAGAAAGTGGAATGGTTATCAGGGTATGTGGGGGAAGGGGGAAGGGGAGTTAATGTTTAATGGGTGTAGACTTTCAGCTTGGGATGATTAAAAATTCTGAAAATAAAAAAATGGTGATGGTTGTACAACATTGTAAATGTGCTTAATGCCACTGAATTGTAAACTTAAAAATGGTGGAGCCAGGCGTGTGGTGCACACGTGTCATTCCAGCTACTCGGGAGGCTGAGGCTGGAGGATTGCATGAGCCCAGAAGTTCAAAGTTATAGTGAGCTATGATCACACCACTGCACTCCAGCCTGGATGACAGAGCAACACCCTGTCTTAAAAAAGATCAACATTATGAATTTTATGTTATGTATAATTTACCACAATTAAAAAATAGTAGCAGCCAGATGTGGTGGCTTACACCTGTAATCCCAGCACTTTGGGAGGCTGAGGTGGGTGGATCACATGAGGTCAGGAGTTTGAGATCAGCCTGGCCAACATGGCAAAACCCCGTCTCTACTAAAAATACGACAGTTAGCTGGGCGTGGTGGTGCACGTCTGTAATCCCACCCACTCAGGAGGCTGAGGCAGGAGAATCGCTTGAACCTGGGAGGTGGAGGTTGCAGAGAGCCAATATTACACCACTGTACTCCAGCCTGGGCAACAGAGCAAGAATCTGTCAGAAAAAAAAAAAAAACTAGTAGCTAGTAAGCTGTTTTTTCACAGTGGCAGGGAAAAGAAAGAAAGACAGGATATCCTGCCTTGTGAAATAGTCCACAGGAGTTTGAGAACCAATAGTTTATATCAAAATGACTGATTGGATTAAATTGGTCAGCTATTTTATTTTTATTAACTAAATCAACTAACTGAAGTAATTGAAACATTAGTGTCATGAAGATACTGTTAGAATAGATGGTGGCTGCACATAAGTTTAGACTACTTGACAGAAAAAGACATCCAAAGAATACTCTTATTTGAATAATGTTTTTAAATATTTAAAGACAAAGTCAGCCAACTTCATATGTAAAGATACTTACTTTGGAGTCAAGTAGCTCTTTTTCCTCTATTCATGTTATAGATCATGAGAGCAACTTTAAATGGCCTATAGTTAAAATATAGACAAAGTATAATAAAATGCTTAGGATTTCTAGAGTTTATCACCTTTCATTTGCATTTTATAGTGCTTCACAGTTTTGATAGACATTATGTTTAATTTTGTGCTAATGACTAATGTCAGGAGGATTATGTAATATTTTATTTTACAGATGAGGAAACTGAGTCAGATTAAGTGATTTTCTTGGTTCATAGAATGGCAAATCCAGGACTAGATTGCATTTCACTAGGCAATACTTCCTACTCTATCATGTTGCCTTTATAATGTGGATGAGGTCACATTGGAGAAAAGCCTTATTAAAATGTGGATGAGGAGTCCACAATTTTATCACTAAAAGAGAAAACCAACACATGTCAAAATAAATAGGCAATGCATAATTAGCTAAATATGTCTGTCTGATGTTATTTCAAGTCATGTTAATAAAATAAATTTTGTCTAGGAGGTGGTAAATCTGGAAGAAACCTATTAACAATGGTGAGAAGTTCATTTTTTTTAATGAAATTCTCTACTGAGGGAGAGGCTCTTAATGGGTTGTTAGTTCCTGGACATAACTGAGATAATTATGGACATTTTAATGCAATAATGACAATATCCTAGATTTCTGGAATACATATGAAATAGTTCTGATTAATCTGCCAGACAGTTCCTGTGATTCCCCTCCGCCATGCCGTTTAAGATTTAAATTTCACTTTGACATTTCTCTGCAAAAGAGCAGAAGTGTCTATTGTCCTCTTTCAGCAAGGATGAGTTTTGTTTATAAAGTTAAAAAAAAAAGTTGCTGAGATATATTCTACATAAGCTAATAATTTTTTTCCACTTTTTAAAATATGTAATTTGATAACTTCCTAAAGTATCTGGAATTAAAAACAACAGTTTTAACAGGAATTGAGTCTCTAGTTGTACACAATTAAATTGCGTATTGAAATAGATTTTCCAGTCCGGGTGCAGTGGCTCATGCCTGTAATTCCAGCACTTTGGAAGGCCGAGGCAGGCAGATCACAAGGTTGGGAGTTTGAGACCAGCCTGACCAACATAGTGAAATTCTGCCTCTACTAAAAATATAAAAAATTAGCTGAGCGTGGTGGCAGACACCTGTAATCCCAGCTACTCGGGAGGCTGAGGCAGGAGAATTGCTTGAACCCGGGAAGCAGAGGTTGCAGTGAGCCGAGATTGTGCCACTGTACTCCTGCCTGGGCAACAGTGTGAAACTCCATCTCAAAAATAAACAAAAATAAATAGATTTTCCAGAAATCTGAGACATTTTAGACAACCCAGCAATTTTTTTTATTCTGGCTGTTAGGTATATACACAGGTTCTATCTGAACTTTAAAATAATTTTTTAAAGATACCTGTGTTTATAATTTCTAAAACTTTATTTTTATTGTGGTAAAAAATATACATAACAAAATTTACCCTTTAACCTTTTTTTTTTTAAGACTCATTTTGTCACCTAGGCTGAAGGGCAATAGTGCTGTCTCTGCTGTCTGCAGCCTCAACCTCCTGGGCTCAAAAGATCCTCCCAGGTCAGCTTCCCAAGTAGCTGGCACTACAGGCATGAGCCACCATGCCTAGCTCTCTTTAACCATTTTTAAGTGTGTAATTCAGTGGCGTTAAGTACATTCACAGTATTATGCAACTATTACCACCATCCATTTAAGCCGAAGTTTAGAAGACAAATTGTAATATGATTCAGCAGAAAGGAACTTCATTCCTTTTTAAGGCCAAATAATATTCTGGTATATTGTATATGTGATGTTCCGTTTACCTGTTCAACTCTGACAGTTGATGTGAGTTTGCAAGTAGCATAAATAAATTATTCACTATGGAATCAAAAATATAAACGTGATTAAATAAATGTCAATCCTGTAAGCGAGCTCCTAAATGACCAATGATATGTAGTTTTCACCAATGAAAGCTTCTCTTACCTTGCTATGAAATGGAACGTTAGATGTAATGTAAGACATCGAGGATTAAAGTAACTATCTCAGTACCAATGACTTTCTTCTTTTTTCTGTTACAGATCCAGACTTTACTTACCTAGGAGGTATTTTAAATCCCATTCCAGGTTTAGTATATTACCACTTGTTCCTCTTGGCATTTTTGATTAGTCTTATGTTCCTTTGAACACCTTTCATGTATTCCTTCCAGATTGTCAGTTCGAGCTCTCGGGAGCTGATGGAATAGTGCGCTCTAGTCAGGTAGAACAAGAGGAGAAAACAAAACCAGGCCAAGCCGTTGATTGCATCTGGACCATTAAAGCCACTCCAAAAGCTAAGGTATTATTATGTATTGAGTCGCTTCAGAGAAGAACATCATGATAAGGCATGATTTGCAAAATGTGTAATTTTGGTTTGTGTAAATATTTATTGACTACATAAACTGATACTGCAACTTTTTAAAATGTATTTTATTTCACTTACTTTATTGGCATCTACTAAGATCCCAGCATTATTATAGTTAAATAAACTGAAATTTCTGAAATTCTTCAGGAATATTACATATATATTAAGATTCTCAATTATAAAAGATTAAGATTCTTAAGACCTGTCAGTTCCCAATTGGTGAGTGTGCATACTGATCAGTATGATTATAGATTCATTAACAGCTTTATGAGGAAGAAAATAGGCTACAAGAGGTGAAAATGTGTTCTCAAAAGTTACAGAGTTGGTCGTAGCAATCTAAAAGCGAAAACCCAAATGTGTCGAGTCTGTTCTTACCCTGCCATCCTCTGCTACTCATGGGGTGCTTTTATTGGAAAGAACTGCAGGGAAGGATGTTTTTAAATAACTCTGACAGATTGAGATTGGATACTTTTGCATTTAATGTATACTTCTAGGAATATCAACAGAGTTAAAATTATATTTAATGCGTATTATGTAAAAAGAGGGAAAAGAGGAGAGAGTGAGGGTGGGAAAACATACCTCTCAAGAATCATGAAAATCAGATTTAAAGATTGGGTAATATGATAGATAAGGTAACCTGAAAACCCATCTGCTAGAAGACACATGGAAACATTGGGTAAAATATGACAAATAATTATTTTAAAAGCATATGTGTAAGCTCCAGGAAGGAGAAAAAGAGGGTAATGCTTATGGATGAGAAATGAAGAGAGAGAACTGTAGATTAATAAACTGAAATTGATGTTACAGATGCCCCTGGCTGACTTTTATAACCTGTTACTGCACAGGGGTAGACATACTGGGAGCTTCCTTTTAATTCCCATACTGAGAAAAGAAGAGTCCTGGGGTTCACATGGCCTTTGTGAGACTCACATGAAGCTGGAGCCCTCAAAGGGAGGCAACTCACATGAAAGCATAGATTAGAAAAAATGTTTCACTACCACATGCTGATGACAAAGAAGCTTGTTTTTCTGGGTTTAGTCTCAGGGTGGGGTTGGAGGTGAGGCTGGGGTCCCCCCTAGCTTTATACTTAGAAACCCTGCCTTTATTAGGGTTTGAGAAATGAATTTACATTCCCTGCTCAACCCAGGAGTCATGAAGTCCAAAGACTGACAGAATGGTCCTGGGTGCATTAAACCTTTGAGTCACCTGGCAAAAATAAATCTAAAAGTCACCAAGAAAGCTGCAGGGTTGGCATGGATAAAACACTGCTGCAGGTCAGCTCACAGCCCGCAGATTCTAAAACCCCTATGCTCACAGCCCACCATGGGTACGAGTTCACCGACATAACACACAGGAAGGAGTTCCTTAGATCCCCAAGAATTTGAGTGTTTCACGTATCCTACAAGAAGGAAACAGAGATGAGAAAGAAAAATGACCACGTCCATTTTTAAAATAACCAAATAGGAGGTCTATAAGTTAAAAGTATGGCTATTAAAAGATGTGTCTGAGGAAATTACCCAGAGTGTATCGCTGGAAGAGGTGGCAGTTTATTGGGATTTTCCATAACTGATACTCTGTAGTGTGTAAGTCTGATGCCCGGATGTTGACGCACACATGTGACGTGCGCCTCCCTCCAGCCTTGTTACCATGTCGGCACATTGCCTATCTGACATGAAAAGGAAAAAAAAGAAAAAAAAAATTTCAAGAACTAATGAAAAGCATGACACAGGGTGACTCCCAAGCAGGAAAAAAAAATTTAAGTGACACTGACATTGTACCCCACAGACAAGGAGAAAAGTTATTAAACAATAGAGAAAATAGTCTACAAAAGGATGCTATTAAGATTGACACCAGAATTATCAATAGCAAAATAGAAGCCTGAAGACAATAGAATAATGTCTTCATAGTGTTAAGAGTGTTCATTGTCATTTAAGAATGAAGGCAGTGGCCAGGATGTGGGGATGATTAATGGGTACAAAAGTATAATTAGATAGAATTAATATCTGGTATTTGATAGCACAACACAGTGACTACAGTCAACAATTTATTGTACAGTTTAAAATAAGCATAATTGGGTTATTTGTAACACATGATAAATGCTTGAGATGATGGATCCCCCATTTATCCTAATGTAATTATTATGCACTGTATACCTATATCATGATAGCTCATGTACCCTATAAATACATATAGCTATTATATACCCATAAAAGTAAAAAATAAAAGAATGAGGACAAAATTAAGATGTTTCTCTGCAAAGTAATAAATGAATTAAATGCTACAGTTAAAATCCAAATATATCTTGTTTATGGGATAATTACAGGAAAATTTGAAAATACAAAACTAGGAAAGAAATAACAGACAAATGTCAAAAAAGAGCTGATGTAACTATTAAAACAAATCAAGAATGTCTCTATCTCACTAGATAAATCTCAGGTATTAATATAGCCTTAAAATGCACAAAACAGGTTGTTGATTGTCAAGGAAAATTGACAGATCCATAACATAGTTGGTAATTTTTTTTTACTTCTTAGTAATTAACAGTTCAAGCATACAAAAAGTTAATATGGCTCAAAAGATTTAAATTACACAGTATGTGCTTAATGGACACAGTATCTTGCTCCCAACATCCAGAAAATAGGCATTCTCTACTAGCATTCATAAAACAT
Organism: Homo sapiens; assembly: GCF_000001405.40. NCBI lineage: Eukaryota > Metazoa > Chordata > Mammalia > Primates > Hominidae > Homo > Homo sapiens. Next base: position 47,119,921 of record NC_000016.10, on the reverse strand, counting down.
TCATCAAAACAGATACACGTGCTCAGCTAACAAAGGAAGTCTGAACATATATGCAGAGCATCATGTGACAGAAATGCAATTAAACCAGAAATCAGCAACCAAAGATTACTTTAAAACTCCATATGTTTGGAAATATAATAATATACTACTTAGTAATTTGTAAGTCACAGAAGAAATCAGTATGGAAATTTGAATACATTTAAAATGCATTAATGAAAATACTACATTTAAAAAAACTGCGGTACAGCTAAAACAGTACTTTGAGAAAAAAGACTGAAATTTAATAAGTTAAGACTCAAGAAGTTAAAAGAAAAACAAATCCAAAGAAAGGGCAATCATAAAACAGAAATTAAAAAAAAAAACGAAGATACAAAAAGAATAAATCAGTGAGGCCTGACATCGGCTCTTTGTAAAAGGTAACAACAGGCAGACTTATGCCAAGATTGATCTAGAAAAAAAAAGACATAAATAGGCCGGGTGCAGTGGTTCACGCCTGTAATCCCAGCACTTTGGGAGGCCGAGGCAGGCAGATCACGAGGTCAGGAAATCAAGACCATCCTGGCTAACATGGTGAAACCCCATCTCTACTAAAAGTACAAAAAATTAGCCGGGCGTGGTGGCGGGCGCCTGTAGTCCCAGCTACTCAGGAGGCTGAGGCAGGAGAATGGCGTGAACCCAGGAGGCGGAGCTTGCAGTGAGCTGAGATCACGCCACTGCACTCCAGCCTGGGCAACAGTGCAAGACTCCATCTCAAAAAAAAAAAAAGAAAAAGAAAAAAACATAAATAATATTAGAAATGGAAAAGTTATAAATCAACTACAGCAAGGATTTAAAACTATTATGAAACAAACCAAGTAGAAAGTAGATCTGCCAAACAAAAAAGGAAAGAAACTGTTTCTTTCATAAATAAATGACAATGGGGGAAAAAGAAAAAACAAGAACCTATAGATTAAAAGAGATATAAAAGTCAAGTGAACTTACTGATTGAAACAAACTATAAATGGAGGGAACTGATGACAGAAGTTTGAACACTGGTATTTAATATTAAGTTATTTATTTGTTTGGTTTGATAATAGGATAAAGGTTATTTTTTAAGTGGCTTTAGTGATACAGAAATGTTTACAGATGCAATGATTTAATGTCTGAGATTTGTCTCTAGTATGTAAGAGGTAGAAGTTAGGAGAGACAAATAAAATAAGATTGGCTAGGTTATAATTGTTGAAGTTGGAAGCTGGGTACACAGATATTTTTGTCTGTTTTTGCATATTTGAAATTTTAACAAATGTTTTAGACTATCATAAGAGAATATTATAAATAATGATTTGTCAGTAGATTTGTAAAGGGTATATATAAATGGTGATGTTTGGAGAGTATGGAGGGAATCCCGGCTTTTTTCTCTCTTAATCAGAACTCACAACAGGTTGGGAGACTAAAATTCTAAGGAAAACTTGTCTTTCTGGCCAGAGGAACTAGATAGAGGAGACCATGTTGTCATCTGGAGAATATGAAGAAGTCTTGGAGAGGAGAGAACTAGAGCAGGGAAGCACTAATGCAGGCTTTCTTTCTGAGGTGCCTGTGTGTGGAACAGATCCAGGGAAACGTGGCAGCAGTGTTGGGAACCATGTTACAGTATAAACCACCTCTGAGTCCCTGAGTGTGTCACACACTGGGCAAGCCTACCCAGCACAGCAAAGTCTTTGAACATTGGGACCACCACCCAAACAAAGAGAGACAGAATTTGCAGTGCGAACACAACTTAGTTGATTGTCTGCAGAACCAAAACAAATAACAAAAAACGACATTCTCCAGGGATTTTTTAACAGGATCCAAGTCACACAGCATAATATTTAAAATGTCCAAGATACAATGAAAAATCACATACAGAGAACTAGGAAAATCTGGTTAATTTTTAATGAAAGACAACCAATAGATCCCAACCCTAACCCAAATATTAAGAACTATCCAAAAATCTTTTTTTAATTTAAAAAAATGTTTTTAATAGAAATAGGATCTCACAATGTTGCCTAGGCTGTTCTCAAACTCCTGAGCTCAAGTGATCCTCCTGCCTCAGCCTTCCAAACTGCTAGGATTACAGGTATTAGCCACCCTGCCCAGCCAGAATTATCAAAAATTCTAAAGCAGTGATAGAACCATGCTTCATGAGATAGCAGTAAACACTCTCAAAGAGTAGGAAAATAGGACTCAGCAGAGAAATAAACTAATTTTTTAAGTGAAAAATTTAGAACTAAAAGAAAAATCTGAATTTTTAACAAATAATCACTGTATGAGCTCAATAGGAAAATGGAGAAAATAGAAAGTCACTGAACTTGAATCAGTAGAAATTATCCAATCAGAAGTACAGAGGGGAAAAGATTGAAAACAAAGTAATTGAAAACTGTCTATGGGACAGTTTCAAAGGGCCTAACGTTTGTGTTATTTAAGTCCTAGCGGGAGAAGAGATTGGCACAGAATAAATATTTGAAGAAAAAATTGCTAAAAAGTCCCAAACTTGAAGGACATATATCTGCAGATTTAAGGAGCTCAGTGAACACCAAATAGGATAAACAAAAACAAAAAGCAATACCTGCACACATCAAAATCAAATTACTTGAAATCAAAGATTGAGATCTTGAGGTCTACCAGAGAAAAATGATGCATCTTGTATAAGGGAGCAGTGATTTGAATGACTATTTTTTCTCTTTAGAAATGATGGAAGCCAAAGGTAGTGGATCAGAATCTTCACAAGCTGGGATAGGCAGTAAGGGGAACTGTGATGCAAGACTTCTTTCAAGAATGATAAAACTAAGAGAATTTATCACCTATGCACTTGCTATAAAGGAAGTTATTTAGATAAGATAAATGATACTAGAAAAAATCATGAAACTTCATGACTAAAGGGAAACGAATGGTAAATATCTGGGTAAATTTCAACCATTTTACCAGTATCAGGAATGAAAGAGAGAATTCTATCACTACCGACCCTACCAATATTAAAAGGAGTAAGAAAATACAGGGAACAGCTCTATGCCAGAAAATCAGATGACTTCGATGAAATGGGTAAATCTCTTAAAAGCTACACAGCTGCCCAAACATGTCCCAGTAGACATACACAACCCAAATCATCCTGTGCTTATTCAAAAAATGAATTCGTAAACACCTTCTAACAAAGAAAACTCTAGGCCTAGATGGGTTCGCTGGCAAATTGTACCAAACATTCAAGGAAGATATAATGCCAATTCTTTAGTATCATCCAGGAAATGAAAGAGCAGGGAACATTTCTAAACTTACTTTGTAAGATAAGCATTACCCTGATACCAACAGACAAAGAGACATTATAAGGAAACTATTGATCAGTATTCGTCAAGAAAATAGATGCAAAAATTTCAATAAAATATTAGCAAATCTAATTCAGCAATATAAAAAAATACATAATAGTAAAGCGTGGTTTATCTCAGGAATGCAAGTCTGGTTCAACATTTGAAAAATCAATGTAATTCACCATAAAGACTAAAGAAAACTATGATTGTCTCCATTTGTTAAAATTCATCACCCATTCATGATAAAAATCTCAGAAACATAGGAACAGATGAGACTTCCATAACCTGAAGAAGGGTATCTACAAAAACCTACCAGCTAAACCAGGCACAATGGCATGCATCCATAGTTCCAGCTGTTAAGGAGGCTGATACAAGAGGATTGAGAATCACTTGAGCTCAGGAGTTCAAGGCCAGCCTGGACATCATAGTAAGAGCCTGTCTCTTAGAAAAAAAAAAAAAAAACAGAAAACCCTACAGCTGACACCATACTTAGTGGTGAAAACCTGAATTCTTTCCCCTTCAAAATCTGTAGCAAGCTAAGTCCTATTCAATGTTATACTAGAAGTTGTAGCCAGTACAAAAAAGCATACAGATTGGAAAAAGAAGAAATCAATCTTTTTGAAGATATCGTTGTCTATATAAAAATTTCCATAGCATCTGAAAAGCTCCTGGAACAAATATATCAGGTTAACAAGGTTGCAGGATGGAAGACCAGTATACAAAAATCAATTGCAGGTCAGGCACTGTGGCTCCCGCCTGTAATCCCAACATTTTGGGAGACCAAGGCAGGTGGATTGCTTGAACTCAGGAGTTCAAGACCAGCCTGGGCAACCTGACGAAACCCAGCCCCTACAAAATATATATATATACATGTATATATATATATATATGTATATATATATATATAAAAATTAGCCGGGCATGGTGGCTGCAGCTGTAGTCCCAGCTACCCGGGAGGCTGAGGCAGGAGGATCACTTAAGCCAAGGAGGCGGAGGCTGCAGTGAGCCAAGAGCGCACCACTGCACTCCAGCCTGGACAACAAACTGAGACCCTGTCTCAAGAAAAAAAAAAATCAGTTGAATTTTTATATACTAGCAATGAAAACTGTAGTTCAAAATTAAGAAAACAGTACCATTTAAAATATTACTCCACCAAAAAAAACTGTGTAGTATCTGTTAACTGAAAACTTAAAAGACCATAATGAAAATATTCAGAGATGACCTAAGTAAATATACTGTGTCAATGTATTGATAGGCCCAGTAGTGCTAAAATGTCAGTTCTTATGAAAATGATCTACACAGATGAATACAATTTCAATCAAAATCACAGCTATATTTTTTGTAAAGATTGACAAACTGATTCTAGAATGTAATGGAAAAGCAAGGGATTACAGAAGCCAAAATTATTCTGAAAAAGAACAAACATGGAAGACTCATGACCTGATTTCAAGACTTAATGTGAAGCTTCAGTAACCAAGACTGTGGTACTGACAAAGGACAGACACACAGATCAATGGAACAAGATAGTCCAGAGATTAGATTTCTGCAAATATGATTTGTTAATTTTTTTGACATTCAAAGGAAATTGAGTGGAGAAAGGATAGTCTAACAGATGGTGCTGGAACAATTGAACCTCCATATTCAAAGAAAAAAAAAATGAACCCTCACCTGTTGAGTGTAGGTGTTGCCTCACCTACATCCAACACTGTATTTAAAAATTAACTCAAAATAAATCATGGACATAGATGTAAAATTATAAAACATTTAGAGGAGAATATATGAAAAGAATCTTACTGGGTTAGACAAAGAGTTCTTAGATGCAACACCGAAAGAGTATCCATAAAAGAAAAATTCAGGCTGGGCGCGGTGGCTCACATCTGTAATCCCAGCACTTTGGGAGGCTGAGGCGGGCGGATCTCGAGGTCGGGAAATCGAGGCCATCCTGGCTAACACGGTAAAACCCCGTCTCTACTAAAAATACAAAAAATTAGTTGGGCATGGTGGCGGGGGCCTGTAGTCCCAGCTACTCAGGAGGCTGAGGCAGGAGACTGGCATGAACCCGGGAGGCGGAGCTTGCAGTGAGCCGAGATCATGCCACTGCACTCCAGCCTGGGCAACAGAGCGAGACTCCATCTCAAAAAAAAAAAAAAAAAAAAAAAAAAAAAGAAATTTATAAATTGGACTAATGAAAAAGCTTTTCTCTGTGAAAGACACTGTTGAGTGAGAAAAAAAAAAAAAAGCCACTGACTGGGAGAAAAAAAATCACCTATGAAAAGATTTCTTTCATCCAGAACTCAAAACTCAACAATAAGAACAAAACCCAATTATGAAACAGATTTCAACAGATACTTCACCACAGAAGATTTAATCATTACAAAAATGCAAATTAAAACCACAATGAGATGGCACTATTCTCCATTAGAATAACTGTAATTTAGAAAAATCACTAAGTGCTGGGAACTATGTAGAGCAGCTGAAACTCTGATACAGTCCTGGTAGGAGTGCAAAATGATAGAGCCGCTCTGGGAAACAGGTTGGTGGTTTCCTATAAAGTAACTGTGTGACTCAGCCGTCTCTTCTGGATGGGTACCCGGGAGAAATGAAAGCTTATGTTTATGGAAAAAAACCTATAAGTAAATGTTCATAACAACTTTATCTGTAATAACCAAAAACTAGAAATGTTTCAAGTGTTCTTTAGCTTTTAAAAGAATAGGCCAGGTGCGATGGTTCACGCCTATAATCCCAGCACTTTGGGAGGCTGAGGTGGGGGGATCACTTGAGGTCAGGAGTTCAAGAGTAGCTTGACCAACATGGTGAAACCCTGTCTCTACTGAAAATACAAAAAATTAGCCGGGCCTGGTGGCAGGTGCCTGTAATCCCAGCTACTTGGGAGGCTGAGGCAGGAGAATTGCTTGAATCCTTGAGGCGGAGGTTGCAGTGAGCCAAGATTGCACTACTGCACTCCAGCCTGGGCGACAAGAGCAAAAACTCCATCTCAAAAAAAAAAAAAAAAAAAAAAGAATAAACTGTGGTACATCCATATAGTAACATCTATTCAACAATAAAAAGGGATAAACTACAGCTACATGCAGTAACCCCAAATGCATCATGCTAAATAAAATGAGCTAGACTCAAAGGATACATGCTGTGTGATTTCATTTATATGAAATTCTGGAAAAAGTGAACTGTAGGACAAAGAACAGATCATTGCTTACCAGGGATGAAGACTGGAGATGGATTTTGACTGCACAGTGACAGCACAAGAGAAGTTGAGTGGGTTGTGGAACTGTTCTTGAAGTGTCAGCAAGGACTGAGTAGTGGATTGAGTAGAGCAAGCAGACTCAAAGAATTTGCTTTAGAAGTATAAATTGTCTCGTTAGAATTCAACTGTAAAGAGAAAAATGTATATAAATTGGTACAACCACTTTGGAGAGCTATTTCGGATGTGCTCTGGTAAAGCTGAAAATGGTCACATGCTACTACACAAGTATACTTCTAGATGTATACCCAAATGAAATCGTCATACCTGTGCATAAAGAGAAGACAACAATGTTTACAGCAGTATTAGCTAATTATAAAAGTAGAAGCAAGCTAAATGCCCAATAGGAGAATGGATACATAGTGATTTATTTCTATAATTGGTATGAGGTTTTAAAATATATGGAACAATACAACATATTTTTATAGATATGTAAGTATGAAAATATTAAGTGTGCTTTAAGTGAAATTAAACAATATTTATTAGATCTCATTCTTCATTGAAATATTCCTTGAAAAGATAATTCCATATTCACAAATTTTTAGGAGCGTTACCTGGAATATTGACTATAGAAGAATGTTGTATTGCTTTTAATAAAAGTAAATCAGTTAAACTTAAAAAAATTATTACAGTTGACATGGGAATTGGATCAAATTTTAAAATTTGAATGTTTAAATGTGTAAATAGGCCAGGCGCAGTGGCTCACGCTTGTAAACCCAGCACTTTGGGAGTCTGAGGCAGGCGGATCACTTGAGGTCAAGAGTTCGAGACCAGCCTGGGCAACATAGTGAAACCCCATCTCTACTAAAAATACAAAAAATTAGCCAGGTGTGGTGGTGCACACCGGTAGTCCCAACTACTCAGGAGGCTGAGGCACAAGAATCTCTTGAATTGGGGGTGGAGGCTGCAGTGAGAGCCGCGATCACGCGACTGAACTCCAACCTAGGAGACAGAGTGAGATTCTGTCTAAAAAAAGAAAACAAACAAACAAAAAAGTGTAAATAGATGGTTTTATTTAAGAAATCTAAATTAAATGTTAAAAGTCACCATTACCCTTGAATACTAAATGTGAGAAACTAGTTCATGGGTGATGTTTAAGAAAAATATCCATTTATAAATATAAAAAGAAGCCAGTCACGGTGGCCCATGCCTGCAGTCCCAGCACTTTGGGAGGCTGAGGCGGAAGGATCACTTGAGCCTGGCAGTTCAAGACCAGCCTAGACAACATGGCAAGACCCTGTCTCTATTTTTAAAATTAAAAATATATTTTAAAAATAAATATACAAAAGAAGGCATCGATGTTTAAGAGTATACAAATAGTGTTTTAGTCCACTTTTATCAGTGGCCTTTTCATGATAGTAGCTTTCTGGGGATTTCATTTCTGTTGGGGTCTTCAGGGGCTCCAATAAATAGCATCCCTTTTCCCTGGTGGAGTGCTGAACCAATTGAGAAATAAAAGTGTCAGTGTGTAGGGAGTTGGAAAAGCCTCTTTACCACAGTGAAGGCTAGGATAGAGAGAGCAACGCAGAGAGATGATCTAATTAGTGTTGGCAACTCCTTGCCCACCAGTTCTACGTCTCACCTAAGTCTAGAACAGCCCATTCCACTCCAGGGAAAGTTCGCATCTGCAGAGCAGACCGGCCTACCCAGTCCCACTTCCTATGAGGGGAGGGAAAAAGAAACCAAACTCCCACCATCCAGGTAACTTGCCCTGCCTCCCTGGGTAGGATATAGGGATAGGGTAAGAGGTCACTTACTTGATGAAAGTTGTAAGTAAAAGATCCCTTCTCATGCAATCTGGAGTAAAAGAAAAGTAGTTTATGCCCTTCTCCCAACATTGCAATTTGTCAGATTCACGTTATGAATATTTCCCAAAAATTTGTTGAACTAAACAATTCAATATTTAGCTGTATTTACAGTAGAAAAGTGCTGTGATCTTGTTATTATTTATCTTTAACTCGATGTTTTTTTAAAAATATGTCTTTGAAGAGCATTTACTATAGCCTTATATAATACCATATTTATTTGGATTAAAAGAAAAGCAGAGAGTAAATATAAATACTTCAGACAGCTTGATTATTCTACTGATACTTCTACCAAGTCATAGTTTTACAAGCCTAGTCACTTTCTCATTGTCTGCCATGAGCAAGAATTATACTGGATGAAACTGAGCCAGTGACCTTCCATTGGAAGACATCACAGTCTAGTGGAAGAGGGAAGTCATTACAGCATTAGAGCTCGCTACCAGAGTGTGAGCGGAGGGTTTGGGTTATATAAGTGATGGAAAACTAATGAGAACTGTTGATATATTTAAGAAAACATATTGCTTCTTTGTTAAAATACACGCATGAAGACTTTGTAAAGTTTTGAACTGGAAATCCTATTTCATTACCAATTTTCCACCATTCTCACGGAAGTGGTGAACCAGTCATTTCAAATAAACCAAAATTATTTAGTCAAAATGTAATTCTTTAAGCTATATTTTGTAAGTTGTTCTCTCTTAGTTTTATGCCATCAAGGTATTTGGTGGGGTGGGGGGGGAATATATGACATGACATTTTTGTTTTATTAATCTCTTCGAATTAAAGGGTAGATGTGGCATACTGCTCCCTCAGAAATAATAGCTAGGAAGTGAATACTCATTAGATGTCTTGAATGGCAATTCAAAGGTAATCTTTATTCACTCACTCAAATTTTATTTTAATGATAGAGTCACATATGAGAAACTAGAGCCCAAACAGGGAACACTGTGTGAGTATGTAAAGCGCTTCATGGAATGAGAAGGACGCACATTTAGAGTCAGACCAACCTGGGTTTAATCCTTGCCACCGAATAACAGATTCATCTCTGCCCACAAAAAAACATGATACCTACTTCATTAGGCTCTTCTGGAGATTAATGCTTAAAATCTAAATTCACAATGTAAGAGAAATCGCCAAACAAGAATGGGTCAAGAGTGTTTAGGAAATAACTTAGAACCATTTAGCTATAAAATTTGAATGGGGGATGCTAATAGAGCTTCCTTTGATAGTACAGTTGACGTCTGCCTGTCTGAAAATGCAGGTATTGTTAAGAGGTGAAATAAAGCAACCATGTAGAACAGTAGGATATTGTGTAAATAAATAATAGGACATCCGGGAATAGGTATGGCTAAGAGTATAGATAAAAACATTTTTATATGTTACAGCTAAAGTAGGATGTGTATATCTTACAATTAAACACAGGTTTTTTTAATGTGCAGAAAGAGTGAAAAGAAACTCACCAATTAATCACATGCATTGTTGGAATAATAGAAATATGAGTGATTATTTTATTTTCTCCCCTGTCCAGTACCATGAGATTGCTTTTATAATGAGAAAAATGTGAGATAGTTATGCCTTGTGAGCAAAAAGTTTCTACTCTTTATAGACAAAACACAAAGTAAGTTCCTTAATGCTTGGTTCCATTATAAAGACAACCAAAGAAACAGATCATTAATCTTAGTTCCTCTCACTATTTAGGCATCAGCCATTTATCGATTATGGTTTTCTGTCAGCTGTCATTCGGTGTCCCATGTTGTCTGTGGAAAATAGAAATAGAAAAATTCAAATTAATATATCTTTTTAAAAGCAGTGTTTTTGTGTTAATATTACAGATTTATTTGAGGTTCCTAGATTATCAAATGGAGCACTCAAATGAATGCAAGAGAAACTTCGTTGCAGTCTATGATGGAAGCAGTTCTATTGAAAACCTGAAGGCCAAGTTTTGCAGCACTGTGGCCAATGATGTAATGCTTAAAACAGGAATTGGAGTGATTCGAATGTGGGCAGATGAAGGTAGTCGGCTTAGCAGGTTTCGAATGCTCTTTACTTCCTTTGTGGAGCGTAAGTAAATAATTCCTATAGTATTGAGATCTTTTACATATTTTTCACTCATTCACAGTACACTCAGCATTTACTTTTTTAAAATATTTATTTTAGGATGTTTTTTTTTGTTTTACTACAGCTCTTTTTAATGCAAGAATATTATTTAAATTTAAAATATTTTAAATTTTATTTAATTTTTAGAGGTGGGGTGTTGATTTGTTGCACAGGCTGGCCTTAAACTCCTGGGCTCAAGCGATCCTCTGCTTCAGCCTCCCAAGTAGCTGAGACTGCAGGCACACGGCACTATACCAGGCAGCATTTACTTTTGACAAAAATGTGCAAGTCACAAGGTAGGAGCAACTATATCTTGGTCCCTGTTCTCTTGGAATGGACTGGTATGGGTGAAAAAACCATGTTAACATATCAATTGGAACACTCATTATAAAGGTGTAAACAAATGGTAGAGATTGCAGACAGGGAAGACTTATACTTTCTCTCAAGATTTTCTAACTTAGTAGTAGTATTAATTTAGCTTGGTGAATAGTTATGAATCCATGAAACTATGGTCATCAAAGATTTAGATATGCCATAGATCTTTTTCTTTTTAAATAACTTTAAACTTACAGAACATTGTAAAAATGATAGATTCCCTATGTGCCGTTCACTCAGATTCCACTAATGCCAACATCTCTCAAAGCCAGAGTAAAACTGAAAATTAACACAGATACGATATTATTAACTAAGCTATAGACCGGTCCGGTATCTCTAGTTTTGCTATGAAGGTCCTTTTATGATCCAGTTTCCCACATTGCTTTTAGTTGTCAAGTATCCTTAGCCTTCTCCATCTGTGACAGTTACTCTGTCTGCATCTTTCCTTGGCACATTGTCAAGAGTACTAGCTAGCCAGTTTAGTAGAATGTCCATCAGTTTGGGTTTGTCTAATGTTTCTTAGGGATTCCATTGAGGCTGTGTATTTCTGTCAGGAATACCACAGAAACTATGTTGTGCCCTTCTAATTACATCATGTCAGTGAAGCAGGGGTACATGGTACCATTTTGTCTTATTGCTGGTGATGTTAACTTTGATCACTTCATTAAGGTGCTGTCTGCCAGTTTTCTTCACTAAAAAGTTGCTATTTTTTTCCTTTCTAATTAATAAGTCTCTTTGAGACTATGCCAATATCTTCTAACCCACTAATTTTAGCATCCATTGTTGGCTTCTGCCTGTAACAGTTACTACTGTAGCGTTTACCTAATCATGATTTTCCATTTCCATCATACCTTCTGTATACATTAATTAACATTCTGCTGTGAGAAAAACTATCCCTTTTTCCTCACTTATTCAGTTATTAATAATTACATCAGTATGGGCTCATGGATATTTTATTTTATTCTATTGTTATAATATTAATAATATTATTATTGTGACCGGGCATCGTGGCTCATGCCTGTAATCCCAGCACTTTGGGAGGCCGAGGCGGCAGATCACTTGAGGTCAGGAGTTCGAGACCAGCCTGGGCAACATGGGGAAACCCCCATCTCTACTAAAAATACAAAAATTAGCTGGGCATGGTGGCAGGTGCCTATAGTCCCAGCTACTCAGGAGGCTGAGGTGGGAAAATCACCTGAGCCCAGGAGGTCAAGGCTGCAGTGAGCTAAGATCACACCACTGCACTCCAGCCTGGGTGACCAGAGTGAGACTGTCTCAAAAAAAAATTATTGTTTTCTATGATACTAACACTATTTTGTTGCTCAAAGCCCGAGCTTCAGCCATTGGAAGCTCCTTCAGTTTGCCTCCTCTGTCCTCTCAACATACCGAATTAATAGTTTTTAAATTATTTTCTTACTTTACGGCAATGCTGGATGAACCAGGCTCAACTAGTGTTTTCCCTGACCCAACGCTGGACCAGCCGCATTTCCAAGGAGCCCTTTCTTCATCTTAAACAGCGAGAAACCTGACTAATTATCTGAAATGGATTAATTTGTTTAATCCTAATATACACAAAAAGTAACTTCACAATTGCTAATCCATATCCCTTTGAGAAATTTCCTAACAAAATACCTTACGTACAGTTCTTTCTATGTTTAACTTTACTGTCAAGATACTGTTTTCCAGTTACTCAGGCTAGTGGTTTATATTTCATTTTGTGCACCCCCCCAACATCATGGTGTCTGTACATTGTTTTTATGTGGGAGTTGTGGAAACATAATTGTTGTTCCTAGGAGCCCACATCCCAAGAGGGACACTTGGAGGTGTCCTTGCCTCCTTCATTCTCTGCCTTCCATTTCTTACCTCTATCTGGATTTCTTTTTGCACAAATGAGCAGATACATCTGTATTTTCTTATGTGCCATTTTTTCTTATGTGAAGGACAGCATTATTCTTTTACACTTTATGTTTTTAACTTAAAAGTATATCCTGGTCAGGTGCAGTGGCTCACACCTGTAATCCCAGCACTTTGGGAGGCCAAGGTCGGCGGATCACTTGAGGTCAGGAGTTTGAGACCAGCCTGGGCAATGTGGCAAAACCCCATCTCTACTAAAGATACAAAAATTAGTGGGGCATGGTAGCACGCGCCTATAATTCCATCTACTGGGCAGGGTGAGGCATGAAAATTGCTTGAAACTGGGAGGTGGAGGTTGCAGTGATCTGAGATCAGGCCACTGCACTCTCCAGCCTGTGTGACAGAGTGAGACCCTGTCTCAAAAAAAAAAAAAAATTATATCCTGGAAACCATTCCATATCAATTCATAGAGCACATTTTTATTTTATAGCTGCATAGTACAGCATTGTATACACCAACTTTATTTTATCTTCTACTTATGGTGGGCATATAGGTTATTCCCAATATTTGCAGTTATAAAGAAGCTACAGTGAATAATGTTATGCGTATGTCATTTTGTATTGTTAGAGACATATCTTCAGGATAAATTCCTAGAAGTGGGATTGTTTGGTTTAAAAAGTTGTGTAATTTCGTTAGATATTGCCAAAAACCCTTCCGGAAGGGTTGTAGCTTTTTTTTTCAACTGTGGCAAAATATACATGGCATAAAATTTACCCTCAGTCACTTTTAAATGTACAAATCAGTGGCATTAAGTACATGCACATTGTTGTGCAACCATCACCACTGTCTTTAGAGCATTTTTATCATCCCAAACTGAAACTCTATACCCATGAAACAGTTCCTTCCCATTTTTCTCTCTCCCTACCCTGGTAACCTCTATTCTTCTTTCTGTCTCTGTGAATTTCCATATTCTGGGTAACTCATAGTAGAATCATATAATATTTGTCCTTTTATGTCTGGCTTATTTCACTTAGCATAATGATTTCAAGGTTCATCCATGAAATCTTTCCATGGTTCATCCATGAAATCTTTCCATGGTTCATCCATGTGGTCATATGTATCAGAATTGTATTCTTTTTTAAGGCTAAATAATATTCCATAAGTAAATGCCACATTTTCTTTATACATTCATTCATCTGTTGATGGATGTTTGATTGTTTCTACCTTTGAGCTATGATGAGTACTGCTGCTGTGTAGAATTGCTGGATCATATGGGAAATCTGTGTTTAAGTTTTTGAGGAACCGGCAAACTTTTCCACAGTGGCTGCACCATTTTACACACCGACCAGCAGTGCACAGAGGGTTCCAGTTTCTCCACATGTTCACCAATACCTGTTATTTTTCATATTTTTGGATAATAGCCATCCTAATATGTGTAAAGTAACATCTCATTGTGGTTTTGATTTGCCTAATGATTAGTAATGTTGAGCATTCTTCCATGGGCTTCTTGGCTATTCATACATCTTCTTTGCAGAAAGGTCTCTTCACATCCTTTGCCCGCTTTTGAATTTTTTTTTAAGTTGTAGACGTTCTCTGTGTATTCTGGATATTAATCCCTTATTGTGTATGTGATTAGCAGACTTTTTTGCACTCTGTTTGTTGTCTTTTCACTCCCTTGATATAGTGTCCTTTTGGGTACAAAAGTTTTGAATTTTGATGAAGCCCAAATTAATGTGGGTTTTTTTTGTTGTTGTTTTTGGTGTGATATCCAAGAAATCATTGTCAAAACCAATGTCATGAAGCTTTTCTCATATGTTTGCTTCTGAGAGTTTTATAGTTTTAGCTCTTGTAATACATTTAAGTCTTTGATGTATTTGGAGTTAATTTTTGTATATAGTGTAAGTTAAGGCTCCAACTTCATTCTTTTTCATGTGGATATCCAGCTTTCCCAGGATCATTTTTTGAAAACACTGTCCTTTCCTATTGAATGGTCTTGGCACCCCTGTCAAAAATCAATTAGATCTGGGCACAGTGGCATACACCTGTAGTCCCAGCTATACAGGAGGCTGAGGCAGGAGGATTGCTTGAGTCCAGGAGTTTGAGACCAGCCTAGGCAGGAGTTCAAGACCAGCCTGGTCAACATAGCAAAACCCCATCTCTATTTTTCTTTAAAAAAGTAAAAAAAAGAAAAAAAAAAAGGCCAGGCACAGTGGCTCATGCCTGTTATCCGAGCACTTTGGGAGGCCAAGGTGGGTGGAACACCTGAGGTCAGGAGTTTGAGACCAGCCTGGCCAACATGACAAAACCCCATCTCTACTAAAAGTACAAAATTTAGCCAGGCGTGGTGGCACACGCCTGTAATCCTAGCTTCTCAGGAGGCTGAGGCAGGACAGTCACTTGAACCTGGGAGGCAGAGGTCACAGCGAGCCGAGATCGTGCCACTGCACTCCAGCCTGGGCAACAGAGCTAGACTCTGTCCAAAAAAAAAAGAAATTATGTGAAGATTTATTTCTGGCCTCTTAATTCCATTGGTCTATATGTCTGTTGTTATGCCAGTAGCAACTGTTTTGATAACTGTAGATTTGTAGTAAGTTTTGAAATCAGGAAGTATGAGTCCTCCAACTTTTTTCTTGTTTTTCAAAACTGGATTGGCTATTCATGGTTCATTGAGATTTCATGAACTTTAGGATGACTTTTTCTATTTCTGCAGAAACACTGTTGGGATTTTGATAGGGATCATTTTAAATCTGTGGGTCACTTTGAGTAATATTGTCATCTTAACTGTATGAAGTCTTCCCATTCATGAACACAGGATGTATATTCCCATTGATTTTTCATCTGTAATTCATTCAGCAATGTTTTGTAGTTTTCAGCATACAAATGTTTTGCCCCCTTAGTTAAATTTATTCCTAATATTTTATTCTTTTTAATGCTATTATACTGGAATTATTTTCTTAATTTCCTTTTCTAATTGTTAATTGGCAGTGTTTAGAAATGCAACGGATTTGTGTATGCGGGTTTTGCATCCTGCAACTTTGTTGACTTAGTTTATTAGCTCTAACGGGGGTGTGGGTGTGGGGGTGGGTGTGATCTTTAGGGTTTTCTGCATATAAGATTGTGTTGTCTGTGAACAGAGAAAACCTTTTATCTTCCTTTCCAATTTGGATACCTTTTATTTCCTTTTCTTGCCTAATTGCTCTAACCAGAACTTCCAGTATATATTCAATAGAAGTGAAATTGGGTATCTGTCTTATTCTTGATCTTAGTGGAGCTCTGTCCTTCACTACTGATTATGATGTTAGCTTTGGGTTTTTCATATATGGCCTTTGTCATGTGAAGGAAATTTTTTTTCTATTCATAGTTAATTGAATGTTCTTATGAAAGCCTGTTGAATTTTGTCAAATGCTTTTTTAAAAATTCATTGAGTTCATCATGTAGTTTTTTTCCCTTACTGTAAATGTGATGTATTAAATTGGTGGACTTTTGTATATTGAACCACTCATGCATTCTGGGAATAATTCCCACTTGTTCTTGGTGTATAATCATTTTATATGTTGCTGAATTCTGAAGTAATAATTTTCTTGAGGATTTTTATATTAATATTCATAAGGGATATTGGTCTTTAGGTTTTTTTGTGTATCTTTTTCTAGCTTTGGTATCAGAGTAATTCTGGCCTCATAGAATGAGTAACTAGTTCTGGCCTCATAGAATGAGTAAGTAGTGTTTGTTCTTCAACTTTTTCAAAGAGTTTGAGGATTAGTGTTAATTTTTTTTTATTATTACAATACTTGAAGTTCTGGGATACATGTGCAGAACATGCAGGTTTGTTACATAGGTATACACCTGCCATGCTGGTTTGCTGCATCCATCAACCCATCATCCACATTTCTCCTAATATTATCACTACCCTAGGCCCTCATCCCCCAACAGGCCCCGGTGTGTGACGTTCCTTCCCCTCCCTGTGCCCACGTGTTCTTATATTTCAGCTCCCACTTATGAGTGAGAACATGCAGTGTTTGGTTTTCTTTTCCTATGTTAGTTTGCTGAGAATGATGATTTCCAGCTTCATCCATGTCCGTGCAAAGGACATGAACTCATCCTTTTTTATGGCTGCATAGTATTCCATGGTATATATGTGCCACATTTTCTTTATCCAGTCTATCATTGATGAGCATTTGGGTTGGTTCCAAGTCTTTGCTATTATGAATAGTGCTACAATAAACATGTGTGTGCATGTGCCTTTATAGCAGCATGATTTGTAATCCTTTGGATATATATCCAGTAATGAGATTGCTGGGTCAAATGGTATTTCTGGTTCTAGATCCTTGAGGAGTCTCCATACTCTTCTACGATGGTTGAACTAATTTACACTCCCACCAACAGTATAAAAGAGCTCCTGTTTATCCACATCCTCTCCAGCATCTGTTGTTTTCTGACTTTTTAGTGATAGCCATTCTAACTGGTGTGAGATGGTAGCTCATTGTGGTTTTGATTTGCATTTCTCTAATGACCGTGATGATGAGCTTTTTTTCATGTCTTTCTTGGCTGCATAGATGTCTTCTTTTGAGAAGCATATGTTCATATCCTTCACCCACTTTTTGATGGGGTTGTTTTTTTTTTTTTTTCTTGTAAATTTGTTTAAGTTCCTTATAGATTCTGGATATTAGCCCTTTGTCAGATGGATAGATTGCAAAAATTTTCTCCGATTCTGTAGGTTGCCTGTTCACTGTGATAATAGTTTCTTTTGCTGTGCAGAAGCTCTTTAGTTTAGTTAGATCCATTTGTCAATTTTGGCTTTTGTTGCCATTGCTTTTGGTGTTTTAGTCATGAAGTCTTTGCCCATGCCTATCTCCTGAATGGTATTGCCTAGGTTTTCTTCTAGGGTTTTTATGGTTTTAGGTCTTATGTTTAAGGCTTTAGTCTATCTTGAGTTACTTTTTATATAAGGTCCAGTTTCTGGAAGGGGTCCAGTTTCAGTTTTCTGCATATGGCTAGCCAGATTTCCCAATACCATTTATTAAATAGGAAATCCTTTCCCCATTGCTTGTTTTCGTCAGATTTGTCAAAGATCAGATGGTTGTAGATATGTGACGTTGTTTCTGAGGCCTCTGTTCTGTTCCATTGGTCCATGTATCTGTTTTGATACCAGTACCTTGCTGTTTTGGTTACTGTGGCCTTGTAGTATAGTTTGAAAGTAAGGAAGCATGATGCCTCCAGCTTTGTTCTTTTTGCTTAGGATTGTCTTGGCTATACAGGCTCCTTTTTGGTTCCTACGAAATTTAAACTAGTTTTTTCTAATTCTGTGAAGAAAGTCAAATGGTAGCTTGATGGGGATAGCATTGAATCTATAAATTACTTTGGGCAGTATGGCCATTTTCACGATATTGATTCTTCCTATCCATGAGCATGGAATGTTTTTACATTTGTTTGTGTCCTCTCTTATTTCCTTGAGCAGTGGTTTGTAGTTCTCCTTGAAGTGGTCCTTCACATCCCTTGTAAGTAGTATTCCTAGGTATTTTATTCTCTTTGTAGCAGTTGTGAATGGGAGTTCACTCATGATTTGGCTCTCTGTCTATTATTGGTGTATAGGAATCCTTGTGATTTTTGCACATTGATTTTGTATCCTGAGACTTTGCTGAAGTTGCTTATCAGCTTTAAGGAGATTTTGGGCTGAGACGATGGGGTTTTCTAAATATACAATCATGTCATCTGCAAACAGAGACAATTTAACTTCCGGTCTTCCTGTTTGAATACACTTTATTTCTTTATCTTGCCTAATTGCCCTGGCCAGAACCTCCAATACTATGTTGAATAGGAGTGGTAAGAGAGGGCATCCTTGTCTTGTGCCAGTTTTCAAAGGGAATGCTTCCAGCTTTTGCCCATTCAGTATGATATTGGCTGTGGGTTTGTCATAAATCCCTCTAATTATTTGGAGATACGTTCCATCAATACCTGGTTTATTGAGAGTTTTTAGCATGAAGGGGTGTTGAATTTTATAGAAGGCCTTTTCTGCGTCTATTGAGATAATAATGTGGTTTTTCTCATTGGGTCTGTTTATGTGATTTGCTTATGTTGAGCCAGCCTTGCATCCGAGGGATGAAGCTGACTTGATTGTGGTAAATATGCTTTTTGATGTGCTGCTGGATTTAGTTTGCCAGTATTTTATTGAGGATCTTCACATCGATGTTCATCAGGGATATTGGCCTGAAATTTTCTTTTTTGTTGTGTCTCTGCCAGGTTTTGTTACCAGGATGATGCTGGCCACATAAAGTGAGTTATGGAGAAGTCCCTCTTTTCTGTTGTTTGGAATACTTTCAGAACGAATGGTACCAGCTCCACTTTGTACCTCTGGTAGAATTTGGGTGTGAATCCATCTGGTCCTGGGCTTTTTTTGGTTGGTAGGCTATTAATTACTGCCTCAATTTCAG
Organism: Homo sapiens; assembly: GCF_000001405.40. Taxonomy (NCBI): domain Eukaryota; kingdom Metazoa; phylum Chordata; class Mammalia; order Primates; family Hominidae; genus Homo; species Homo sapiens. The sequence continues at coordinate 47,100,789 of NC_000016.10, read as the reverse complement.
AACTTGTTATCGGTCTACTCAGGGATTCAACTTCTTCCTGGTTTAGTCTTGGGAGGGTGTATGTGTCCAGGAATTTATCCATTTCTTCTATATTTTCTAGTTTATTTGCGTAGAGGTGTTTATAGTATTCTCTGATGGTAATTTCTATTTCTGTGGGATCAGTGATTATATCTCCTTTATCATTTTTTATTGTGTCTATTTGATTCTTCTCTCTTTTCTTCTTTATTAGTCTGACTAGCGGTCTATCTATTTTGTTAATCTTTTCAAAAAACCAGCTCCTGGACTCATTGCTTTTGTTTTTTTTTGTGTCTCTGTCTCCTTCAGTTCTGCTCTGATCTTAGTTATTTTGTCTTCTGCTAACTTTTGAATTTGTTTGCTCTTGCTTCTCTAGTTCTTTTAATTGTGATGTTAGGGTGTCGATTTTAGATCTTTCCCACCTTCTCCTGTGGGCATTTAGTGCTGTAAATTTCCCTCTAAACACTGCTTTAGCTGTGTCCCAGAGATTCTGGTACGTTGTATCTGTTCTCATTGGTTTCAAAGAACTTATTTATTTCTGCCTTAATTTTGTTATTTACCCCATAGTCATTCAGGAGCAGGTTGTTCAGTTTCCATGTAGTTGTGTGGTTTTGAGTGAGTTTCTTAATCCTGAGTTCTAATTTGATTGCACTGTTGTCTGAGAGACTGTTTGTTATGATTTCTGTTCTTTTGCATTTGCTAAGGAGTGTTTTACCTCCAATTATGTGGTCAATTTTAGAATAAGTGTTATGTGGTGCTGAGAAGAATGTACATTCTGTTGATTTGGGTTGAAGAGTTCTATAGATGTCTATTAGGTCTGCTTGGTACAGAGCTGAGTTCAAGTCCTGAATATCCTTGTTAATTTTCCGTCTCGTTATCTGTCTAATATTGACAATGAGTTGTTAAAGTCTTTCACTATTATTGTGTGGGAGTCTTAAGTCTCTTTGTAGGTCTCTAAGAACTTGCTTTATGAATCTGGGTGCTCCTGTATTGGGTGCATATATATATTTAGGATAGTTAGCTCTTGTTGCGTTGATCCCTTTACCATTATGTAATGCCCTTCTTTGTCTTTTTTGATCATTGTTAGTTTAAAGTCTGTTTTATCAGAGACTAGAGTGCAACCTCTGCTTTTTTTTTTCTTGCCATTTGCTTGGTAAATATTCCTCCATCTGTTTATTTTGAGCCTATGTATGTCTTTGCACATGAGATGGATCTCCTAAATACAGCACACTGATGGGTCTTGACTCTATCCAATTTGCCAGTCTGCGTCTTTTAATTGGGGGCATTTAGCCCATTTACATCTAAGGTTAATATTGTTATGTGCGAATTTGATCCTGTCATTATGATGGTAGCTGGTTATTTTGCCCATTAGTTGTTGCAGTTTCTTCATAGTGTCAATGGTCTTTAAAATTTGGTATGTTTTTGCAGTGGCTGGTACCAGTTTTTCCTTTCCATATTTAGTGCTTCCTTCAGGAGCTCTTGTAAGGCAGGCCTGGTGGTGACAGAGTCTCTTAGCATTTGCTTGTCTGTAAAGGATTTTATTTCTCCTTCACTTACGAAGCTTAGTTTGGCTGGATATGAAATTCTGGGTTGAAAATTCTTTTAAGAATGTTGAGGCTGGGCGCAGTGGCTCACACACCTGTAATCCCAGCACTTTGGGAGGCCAAGGCAGGTGGATCACGAGGTCAGGAGTTCAAGACCAGCCTGGCCAAGATGTTGAAATCCCATCTCTACTAAAAATACAAAAATTACCCAGGTGTGGTGGTGGGCGCCTGTAATCCCAGCTACTCGTGAGGCTGAGAGAATTGCTTGAACCCATTGAACCCAGGAGGCAGAGGTTGCAGTGAGCCTAGATTGTGACAGAGCGAGACTCCGTCACATACACAAAAAAAAAGAATGTTGCATATTGGCCCCCACTCTCTTGTGGCTTGTAGGGTTTCTGCAGAGAGATCGCTGTTAGTCTGATGGGCTTCCCTTTGTGGGTAACCCGACCTTTCTCTCTGGCTGCCCTTAACATTTTTTCCTTCATTTCAACCTTGGTGAATCTGACGATTATGTGTCTTGGGGTTGCTCTTCTCAAGGAGTATCTTTGTGGTGGTCTCTGTATTTCCTGAATTTGAATGTTGGCCTGTCTTGCTAGGTTGGGGAAGTTCTCTTGGATAATATCCTGAAGAGTGTTTTCCACCTTGGTTCCATTCTCCCTGTCACTTTCAGGTACACCAGTCAAACGTAGGTTTGGTCTTTTCACGTAGTCCCATATTTCTTAGAGACTTTGTTCGTTCCTTTTAATTCTTTTTTCTCTAATTTTGTCTTCCCGCTTTATTTCATTAAACTGATCTTCAATCTCTGATATCCTTTCTTCCACTTGATCCATTCAGCTGTTGATACTTACATATGCTTCACGAAGTTCTCATGCTGTGTTTTTCAGCTCCATCAGGTCATTTATGTTCTTCTCTAAACTGGTTGTTCTAGTTAGCAATTCCTCTAACCTTTTTTCAAGGTTCTTAGCTTCCTTGCATTGGGTTAGAACATGCTCCTTTAGCTCGGAGAAGTTTGTTATTACCCACATTCTGAAGCCTACTTCTGTCAATTCATCAAATTCATTCTCCATCCAGTTTTGTTCCCTTGCTGGCAAGGGGTTGTGATCCTTTGGAGGAGAAGAGGAGTTCTGGTTTTTGGAATTTTCAGGCTTTTTGCAGTGTTTTTTCCTTATCTTCATGGATTTATCTACCTTTGGTCTTTGATGTTGGTGACCTTTGGATGTGGTTTATGTGTGGACGCCCATTTTATTGATGTTGATGCTATTCCTTTCTGTTTGTTAGTTTTCCTTCTAACAGTCAGGCCCCTCTGCGGCAGATCTGCTGGAGTTTGCTGGAGGTCCACTCCAGACCCTGTTTGCCTGTGTATCACTAGTGGAGGCTACAGAATAGCAAAGATTGCTACCTTTTCCTTTCTCTGGAAGCTTCGTCCCAGAAGGGCACCCACCAGATGCCAGCTGGAGCTCTCCTGTGTGAGGTGTCTGTCGACCCCTTCTGTGAGGTATCTCCCAGTCAGGAGGCATGGGGATCAGGGACCCACTTGAGGAGGCAGTATGTCCCTTAGGAGAGCTCGAGTGCTGTGCTGGGAGGTCTGCTGCTCTCTTCAGAGCCGGCAGGCAGGAACGTTTAAGTCTGCTGAAGCTGCACCCACAGCGGCCCCTTCCCCCAGGTGCTCTGTCCCACGGAGATGGGAGTTTTATCTATAAGCCCCTGACTGGGACTGCTGCCTTTCTTTCAGAGATGCCCTGCCCAGAGAGGAGGAATCTAGAGAGGCAGTCTGGCTACAGCAGCTTTGCTGAGCTGCGGTGGGCTCTGCCCAGTTCAGACTTCCCTGTGGCTTTGTTTACACTGTGAGGGGAAAACCACCTACTCAAGCCTCAGTCATGGCAGATGCCCCTCCCCCTACCAAGCTCAAGCGTCCCAGGTCAACTTCAGACTGCTGTGCTGGCAGTGAGAATTTCTAGCCAGTGCATCTTCGTCTGAAGGGCCCCGTGGGGGTGGGATCTGCTGAACTACACCACTTGGCTCCCTGGTTTCAGCCCCCTTTCCAGGGGAATGAACAGTTCTGTCTCGCTGGCGTTCCAGGCACCACTAGGGTATGAAAAAAAACTTCTGCAGGTAGCTCGGTGTCTGCCCAAATGGCCGCCAGTTTTATGCTTGAAACCCAGGTCCCTGGTGGTGTAGGCACCCGAGGGAATCTCCTGGTCTGCGGGTTGTGAAGACCATGGGAAAAGTGTAGTATCTGGGCCAGAATGCGCCGTTCCCTCATGGCTTCCCTTGGCTAGGGGAGGGAGTTCCCCGACCCCTTGAGCTTCCCAAGTGAGGTGACCCTCCACCCTGCTCCTACTCGTCCTCCGTGGGCTGTACCCACTGTCTAACCAGTCCCAGTGAAATGAGCTGGGTACCTCAGTTAGAAATGCAGAAATCACCTGCCTTCTGCCTTGATCTCATGGGGAGCTGCAGACTGGAACTGTTCCTATTCGGCCATCTTGCCCAGGAATCAACTGATTGGTGTTAATTCTTTACATGTTTAGTAGAATTCACCAGTGAAGCCATGTGATCCAGAGCCTTTCTTTGTTGAGAAGTTCTGGATTCTTTTTTTAATCTCCTTGCTAGTTTTAGGCCTATTCAGATTTTCTTTGGCTTCATTATGCAGTTTTGATTGTGTGTTTCTAGGAATTCATCCATTTCCTCTAGGTTGTCAGTTTGTTGGCATACAGTTGTTCTTAGTATTCACTTATGATTCTTTTTATATACGTCAGATCTGTAGTAATGTCTCCAGTTGCATTTCTGATTTTAATAATTTGAGTCTTTTTGTTCTTAATAATTCTAGCCACAGGTTTGTCAGTCTTGTTGATCTGTCCAAAGAATCAAGTTTTGGGTTTTTGCTCTTTTTCTGTTTTCTATTTTATTTATTGTCACTCAAATCTTTATTATTTTGTTACTTCTGCTAGCTTTGGATTTAGTTTGTCTTCTTTCTCTAGTTCCTTAAGGTATAAAGTTAAACTATTGATCTAAGTTGTTTCTTCTTTTTTAATGTAGGCATTTACAGGTGTAAATTTCCCTTTTACTACTGCTTTTAGTACTCTGCATAAGTTTTGGCATGTTTTGGGTTTCATTTGTCTCAAGGTATCTTATAATTTCCCGTGGATTTCTTTTTTGAAATCACAGCTTTAAAAGTTGTGTAAGAGTGTGTAGTTTAATTTACACAGACTTGTGAATTTTTTCATTTTCCTTCAGTTGTTGATATCTAGTTTCATTCCATTTTGATTTGAAAATAAATTTTATATTTCAGTCATTTAAAATATATTAAGACTTGTTTTGTGGCTGAACATACGTAGTCTATTCTAGAGACTGTCTGATGTGTAATTGAGAAAAATTACATTTTTCTGTTATTGGGTGGAATTTTCTGTATATGTTAGGTCCATTTGGTCTATAGTGGTGTTCAGGTCCTTTATTTTCTTATTGATGTTCTGCCTGGTCATTCTATCCTTTATTGAAAGTGCAATGTTGAAGTCTCCAATTACTATTGTACAAGTGTCTACTTCTCCCATCAGTTCTATCAATGTTTGTTTCATATATTTTAGGGCTCCTTTGTTTTTAGTCCATATATGTTTATAATCGTTATATCTTCTGGGTGAATTGACCCTTTTATCAATATACCGTGTCCTTTTTTATCCAAGACTAGTCTTGCCACCCCCTAGCTGTCTTTTAGCAACTATTTGCATGGAATATCTTTGTCCATCCTTTTACTTTCAACTTTTTTATATCTTTAAAGTGAGTGTCCTACAGGCAGCATATAATTGGATCTTGTTTTTTCCCATCAATTCTGCAATCTCTTCTTTTGATTGGAGAGTTTATTTATGTTTAATTGCTGATGAGGAAGGTTCTGTCACTTTGCTACTTGTTTTCTGTGTGTCTATAGCTTTGTTGTCTCTCATTTCCTCCATTACTGCCTTCTTTTCTTTAATTGATTTTTTTTTGTAGTGACAAGTTTTGATTCCCTTCGCATTTCCTTTTGTGTATATTTTATAGATATGTTCTTATGGTTACTATGGAGATTGTGTTTTTATGAACTGCTTAAGTTTTTAAAAGTTATCTTCACTATTTGGTAAGCATGTGGGAAGTTTTTCTTATTAAAGGTTGTAGCTCATACACAGACAACCACCACAACTTAAAAGTGGAGAAATTTTGAAGACAGATTTTAGGATTCTTCTTTGGGTTCCTAGGCCAGGCACAGCGGCTCATACATGTAATTCCAGCTTTTGTGAGGCCGAGGCGGGTGGATCGCTTGAGCTCAGGAGTTTGAGACCAGCCTGCCTAGCCAACATGGTGAAACCCCATCTCTACTAACAATACAAAAATTAGCTGGGCGTGGTGGTATGCACCACTCAGGAGACTGAGATGGGAGGATCACTTGAACCCAGGAGGCAGAGGTTGGAGTGAGCTAAGATTGCACCACTGCACTCCAGCCTGGGTGACAGAGCAAGACCCCGTCTCAAAAAATAAATGGCCAGGCGCGGTGGCTCATGCCTGTAATCCCAGCACTTTGGGAGGCCAAGGCGGGCAGATCATGAGGTCAACAAGATTGAGACCATCCTGGCTAACACGGTGAAACCCTGTCTCTACTAAAGATACAAAAAATTAGCCGGGCATGGTGGCGGGCGCCTGTAGTCCCAGCTACTCGATAGGCTGGGGCAGGAGAATGGCGTGAACCCGGGAGGCGGAGCTTGCAGTGAGCCAACATTGCACCACTGCACTCCAGCCTGGGTGACAGAGTAAGACTCCGTCTCTAAATAAATAAATAAATAAATAAATAAGTAAATAAATAAAACAAACCTTCCTTTAGGTTCCTGAAAAATCAAGTGAATACATTCCCACCAGGAAAAACTGTTTCTGTTATATTTCTTTGCTTTTCTATCTCCTTAAACTCCTCAGCCAATTAGCTAAGGATTAAAAAAAAAAAAAAAAAATCCAAGTGATATATCAGTACTTCCTAATTTTTTTTTATTTTGCTTATCATAAGTGCAGATCATATTACCAGTAGCTTTGGCAAAATCTGCTTTCCAAAATACCATCATTTTTTTACTTGAATTTGAATGGCCCTTAACTTTAATCTACATTTGGGCAGGGCTGGTTAGCCTCTTCCAACTGTTTCCTCAGATTCATCTCCTGTATGAAGAATAATACCATTTTAAGACACATCTGAACTGCCCAGATATAGTTGAGTTTGTATGTTCACATCACATATATTTTAAAATTATAAGTGGTATATCTTATCTATTGTCATGAAAAGAAACAAATATTTTAGCCTTTATATCCTGACTGATGAGTATGGTGTAATGGTAAGCTGTATGATTTGTGCAAATACAGAGTTTGTAAATACAAAAGTGTGACAGTAAGATATCAGATATTTTTGACAAATTTGAAAATTAATAGTTTTTCTCAATCTTATAATTTCAAGGCATTGTATTATTCCATGGATTCTGTATTAAAATCATGACTGTTTATGACCATATACAGGCTTTCTTATAGCTGAACTCTTCTATCTAGAATTTTAAAGGTCTTCATGAGATGCCAAATGGTCAATTGGGTTATGAAGCCAATTTGGTCAACCAGCCTTCCTACCTGCTTTCCATGCATTTCTTTGGCATTTGTCATGTGAGGTACTGTGTTTGATGCTAGGAAGATACAAACATGCATGGAACAGTACCTGCCCTAAAGGGTTTTCCAGTCAGTTAGGTAAGGTGACCTAGGCAAATAGTGACAGTGTAGGATTGACCGTGACGAAGACCCTTTGAGACATAAAGGGTTCTCCTGTTAAATATCCAAGTTCCTTCAAACAGGCAGCATCAATTACGGAGGAGGTGGTCTTTGAGTGCAGGTCCTTTGGGTGTGTCCTTGAGAGTAGATATATTTTGAAGGTAGAAATGTTCATTGAGGCTGTTATTTTAGACAGAAGCAATAATGAGCAAAGCATTGAAGCAGAGCTAAGGTGGGCCACAAGAAGTGTGGTAGAGGGAGTGGCAGAGAAAGGAGGCAGGAAAGGTAGATTAAAACTGGATGAAGCCCTTTGAAAAAAATCAAAGGGAAAATGTAGACTCATCTTACAGGCATCAGGGAGTTGACACTATAAAGTAACATCTTTAGCGCTGTGCCTTAGCTGGGGCATGGATATGAGTTAAGAGTTTACTTCCATAGTCACAGCGGGAAGCCATGGAGGTCTGAACCTAAGCAGGGGCAGTGAGGACAAAGAAGAGTGGGGAAACGGAATCCACAGGATTCAATGACCCATTCAATGAAGGCTAAAAGAGTGAGTCAGTCACCTACAATTTTGAGTCTGACTGAAAGATGAAAACTGAACAGACAAGATGGGGAAAGTGTCATGTTTTGGACATGGTGAGCTCCTTGGGCAGCTGGAAATGTCGGGAGCTCACGGTGGCATTTGCTGAGAGTGAACTTTGCTGCTGCTGCTTCCTTCACCAGGGAGAGAACCTGAGCATGTTTCTAAAACCTTTTAAATTTGAGAACTTTTCAAACTTAAAAAACTATGCAGAGGCTGTTTCACTGTGTCAAATAACTACAAATCAGTGCTTTATACAAAGACGTAGCTAACAAGAAAGGCTTTTAGCCTTCTTATTTTTCCCTCGGTTTCTGTGCACCTGTGCTGTCCAGTCCAGTGTCCGCCAGCCACCTGCAGCCTCTGAGCACTTATAACATGGCCCGTCTAAACCGACGTGTGCTATCATTATAAAAACGCCTCCCAGATGTCAGAGGCTTGGTATGAAATAAAGAATGTAAAGTATCCCACTAACAGTATTTTATGCTATATGTTAAAATGAGAATGTTTTGGAAATTGTTTCGGGGCTTCCAACAGCATCCCCATGTTAGGTGCCTTGCTGGAAGGACTCTAGAACCCAGCATTTATTTGTACTGCACTCACAGCTGGGATGGAGGACAACAAAAGGGAGCCGCCAGGGAGAGGCTGCCAGGGTCTGGACCGATCCTTGCGCAGGTCCACATATCGCGTCCTTTCCATGAGGGGCATTCTGAGTATGCCTGTTTCTCCAACAACAGCAAATGGGCATGGACTGGACACAGTGGCTCACGCCTGTAATCCCAGCTCTTTGGGAGGCCAAGGTGGGAAGATTGCCTGAGACCAGCCTGGGCAACATAATGGGACAACATCTCTACAAAAAAAAAAAAAAAAACCAAAACAGTTTTAAATGAGTTGGGCATGGTGGTGCAAACCTGTGGTTCCAGCTACTCTGGAGGCTGAGACAGGAGGATCACTTGAGCCCAGGAGGTTGAGGCTGCAGTGAGCTGTGAATCATGCCACTGCATTCCAGCCTGGGCAACAGAGTGAGACTCTGTCTCCAAAAAAAAAATAAAAATGCAGTAGCACATACGCAGTGTTTCTGCCCAGAGAAGCCCATTAGAGACTCAGCACCCAAGGTTCTTATCAGAGTCTGGTCACATAGGCACCCTCTGCTTTGCATATATCAAAATTTCAGACTCTTAGCAGGAAAGCAAGTATTTGGCATAAATGACATCTTTTATGCAAAGTCTAGGTACAATGAAGTACCCTTATCTGTTAGGGAATGGATGGCACCCAAGGGCCAGTCTTGCAATCAGAACCTTTCAAAGGTAGCACCCTCAGGCCTGCTATAATGTTAACTCTTTCTGCACTGATATGTTGGGTTAAATAAACTATATAAGTCAAATTAATTCCACCAATTTCTTTTTTACTTTTTAATGTGGCTACTTGCTCACATTTTTTACTCACATATTTATTTTGGGCAGCACTGGTCTATATCCATGATGAGAAATTCTTCTCTAATGTGTTTTAGTTAAGGTATTTTCTCTATATACACTAATTTTTTTTGTTAATACAAATCTGATAATTAAACAGGTGAAAAGCCTCCCTCGAGTGATATCTTTATATTAACTAATCACCAAATGTAAGAATAAGTTTAAATTGTAAGGCTGCAATAGATTTAACTTCATATCCCAAATTTAGCTTTATTACCCAAGAAAAAGAAGAAAGCCGCCCCTTCAGAAAAAGTGTGTGTGATTAAAATAAGGGATTTAACAGAGTTTTTTAAAAACAAGAGCCAGCTTGAAAAACCTCCATTTGGAAAGCAAATTTCAGAGCTCCAATTAGTAAATTTTTTCATGCTTATCATTAATTCAAATTATTGAACTATTTCTTTTGTTCTCCTCTAAGCTGTGATTTGTAATTGTTACAATTTCACCCATGGAAACAATTAGTATTTCAGAAGAGGTTTATATAAATGGGCTAATTCTGCATGAGAGATTCAGTTCATGCCTACCCATTGTAGATTGCAGATATAACTGAAATAGAATAATTTTGCTAAAATGAATGATACAGAATAGCAATCAGGATATATTTGGCTTCTTCCCAGGCACTGAATACTAATATATACCTCACTCTTTAAGAAAGAAACAGTTTTAGGAAAATAATTTCTAGGACTAGAACTGTGAAAGCAGCAGCAGATATTTTTGTTAGAATAAACCCGTAATGTGATTTTCGGTGACATACTGCCTGCAGGCCCCCTGCAGGCTTTGCTGAAGGACAGCCATCCTTCAGCATCATTGCCACATCTCATTGAAATTGGGGGGGACACAAAATTCCAGCCCTCCCCTTCCTTTCCACACCATGACCCAGCAGTGAGGAACAGCAATAGGTAGAGAGTTCTCAGGCTATAAGTGGAGTTCATAACTGGCACTATTTTTGCTGTCTTTTTTTATATAAAGACTTATAGTTCAATCATTTTATTATTTGAATTGAAGCATACCATTAAAATCCCATATCAATAACTGATGCTTGATTGTCATTTCCACCAGCCATGCTTAACCAGTGAAAAGCCATAAAGGTTAATGTAGGTGTAATTATTAATATAACTCACATTTCTATGAAACAAAAGCTGACAATATCAGTGCTGTTTTCTAATCACTTTAAATAATATGGAGAGCAGTTGTAAAGAATTTATAATAAAAACTGAAGACATTTTCCTCTCACTGCTCAATCAGTGATGAACACGGAGTGGTAAACCTGTCTTTAAGGCCACCTTTGAAGTTATAAAGAGCCATCAAAGGGGGGGGTCACATGATGTTCTGTAGATAAACCTTAAAAACCAATGGTAGTTTTATTCATGAAATCCGAATGTCAAGGACCCACAGTGCTGTTTATTACCTCATTCAGCCTGTCTTGAAAATGGCTTATCTTTCCTGCATCCCGTTTTTGTGAACTAGATAAAATAGGTAGTAGAATTAGAACATAATATACAATTATATTGTATGTAATAGAATTACAGTGTGATATATAAATAAAAAAAGAAACTCCAGTTTGTAGAAATGAGGAAATCAAAAATGCTATATGTTTCTCTTGGCCGTTTTTTAGTATTTTTCGGTGCCCCCATTTGTATGATACAGTTTTATGATATCTATGACAAACCCAAGTAGGTGCACTAGCTAATTTTGTAGCTAATTTTGTAAAGTGAATAAAACACCACCATACACTCCCCAGCCCTCAATATGATGGCATGTTTGTGTAACTGATACCTGTTGTCTTTCCGATGAGCCTTGGAACCATCAATGTTATCTAAGAACCATGAAGTAATTATTTCAGTGGTTTTAGTGATACCATTTTGACAGGTTAGCAGTCTCTGGATAAATTACTTATTAGATATATACATCATTTGAACTTAAGTCTAAAACAGAAGTATCATGATTGAGACCACTGATTGCATAGTCTCATCAAATTTTGGAACCAGAAGTCTGAGATACACTGTATTCCATCCCCTTCATTTTAAAAGAGGAAGCCGAGGCCCAAGGAGGTTAAATACCTTAAAATGTGGATTAACTGATAATAGAAACCATTTTTATTGATTACTAGCCCATTGTTTTTTTCTGCTTTCTGCTGCATGGTGCTATTTCCCAAGTTCCTTCACAGTTCGTAGCTATTGTGGACTCTTCAGTCATGTCAGCCACCAAGGGGTTCTCATACTTGAACTGCAGCCGCTGAGTACTCCGCAGGTGAACAAGCTTAACAGTTTAGTGTGAAGACTGTTGAACTGTATATAGAGAAAGAAGTCTAAACTCAACTGCAGGTTGGCTTACAGTGAGGAGGGGGAAGGGATAAATGAACCCTAGTTCATAATGACTATAGATTTTTAACCTGTTGTACTGAAACTTGGGTGAATACTACCGTTTAGGGCATTCTGCTTAAAGAGAGATTATGGTCACACTCTTAATAGCAAAGCAATTTTGGATATTCACCGTGGACCTACATTTGTCAGATTATGTTTTGGAGTTATCTAGGTACCTAATAAATGCCTGTTTTTACAGCCCATGTTCACAGCCCATTGAGAAATAGACAAAGTGGGTAAGGCAGATGAATGAAAACATGTCAGTTTTATTACTGATAATGTACTGCAATTGGAGAATGTGGTCAGATATTCCAAACTTCCTATGACTGCACACTGAAGAGTCTTCTCTTTGGAGGGGAGAAAAATAATGCTCGTGGCTGTTTTTAAAATTATGTTTATTATATATTTATTAAAAGAAAGATAATATTTAGAAAAAAATCTCATTAGTCAAGTAAAATTTTAGATACTCTATCTTGAAAAACCTTCTGAAAACAGTATAAAAAATATTTGAGATATGTCAGTATAACATAGAGCAATATTCGATTCTCCCTCCTTGGTGCAGCAAATATTTTCTGAAAATCAAAAGTACAGAATCTTTTAGGCAGGAAATACATTTTGTCCAATTATAATTTTAGAAGTCAAAATTGTTAAGGTTTTTGGACCAGGCACAGTGGCTCACGCCTGTAATCCCAACACTTTGGGAGGCTGAGGCAGGCAGATCACTTAAGGTCAGGAGTTCAAGACCAGCCTGGCCAACATGGTTAAACCCCACCTCCACTAAAAATACACAAATTAGCTGGGCATGGTGACACGTGCCTGTAGTCCCAGCTACTCGGGGAGGCTGAGGCAGGAGAATTGCTTGAACCTGGGAGGCAAAGGTTGCAGTGAGCTGCGATCATGCCACTGCACTCCAGCCTGGGCAACAGAGCGAGACTCCATCTCCAAAAAAAAAGAAAAAAAAATTGCTAAGGTTTTTGGGCTTCTGTCGTACTGAATGGGAAAATAATAAGCTGCCTCACTTCTTGACTTTCATATGTTTTGTTTGTTTCTTTACACTGAAATACTTAATACTACTCTATTGGACTTCTGCCTCCAAGCCAGGAGTTTATTTCCTAACAGAAGTAAGCACACTGACTAATAATAATCCATTCTAACAAAGGTTTACATACACAAGGATAGGTGCCAAATAGAGGAGTATGTGGAGTGTGATAGGAACACACAGGAGCGACTGGCTACCCCAGAGAAGCAAGGGGATTTTCACAGATGGTAACATTTGAGATGATACTGAAAGATGAGTAGGTGGCCGCCACAAAGAGAAAGAAGGAGCCATTCCAGGCTGAAAGAACAATTTATACAAGTAGGAAATTACATGGTATATATTCCATATACCTTTAGTGTCCTTAAAACAATTTTTTTGAATCCAGAAGAGTGGATTTTTTTTATTATGGGTAAAATATACATAACAAAATTTATTATTTTAGCCATTTTAAGTATACAGTTCAGTAGCATTAAGTACATTCACATTATTGTGCAACCATTACCACTATCCATATTCAGAAAGTTTTTGTCTTCCCAAACTGAAACTCTGTACCCATTAAACATCACCTCCCCATTCCTTCCTCTTTTTGGACCCTGGTAATCTCTATTCTACTTTCTGTTTCTATGAGTTTGCCTCTTCTAGGCACCTCAATAAGTGGAATCATACAATATTTCTCATACAATAATTAATATGTAATTATAGGGCTGGGCACGGTGGCTCACACCTGTAATCCCAGCGCTTTGGGAGGCCAAAGCAGGTGGATCACGAGGTCAGGAGTTCAAGACCAGCCTGGCCAACATAGTGAAAACCCGTCTCTGCTAAAAATACAAAAATTAGCCAGGCATGGCTCGTGCCTGTAGTCCCAGCTACTCTGGAGGCTGACACAGGAGAATCACTTGAACCCAGGAGGTGGAGGTTGCAGTGAGCCAAGATCATGCCACTGCACTCCAGCCTGGCAACAGAGTGAGACTCCATCTCAAAAAAAAAAAAAAATTTAATTATAAATAATTATGCTAAGTGAAATATGTGGCTTTGTCCATGTTGTATGTATCATAATTTCATTTCTTTTTATGACCAAATCACATTCCATTGTCTTGTGGATGCTACATTGTTTATCCATCCACCCATCAATGGGCATTTTGTTTGTTCCCACTTTCTGGCTGTTGTGCATAATGCTGCTGTGAACATTGGTATGCAAGTAACTGAGTTTCTGGTTTCAGTTCTTTGGAGTAGGTAGCTAAAAGTAAAATTGCTGGATCATACGGTAATTCTATCTTTAACTTTTTGAGGAGCCTCCAGATAATTTTCCACAATGACTGCACCATCTTACATTCTCACCCTCAGTACAGAAGGGTTCCAGTGTCTCCACATCCTTGCCAACATTGTCTTTCAAAGTTTTGGAAAAAAAAATCTACCAGACTGTATACTGGTTCCATAAGAACCATTGAAAATACATTCATTATCATTACATTAAAAGTGACCTTTTGGGGCCTAGCATAAGAAAAAGTTTGAATGAGCCAGCATCAGAGAATATTGACGTTTGTCTTATTGTTTGAATAGTACAGAGTTTATTCAAGGAAAGGCCTTTGCGGTAAGAAAGTACTCTTATAAAGTCAGATTTGTTATGTATGAAATAAAATCAGGTGGTCTGCCTGCTCTTTGCAACACTGTTTTCTCTTCCTGCAGCTCCCTGCACAAGCAGCACTTTCTTTTGCCATAGCAACATGTGCATCAATAATTCTTTAGTCTGTAATGGTGTCCAAAATTGTGCATACCCTTGGGATGAAAATCATTGTAAAGGTGAGTTTGATGTAAAGGCCAACATTTTTGAGAAAAGAGTGGCTATTGCCCTTCATTAAGAACTTAAAATGTTATTTTCTACAACAGTGCTTAGCATAGCTGCTTTTTGTTTGTTTGTTTGAGACGGAGTCCTGCTCTGTCGCCCAGGCTGGAGTGCAGTGGCACAATCTCGGCTCACTGCAAGCTCCGCCTCCCGGGTTCACACCATTCTCCTGCCTTAGCTTCCCAAGTAGCTGGGACTACAGGTGCCTGCCACCACGCCCGGCTAATTTTTTGGTATTTTTAGTAGAGACAGGGTTTCACTGTGTTAGCCAGGATGGTCTCGATCTCCTGACCTCATGATCTGCCCACCTCGGCCTCCCAAAGTGCTGGGATTACAGGCATGAGCCACCGCGCCCAGCCTAGCATAGCTGCTTTGACAAAAATGGAAACATGTAAATGTTCTTTTAAATGGATCATAGACCTGGGATGTGGTGAAAAGCATACTCTAAACAAAAGCATTTTTTGTCTACAAACTGTTAAGTTGTTCTAAAGTGTATTGTGGCCAGGCGCGGTGGCTTACGCCTGTAATCCCAGCACTTTGGGAGGCTGAGGCAGGCGGATCACCTGAGGTCAGGAGTTCAAGACCAACCTGGCTAACATGGTGAAACCCCATTTCTACTAAAAACACAAAAAAATCAGCTAGGCGTGGTGGCACGCGCCTGTAATCCCAGCTACTCGGGAGGCTGAGGCAGGAGAATTGCTTGAACTCGGCAGGCAGAGGTTGCAGTGAGCCGAGATTGCGCCATTGCACTCCAGCTTGGGCAACAAAAGTGAAAACTCCGTCTCATCCAAAAAAAAAAAAAGTATATCGTGGTATGCCTTGCCCTTATTTTGTTACTGTTGTTGAAGTTTGTCATTTGTATTGTAAACATACCTTATTTAATTGTCAAAATAATTTAGAGGTTAGCCTGAAGTATGTGGAAACACTATTTAATAAAAGTCAACTTGCAGATTCTGTCTTAAAACATAAAAGCAGAAACATTCTATGAACTGCTTTTTTTATTTCGTAACATTTCCTATGCTGTATTCCCAGTGTGTACTCACTGAAAGATAAATGCAGCTTGTGGTAATGGTTGAATGTCTGCAAGCTGGTTGTCAGATCACTGTGTAAGAACTAAAGGTAATCTTCCTTTTATCCTCTAAGACAGCAGTCCCCAACCTTTTTGGTACCAAGGACTGGTTTCGTGGAAGACAATTTTTTCACAGAACAGGGGTGGGGCAGGGGGGTTGGTTTCAGGATGATTTAAGCGCGTTACATTTATTGGGCACTTTATTATTATTACATTGTAATATATAATAAAATAATCATACAACTCACCATAATGCAGAATCAGTGGGAGCCCTGAGCTTGTTTTCCTTCAACTAGACAGTCCCATCTGGGGGTGATGAGAGACAGTGACAGATCATCAGGCATTAGATTCTCCTAAGGAGCTCACAGCCTATATCCCTCACATGCACTTGGGCTTCTGTCATACTGAATGGGAAAATAATAAGCTGCCTCACTTCTTGACTTTCATATGTTTTGTTTGTTTCTTTACACTGAAATACTTAATACTACTCTATTGGACTTCTGCCTCCAAGCCAGGAGTTTATTTCCTAACAGAAGTAAGCACACTAATAATAATCCATTATTGTTATCCATAATAGGGCTCCTGCTGCTGTGAGAATCTAATGCCACTGCTGATCTGACAGGAGGCAGTGCTGCGGGTAATGCGAGTGATGGGGAGCAGCAGCAGATACAGATGCAGCTTCACTCGCTCACTCGCAGCTCACCTCCTGCAGTGATACCCAGTTCCTGTCTGTGGCCCAGGGGTTGAGGACCCCTGCTGTAAGAGTTCAATAAATATCTTACTGTGGAAAGGTGATCTAATCTGATATGGCTGTCGTAAATACTCGACATGAAGTGTTTTCAGTTAATCATTCAAAAACAGTAGGTCATGATAATATACTGGATGGGTTAGTCTGATGATGTTAGTTTGCTCTCCCTGGGGTCATCAGTAGATGCGGGTATACCTGAACACAGCAGTTGGTCAAACCTACCATAAAGCAGAAAGCTAAACTTGATAGAACAAGAGTATTTATTTGGCATAGTCTATATTTGTATATTTGATTTGATTTGCAGAATGTATGCATTTATGTGTCTTCTGAAGAAACGGACCAAGAACTTTATCTTCTGTAATCTATCAGTACTGCGATTGGTAACTTTAACCAGAAATTATAATAGGGTTGTTTTATTTGTTTAAAAACCTAATTGTAAATTGCATTGTCTGTAGTATATTTGGCCCAAGTATTCTGTTTTACCTAAAAATACCTTACTAATTTGTACCAGGATTCATATTAATGTATTTTGAAAACTTAACGTTTCTCATTTTCTTTCTGCAGAAAAGAAAAAAGCAGGAGTATTTGAACAAATCACTAAGACTCATGGAACAATTATTGGCATTACTTCAGGGATTGTCTTGGTCCTTCTCATTATTTCTATTTTAGTACAAGTGAAACAGCCTCGAAAAAAGGTCATGGCTTGCAAAACCGCTTTTAATAAAACCGGGTTCCAAGAAGTGTTTGATCCTCCTCATTATGAACTGTTTTCACTAAGGGACAAAGAGATTTCTGCAGACCTGGCAGACTTGTCGGAAGAATTGGACAACTACCAGAAGATGCGGCGCTCCTCCACCGCCTCCCGCTGCATCCACGACCACCACTGTGGGTCGCAGGCCTCCAGCGTCAAACAAAGCAGGACCAACCTCAGTTCCATGGAACTTCCTTTCCGAAATGACTTTGCACAACCACAGCCAATGAAAACATTTAATAGCACCTTCAAGAAAAGTAGTTACACTTTCAAACAGGGACATGAGTGCCCTGAGCAGGCCCTGGAAGACCGAGTAATGGAGGAGATTCCCTGTGAAATTTATGTCAGGGGGCGAGAAGATTCTGCACAAGCATCCATATCCATTGACTTCTAATCTTCTGCTAATGGTGATGTGAATTCTTAGGGTGTGTACGTACGCAGCCTCCAGGGCACCATACTGTTTCCAGCAGCCAACCCTTTTCTCCCATCACAACTACGAAGACCTTGATTTACCGTTAACCTATTGTATGGTGATGTTTTTATTCTCTCAGGCAGTCTATATATGTTAAACCAATCAAGGAACTTACTCTATTCAGTGGAAACAATAATCATCTCTATTGCTTGGTGTCATTTATAGGAAGCACTGCCAGTTAAAGAGCATTAGAAGAGGTGGTTGGATGGAGCCAGGCTCAGGCTGCCTCTTCGTTTTAGCAACAAGAAGACTGCTCTTGACTGATAACAGCTCTGTCAATATTTTGATGCCACAATAAACTTGATTTTTCTTTACATTCCTTTTATTTTTCCTTTCTCTAAATTTAATTTGTTTTATAAGCCTATCGTTTTACCATTTCATTTTCTTACATAAGTACAAGTGGTTAATGTACCACATACTTCAGTATAGGCATTTGTTCTTGAGTGTGTCAAAATACAGCTAGTTACTGTGCCAATTAAGACCCAGTTGTATTTCACCCATCTGTTTCTTCTTGGCTAATCTCTGTACTTCTGCCTTTTAATTACTGGGCCCTTATTCCTTATTTTCTGTGAGAAATAATAGATGATATGATTTATTACCTTTCAATTATATTTTTCTCAGTTATACTAGAAAATTTCATAATCCTGGGATATATGTACCATTGTCAGCTATGACTAAAAATTTGAAAAAGATAAAAATTTCTAGCAAGCCTTTGAAGTTTACCAAGTATAGTCACATTCAGTGACAGCCCATTCATTCCAGTAAAGAATCATTTCATTCACTTTGGGAGAGGCCTATAATTACATTTATTTGCAATGTTTCTCTTCGCTAGATTGTTACATAGCTCCCATTCTGTTGGTTTTGCTTACAGCATATGGTAACCAAGGTTAGATGCCAGTTAAAATTCCTTAGAAATTGGATGAGCCTTGAGATTGCTTCTTAACTGGGACATGACATTTTTCTAGCTCTTATCAAGAATAACAACTTCCACTTTTTTTTAAACTGCACTTTTGACTTTTTTTATGGTATAAAAACAATAATTTATAAACATAAAAGCTCATTGTGTTTTTTAGACTTTTGATATTATTTGATACTGTACAAACTTTATTAAATCAAGATGAAAGACCTACAGGACAGATTCCTTTCAGTGTTCACATCAGTGGCTTTGTATGCAAATATGCTGTGTTGGACCTGGACGCTATAACTTATTGTAAAGACCTTGGAAATGTGGACATAAGCTCTTTCTTTCCTTTTGTTACTGTATTTAGTTTGTGATAAATTTTTCACTGTGTGATATTTATGCTCTAAATCACTACACAAATCCCATATTAAAATATACATTGTACCTGACCCTTTAATCATGTTATTTATGCCACCAAGGTTGTGGATCTTAAGGTATGTATGGAAAGGAACTCATTTATCAAATTGTAAGTAATACAGACATGCCATTTAAAAGAGGTAAATTCTTGTTTTCTATATTTTGTTAGTAAATTCTCAATGAAATAAGTTGAAGTTTCACTGGATTTCATTAACTTTTAAATATTACATATATGTGTTTTCTCAGATTAGTGAAAATTGTGACCTTAAATTTAATACACATATACTGCCTCAGAGTGCTTTCTTGTATCAAAATTTTTGTTTTTTAAAAAAGTAGATAATATTTAGGAGACAGAAAAACCTATACATAATGTATTCATGATTTAAATTTTTTTAAGTCAGCCTAGTTTCTTGTTTTAAAAATATAACGTGGAAACATGAAAAGACTTGATGCATATAATATTCAATGAACTAATACCAGAGACAGCTAAGTTTTTTCAGTAGTTATGCTGAATAAGCATTTTAGTAGGTAACTTACACCAGCTAACATTTGAACAGCATAATAAATACTTAATATAACAACAACTATGATCTTATGATGATAAAAGGGAAGTTAGCATATTTTCTATGTAAAATTATTCATTTTTTAAAATAGCTGTTAAACCTATATTTAATCTTTAGATTATAATAGCAAATAATACAGTATGCTAAACTATAGTCACTTGTAACTACATTTTTGTTTTTGAAATTTGATTTCTATTTATAAGGTCTTGAAGAGGCCTACAAAATACAGAGCCTTTAAAGAAGACATAACAGTAAAATAGAAGTACACAGTTTTATACGAGTCAATGTAGCAAGTAACATTTAGACAGTAAGTTTGGTTCTGAATTTTCTGGCTGCTAAAACACTTTTTGCTTTTCACAGTAAAAAAACTTATGTGCAGAGGCTAATTTCCTCTTGAACTACAGCATGAGGGTCTGTATATAGGAACATTTCTTCAGAATGTAAAAAAGATGCAAAATGGAGACAGAGGTTATAATGGTGCTTCTTAACCCAGTGAAGGCACAACTTAATGTCGTCTAGGAACATTGGTTTAGGGTCAGTCTGTATTTTCAGGGATAGAACTAAAGAACCAGATGATCAATAGCTAAGCCAGCCTTAGCCTGTCACATGTTATACACCTTCATTGAATCATAGATGGGCATTAGATCTCATTTATTTATTAAACTTCTCTATGCTTTTGGAAGAGGTAAGAATGGAACTAATAAATCTTAGGCATTATTGCCAGAATAATGCTAATTGCTGTATATACAGCCTTTAATCTTTGAGATCAGTGAGAAAACTTTATAAATTGCTTACTAAAATGAAAGCCATAAAATTTAATAACAGAAGACATGAAATTTAGCAATCTTGTGGAATTCATTACACAGTATTAACTGTCACGCAGGGTACCCCACACAGTGTCCCAGTGTTGAACACAAAATGCAAATCTGGAAGGGATAAATATCTTCAATTCAGAAACAGCATTAAGTATACCTGTATAATACTGTCACCATTATCTTCCATCTGCAATTCACCGCATCATCCCCCAAATGCCCACAGATCTATTGCAGGAAACCTACTAATCCCAACATCTAAAGCATGTAGGAATAAGATGTGATATTCCTTTTGTGTGTGGGGAGAGTGTCAATCTAAACGTTTAACAAAAGGCAAAGAATGTTCACATTTCACATCACAAAAGAGATTTCAAAGACTCCTTTAACCCGACAGCGCTTATGTCAGTGTCTTTGTCATGTTTCATAGAATTGTTAGACTTTAAAAGAACCTCCTGAAAGTCTGCCTCTGAACATTTGTATGGTTCTGCCAATGTCTGATGAGAAGAATGCTTCCCTGTTTGAGGAGTGTGTTCACTGATGAGAGGGGACGGGAGAAGCCTGGTTGTGATTTCAGGAATAATTCTCAAAGGAGATTATACTCTTATTGCAAAATGGGGTCTGCTATATATTGTTCATGTCACTTTATTGCAAGTGACATGAATTATATGACATTAAAAATAATATGCCTTGAATCACACTGATTAGACCCAGAAGGATCATTGAGTTTTTGGTGGTTTTAAAGATCCAAGAAAGACCTATCTAGCCCAAGTGTATGAATGAGAAGACTGAAGCCCACAGAAGTGAACTCAGCACCAGTGTCTCAAGAACCCCAGTACTCTGGTTTTTTTCTTTTTTGAGACGGAGTCTCGCTCTGTCGCCCAGGCTGGAGTGCAGTGGCGCGATCTCGGCTCACTGCAAGCTCCGCCTCCCGGGTTCACGCTATTCTCCTGCCTCAGTCTCCCAAGTAGCTGGGACTACAGGCGCCCGACACCATGCCCGGCTAATTTCTTGTATTTTTAGTAGAGACGGGGTTTCACCGTGTTAGCCAGGATAGTCTCAATCTCCTGACCTCGTGATCCACCCGCCTCGGCCTCCCAAAGTGCTGGGATTACAGGCGTGAGCCACCGCGCCTGGCCTTCTGTTTTTGTTTTTCTGTTTTTTTGTTTTTTGAGACAGAGTCTCGCTCTGTCACCCAGGCTAGAGTGCAGTGGCGTGATCTCGGCTCACTGCAAGCTCCGCCTCCCGGGTTCATGCCATTCTCCTGTCTCAGCCTCTCGAGTAGCTGGGACTACAGGCGCCCGCCACCATGCCCGGCTAATTTTTTGTATTTTTAGTAGAGACGGGGTTTCACCATGTTAGCCAGGATGGTCTCGATCTCCTGACCTCGTGATCCGCCCGCCTCGGCCTCCCAAAGTGCTGGGATTACAGGAGTGAGCCAAGGCGCCCAGCCCAGCTGTACGTTTTAAAAGTCAAGCACTTCTGTTTAGCAGCCCATGTAAGCTTGTCAATCATTCTGAATTGAAATGTAATTTATTCTGTAATTTCTTCAATGCATTATATTTCCCCTTTTCTTTAAATGTATGTAACATTGTGTTCTACAGTTTTGCTGCCATGATTCCTTGGCACCGTGAATTCTTACTAAGCAATGTTTGTTAACAGTATACAGGCTCGATACTAGGCAGGAAGAGCTCCTGTGTTCTTGCTTTTTTGATCTTTTTTAAATCTAAAGGAGACGTGTATTCTAGAAATTAAATATTTGTGTGCCATATCTCTTGAGTTTTGGAGAATGATTGGAGTTTGAGTTACTGTAAATAACAAGATTATCTTGGATATTTTAGTTTTCTGCAAAATCACTTATGTTTTATATACCTCTGCTAATAATTCAAAACTCTGAATTTGCTTTACTTTAACTTTTTAAAAATGTATTTTTGCAATTGGTTTAATGACTACCAAAGCCTAAAAAGCTAATGACTAGGGTGCATGTTTAGTATGCACTGTCTAGTGTAAGCTTTTTAAAAGCAGTAGATTTTTATTAGAGATGAACTTCCAGGCCATATGAGAATATGCTTAATCCTAGATTTGGCATTTTATAGAAAAGAATTTTGACTCTTGAACTAGAATTAAAAACTTGTTCTGATTTCCTTGCTTGCCTCAATTTCTAAAGTCTAGAAGTGGCAAATAATTTAGATCACTTATACCAACAGAATCTGTATTTCCTTCCGGGGCAAAGTTGGCATTTCCTATCCACTAGCTTCCAAAATACAATAATCCTAGTTATGATAAGGGCAACTTTATTTTATTACACTTAGAACCATTTTATGTTTTCAAATTCATTAATCTTCAAGTGAAGATGAACTAAAGAAAAAAATGCGTTTTGTCCCAGGTTGCCTGCAGGTTGCAGTCTGCTGCATCCGGTCACTGAAGAGGCAGTGAGGACTGTCACAGAGTGGGCTGGAGAGCCAAGCTGTTCTTTCGGGGTGCACAGTGCACCAGCCATAACACAGCTTAGAAACATGGATGAGTATACCTCAAGACAGGTGAACACGGAGTGGGGAGCAAAAGAAGGCAGAAACTCCTCTGAGTTTCACAAGCATCAGGCACAGATCAGGGCACAGAGGAAGAAGAAAGAAGGTTTACCACTGGTCTGTCTCTGTAAATTGTTACAGAGCAATTTTACTTTGTGTTATTTAGGATCAAGAAACAAGTGTTATTTAAAAGTTCTCTTACCCTCCAACCTTTGTCATACTCCACAATATCTGATGCCATTTAGGCCTCTGAGCCAGTACACATTTTATTGAAACTTTTTTTCTTTTGAGGCAGTCTTGCTTTGTAACCCAGGTTGGAGTGCAGTGGCACAATCTCAGCTCACTGCAGCCTCGACCTCTTGGGCTCAGGAGATCTTCCCGCTTTAGCCTGCCTAGTAGCTGAGACTACAGGCACGCACCACCACACCTGGCTAATTTTTTAAAATTATTTTTGTAGAGACAGGGTTTGGCCATGTTGCCAGGCTGGTCTGGAACTCCTGAGCTCAAGCAGTCTGCCCGCCTAGGCCTCCCAAAATGTTGGGATTACAGGAGTGAGCCACTGCTCCTGGCCCAGCTGAATTTTTTTTTTTTTTTTTTTAAGAAATGAAGTCTCACTGTGTTACCCAGGCTGGTGTCGAACTCCTGGGCTCAAGCAATCCTGCCTTGGCCTCCCAGAGAGCTGGGATTACAAGCATGTTGAAACATTTTGAGTAGTTGTTGATTGCTAAAGGAATTTTCATCAGAAATCTAGGTATTCAGCCATGCTTTCCAAATCTTGCTTTATTTTTCCATTGATAATATTGGTCCTATTAAGTGGTGGTGTAGAGAAGTATTCACAAATTTCAAACCAAAAAATTATGTGAATAGTAGGGGAATTCTTTCTGTACCCTTGAGTTATTTTATCACTGTTGTGTTTACACCTTATAAGAAAATTCCACTCTGAGAATGAGCACAAGGAACAGATAGGAAATGTGCAGCTGGTGCTGATGTGTAGCCCTGCGCCCTTCAAATCCATGTGTGCAGGCAGTCACTTCCTCAGTCATTAGCTTTTCATCTGAAACAACAAAGCTAGTGGTAGGCAGCTTCTGAGATGGTTCCCAGTGAAGCCTGCCCGCTGGTGTGCACTCTTGTTTAACCTCCTGTCCTTGGGTGTGAGCTGCACTTAGTAACCTGCTTCTAAGGAGTAGAACATGGGGGAAGGGAGAGAGCACACCTGAGGTTTGGTGGCAGAAAGGCTCTGGCTTCTGTCTCCTCGCCCACTCTTAACTTTCATGCTTTCCTGCTCAGAAGGTGAGGTGTTCTTTGGAAAGGCCCATGTGACAAGAAGCAGAACTTTCCAGCCGACAGCTAACATGGAACTGAGGCCCTCATTCCAACGGCCTCCAACTGAATCCTGCCAACAAGACATGAGTTTGGAAGGGGATCCACCCCAGTGGAACTCCTGAGATGATTGCAGCCTTGTGAGAGACAAACCAAGATGTTTGTTTAAGTGCTAAACGTGGGGATAATTTTTATGCAGTTACAGATAACTAATACAAAGCTAGAAAAAGAAAAAGGCATAATACAAATTTCAGCATCTTAATGAGTCTGCCAGCATCTGAAGAACTGAAATAAGGCGAACTGGTCTTCCTCCCGCATGAGCACCTGTCAGCTATCTTAGTCTTACCTTAAATAAAAACACTTAACCAAATACATTATCTCTCTCAAGGACAGCAAAAGATATTGAAATTTGATGATTCTGTATTTGAAATGTAAATCAGATTACAATTAAACTCTAACTCTTGAATACTGTCCCTTTTAAGTCACCAAATCTCCTTTGAGTAAGATGAAATTATCTAAAAATGAATAAAGGATAAAATTTTTATTCTGATTCTATATTCTTTCATATTTCCAATTATGTAATATTAACATTGGGTTTCCTAGAAGGCATGGCTGATTTGCAACTCTATCATTGAGAAGATTCTTGGGACAACTGATTTACAAAAAAACACAACAAAAAGGCAGGTGTGTCACTGAGAAAGAAAAGCCTTTTGTGTCCAGAACACATTCTACCCTCAAGATGAGAAGTGTAGCCAAAGCAGTTCTATACAGAGATTTTTCTATTATGATAAAAAATATATACATAAATAAGATTTCCTGGAAGAGAATGCTCTTTTTTGCTTTGCTTTGACCAAAATGATTAAAAGACCAAGTCAGGAAAGTTTTTCTTTCTGAATTGTTTTTGATAGCTGACTGACAGCCACAGCTACCTGCTATAAAAGATAAAATTATGTCTTTAACTGTATCAGTGCATAAATTTTTCCTTTGAATTTGAAGGAAGCTGCTATTGCTGACATTGTTTTGCCCTGTGGGTATACTTATGGCCTAAGTCCTTTTCTGTTTTTTGTTTTTTGTTTTTGAGAAGGAGTATTCTCTCTGTTGCCCAGGCTGGAGTGCAGTGGTGTGATCTCGGCTCACTGCAAGCTCCGCCTCCCGGGTTCACACCATTCTCCTGCCTCAGCCTCCCGAGTAGCTGGGACTACAGGTGCCTGCCACCACGCCCGGCTATATTTTTTTTGTATTTTTTTAGTAGAGACGGGGTTTCACCGTGTTAGCCAGTATGGTCTCAATCTCCTGACCTCGTGATCCGCCCGCCTCGGCCTCCCAAAGTGCTGGGATTACAGGCATGAGCCACCATGCCCGGCCTAGCCTAAGTCCTTTTCTAATATGAATCAGTCAGCTCTTTGCCACTAGAAATAGTATGGTGCCTGTTACTTTGGAAGCACCTCCTTGTACTCCAAACTCTGCAAGAGAGGCACCAAATGAGCCTCTGTTGTTCCCCATCCTGCCATTTTTAATTGCTAGATGGCAGTCTCTGCTTCTGGAAGGACCTCACTGAGCTGCTCTTCTGCAGGGGTGGGAGAAGGGCCTGCCTTTCCGCAGGAGCCCTGTGGGTGTTCTCTCCATCATTTAAAAATAAGCACTCCCCACATGCCATACACTGTTCCTGTCCTGCTGTTACTGCCTCCATTTTTTTTTTTTTTTTTTTTTTTTTTGAGGCAGAGTCTCTATCACCCGGCCTGGAGTGCAGTGACGTGATCTCGTTCACTGCAACCTCCGCCTCCTGGTTCAAGCAATTCTCCTGCCTCAGCCTCTAAGTAGCTGGAATATTTAGGTGCCTGCCATTACACACGGCTCATTTTTATTAGAGACGGGGTTTTGCCATGTTGGCCAGGCTGGTCTCGAACTCCTGACCTCAGGCAATCCACCCGCCTCAACCTCCCAAAGTGCTGGGATCACAGGAGTGAGCCATCGCACCTGGCCACTGCCTCATTTCTTGGCTTTTCCCCATTACCCACAAATAACTCACAGATTTTTTTTTTATGGAGTCTCCTTTTGTCACCCAGGCTGGAGTGCAATGGTGCAATCTCAGCTCACTATAACTTCCACCTTCCGGGTTCAAGCTATTCTTGTGCTTCAGCCTTCCAAGTAGCTGGGATTACAGGCGTGTGCCACCACACCCAGCTAATTTTTGCATTTTTAGTAGAGACAGGGTTTTGCCATGTTGCCCAGGCTGGTCTCAAACTCCTGACCTCAGGTGAACTACCCACCTCAGGTGAACTACCCGCCTCAGCCTCCCAAAGTGCTGGGATTACAGGCGCGAGCCACTATGCCCAGCCAGAAACTGCCTTTATCCAAAGCCATGTCTTAAAGCATGCGCCGGGGAATGCTTCTGTTTTAAGCTGGCATTCTCACCTCTTTGCCCTGAAAAAAAACAGCTTGCTTCTCTTCCCCTCATCAGGTAGGCAAAGAAAGTGATTGCACACTGTTTTTAATTGCAGGTTTACATAAACCCACAATTCGAGAGCATTGATTTGTTGGACTGTAATCTACGCTTTAACACACTGAGCTGCATTTAGGCAGCGTGCCAGATGTGTAAAGTTGGGATTTAATGACATTTCAGTAGCAGCCCCAGAATTTAGTACAGTACTACTGTCGAATACTAATGTTCCACTAGCAAGAAAACAGAAACAGCTTCATCAGTTACCTTTTTGTCCCTTTCTTGAAGATGGAGAAACTGAAAGCAATTAACTGTTTCTTGGAAACTTCATCTTATAAAGAAACTCCAATCAAGAGCATCCCACCATAGTTGTGGCTATGTTCATGCTACTTTAGCAATCAACCAAAGATTAATTTTTAACACTTTAAAATATTATGCTGCCCATTTATGAAGTTGGGGATTTTCCTGATGACTTCATCAAGCATTTTTACTTTCTGAAACTGATTATGTACATGAAAAGTGCTACAAAGTCACCATGTGTTATTTCTGCTTTTCCATTTATTTTTAAATAGCAAAGGAGAAAATCTAACTTTTGAAAAAACACATATTCTGATCCTAAAGGATAGGGTTTCTCAAGCTCAGCACTGCTGATGTTTTGGACTGGGTAACTCCTCGCGGTGGGAGGGCCAGCCTGTGCACTGCAAGGGGCAGCAGACCACCCCCAGCAGTGATGAGCAAAACTGTCCCCAGACATGGCCAGAGTCTCCTCTGAGAAGGTGATACAGGGAAGGAGAGGGGCAAAGTCAAGCCCAGTTGAGAACCACTGCTATAGAAAACAAAATTACACTAAAAACTGTTGAATTCTACTTTAAAGAAATATTTCAAACTTATGAAAGGGTTTGGAGAACAATGAGTACCAACATACCTGGACCCTGCTAAAGAAGTTATGTCTGTAAACACAATTACACCCCACTGCGGTCCTCTCCTGGCTTTACTTTCCCCCAGAGATCCTGACCATGGTGGTGATCGTTCCCCTGCGGGTATTAGTTAGAAGTTAACTGCTGTTTCTCTAACACTTGTGGCTGATCTTCAGAGTTTCTCATGCCTATATCAAATCTACAGTTGCTATTTCTACCCTCTTTCTGAACAAAACAAGAACCATACAACGCCTGAGCCGTATTCACCCCTCTTCCATCTTATGTTATTTTCATTTAGTATTTTAGTTACTTGTTTTTTATATTTCCCCAAAATGGCCAGTTTTTTAAATCTTTATGTTCCTTTATTGGAGCAAGATTCCTGATTGGTATACAGTGATGTATTTACTAAACAGAGACCTGTGCAGAAATTACATACTATTCATCTAGATACATTGCTACACTTTTGCCTATTGATGGACCCATTCCATTTATCAAGTTTTATACATCAAAAAGCTTGTGAATTTCACCAGACTGTCCGTTAATTCACCTCTGAAAAAAGTGGCATTTAATTTCAGCTATTATATTTTACAGCATTAAAAAGCTTATGCATTAGGGTACTTCTCTGCACAATGGCATTAAGCAGACAGAGCTGAGTCCATTATCCCACCCCAATGTTTTTGTTTTTATGGTAAATACTTAGATTTTTCTCTATGTTTATCTGCTCATTTTCTCTCCATACTTTATTGCATTCCGACCTTACATCTGGGATCACTTTCCTTCTGCCTTCCTTTAAAAATTATTTATTGACACTGCTGGGTGATCTGTTCAGTTTTTGCTTTTCGGAAAATCCCTGTTTCCTCCTTCTTGTATGATACTTTATCTGGGTATGAAAGACTGCATTGACTGTTCCTTTCCCACAGTGCTTATTTCATGATCATGATCATGACTTCTTTTATAAACCTAAGTTCCCATATCTTTAATCTGTCTTTTCCCACTTAACTGATTCCACAATATTGTTTAGCCATTTCACTACAATATGTCTACATGTGTATTTATTTTTATATTTTTCTTGTGATTCCATATGCTTCTTCAGTCTAAAGATAAGTATCATTCTGGAAAATTCTTTCATGTTTCTTAACTTTCAGTATTTCCATGTCTTCATATTTTCATTGTGATACACATTTTCTCTTAGCCACGTCTCATCTTCTGTGTAACTGCCCAATGAGTACTTAATGAGTACTTAATGTGAATGATTATATTGTTTATTTCCAGAAATCCTATTTAGTCCCTTTAATTTTTTTTTTTTTTTTAAGAGACGGAGTTTTGCCATGTTGCCCAGGCTGGTCTCGAACTCCTGAGCTCAAACGATCCACCCACCTTGGCCTCCCAAACTAGGATTACAGGTGTGAGCCACTGCACCTGGCCTAGTTCTTTTAAAAATTTGCCTGCTCTTTTTCTATGGTTTCTTTTCCTGCGTTTTTCTTTCTCTTTTTTTTTCTCTTTTAACGAATTTAACCATTTTGTTTGTTTGTTTGTTTGTTTGTTTTTTGAGACAGGATCTTGCTGTGTTTCCCAGGCTGGAGTGCAGTGGCACCATCACAGCTCACTACAGCCTTGATCTCCCGGGCTCAAGTGATCCTCCCACCGTAGCCTCCCAAGTAGCTGGGATTACAGGCACATGCCACCATGCCCAGCTATTTTTTGCAGTTTTTGTAGAGACTAAGTTTCATCATGTTGCCCAGGCTAGTCTCGAACTCCTGACCTTAGGTGACTTGCCCACCCCAGCCTCCCAAAGTGCTGGGATTACAGGCATGAGCCACTGGGGTGCCCGGCCGATTTCCTTTTTTTTTTTTTTTTGAGACAGAGTCTCGCTCTGTCACCAGGCTGGAGTGTAGTGGTGCGATCTCAGCCCACTGCAACCTCTGCCTCCCAGGTTCAAGCGATTCTCCTGCCTCAGCCTCCTGAGTAGCTGGGACTACAGGCACATGCCACCACGCCCAGCTAATTTTTGTATTTTCAGTAGAGATGGGTTTTCACCATGTTGGCCAAGATGGTCTCAATCTCTTGACCTCATGATCCGCCCACCTCAGCCTCCCCAAGTGCTGGGATTACAGGTGTGAGCCACTGCACCCAGCCCGATTTCCTTCTTTTTTAATGCTCGGTAGTATCCTATTATATGTAACGGGATACTATTATCCCATGTGGGTATGCATATATACACACACACACCACATTTTCTTTATCCTTCCCTCCACGGATGGTCACGTAGGTAAATTCTGTATCTTGGCTATTGTGAATAGTGCTATGCAGTAAACATGGGAATGCAGATATCTCTTCAACATATTGATTTCATTTCCTCTGGAAAATACCCAGAGTGGGACTGCTGGATCATATAGTAGATCCACTTTTTTAATTTTTGGAGAAACCTCCGTGCTGTTTTCCATAATTGCTGTACTAATTTACATGCCCACCTACAGTGTGCAGGGTTTTCCTTTAATGGCCGTTCTAACAGGTGTGAAGTTATATCTCATTGTGCTTTTAATTTGCATTTATCTGATGATTCGTTATTTGGGGCAGTTTTTCATATGCCTGTTGCATTTGTATGTCTTCTTTTGAGGGATGTCTGTTTAAATTATTTGTCCTGAAATCTTTTTTATATGGTTTATTTTTGTCAAATCAAGAAGCAATCAAGGGGCCTCTTGTTCTTCCAGAAGGTCATTTCAACAGTGTGAGAGAGATACCATCAAGAGCTTCAGTTTGATCTCACATCCTCCTGGGGCCCACAACTCCTGCCAACCCCCTGGAGCTCTAGACAGACCCCCAAGAGCATTGGCTGCACGTCGCCATTGACTTTTTGTTCAGATGTGATGGGTTGACTAGTTTGTGGTGAAGTTACGTAGCACAATTTTTATCTGCAAATGCTAAGAGATAAGCCCAAAAAGAGCCTGTGTGGGCACTGGCACATTTATGTGAATATTCAAAACCATCCTCTTCCCAATTTTAAAAAAACCACGCCTGACAGTAGTTAAAGCAGTAAAGACAGATTTTATTCAGGAACTGTTGCTGTTGGGGAAAGAGCCCTCAGTGTGGAACTGGGCTCACTTCCGAATACAGCATGAACAAGTAGGGACGGTGGCCAGGAGCAGGGTGGGGGCAGCAGGTGGAAAATTACGGAGAGTATGCGAGGGGTGCAGAGGGATTCTGGTTCATCAGATGTAACAGGATTCTCCCCAAAGGCAGGTTAGAGTGGGCAGGCATTACCTGGGGGTGAGGGGTGGGAGAAGAATTCGAGCCAATATCGAGGGTGATTAGATACTGAGGTTGGGGATGGGGGTCCTCCACATTGACTTATGAAGATTTCTGCTACAGCTGGGTGACGGAGGCCTGAACAAGGACAGACTCCAAGGTTGAGGCCTAGAAGGCCGGAGGAATCTGACGTTTAGTTAAGGAGTCTTTGTCACCACCAACAGCAGGATACGCGTTCCTCTCAAGGGCACACAGGATGTGCTCCAGGCTGGAACACACATTAGGACCCAGAACAGGTATTCACAAATTTAAGAAGTTTAAAATCATACAAAATATCTTTTCTAAACCACAATGGAATGAAACTAGAAATCAATAGCAGAAGGAAAACCTGAAAATGCACAGATATGTGGAAATTAACACTCTTAACCAGTGGGTCAAAGAAGAAATCACAAGGGACATTGGAAAGTATCTTGAAACAGAAACTGAAAATGAAAACACAACATCCCAAAACTTATGTGAAGTAGTAAAAGCAGTGCTCAGAGGGAGGTTTATAGTAGTAAACACATTTTAAAAATAAAGCTCTCTAGGCCGGGTGCAGTGTCTCACACCTGTAATCCCACCACTTTGGGAGGCCAAGGCAGTTGGATCACTTGAGACCAGGAGTTCAAGACCAGTCTGGCCAACATGGTGAAACCCTGTCTCTACTAAAAATAGAAAAATTAGCCAGGCGTGGTGGTGCATGCCTGTAATCCCAGCTACTCAGGAGGCTGAGGCACATGAATTGCTTGAACCCAGAAGGCAGAGGTTGCAGTGGGCCAAGATCACACCACCGTACTCCAGCCTGGACAACAAAGCGAGACCCTCTCCAAAAATTAAAAAGATTAAAAAAAAAAAAAAAGATCTTGAACCAGCTACCTAACTTCACCTTCACACTTAAACAAACTGGGAAGAGAAGAACAAGCTAACCCCAAAGTTAGCAGAAGGAAGGAAATATAAATATTATCAAATAATATTATAAATAATAAAAATTAGAGCAAAGATAAACTAAGTAGAGACTAGAGAAACATCATCTTTTATTTCTTCTTATGCATTGTATGAAGAGAAAACCCAAAGTGGGTCACAGCTCTCAGTCTTTGTAACCTAGAAGTACATACTGCAGCGTAAGTTTCTTCCAGTTCAGTTTCCTTACATTGATGATAAAACTCTTGACATGCCCCAGCATCCATTAAACTGCCCTGAGCCCCTCATTCCCTATTTTTCTATACTTTTTTTTTTAAGAGACAGGGTCCCACTCTGTCGCCCAGGCTGGAGTGCAGTGTTGCGGTCATAGCTCGCTGCAACCTCCAACTCCTGGGCTTCAGAGATCCCGCCACCTCAGCCTCCCGAGTAGCTGGGATTAAAACCCTGAATCACTGCCTGGCCTTCTGAGATCCCGCCACCTCAGCCTCCCGAGTAACTGGGATTAAAACCCTGAATCACTGCCTGGCCTTCTGTGATGTTCCTAAAGGAAATCTAGGGATACACTGTTCTTGCCCCCAACTAATGTATCGTCCACTGGGGACTCAAAGAAATAAAAGAGCACATGAGAAACAACAAATGCTGGATTGACTGACCAGGAAGGACTCAAGCAGGGAGGCCCTGCAGCGCTTCCAGCGCTTTTCTGAAGGAGGAGAGGGACCAGCTGAGGAGGAGGTGAGCAGACTTCCTAACAACCGTAAGACTCAGATTGCAGGGGGCATTCCTCAGGTGCACAACAAATTGGGAACTGTGGGCTAAAATGAAGGTTTTGCTGAAAGAAAGGAAGAAGGAACCCATTGTGCCTCTGACTAAATGTAAACAGCCCCTTTCCTGTACCTCTAGCACATACCTGGTGTCCCACTCACCCAGGTATATTTTTTTTTTAAAAAAAGAGAAGCAGCCTGTGATGCTAAAGGAAGTAGAACATAGATGACTATTGAGGTTGCTCAGAATCGCCTGTGTACTTTCATGCACATCCAGACTCCTGGATCTGACGCCATTACACCTTTCCATCTTAATGAGTTGGAGATGAAAGGGAATAGAACAAGCTCCAAGGAAACCAGAAGAGATGAAAGGACCTCAGTTTCTTCAAATAACTCCAAAGACTTGAGAGACTCAGATTCCACTTGATGGAAAAAATGCCACAGCTCATGTCAGCAGTGGGAATGCAGCGCAGAGAGCCCTGAAAAGAAATCAATGAGCCCGAGCCATACAATATTGGGGCTCCCTTGATCTTGGTCAGTATGCCCTTGGGGATAATGTTCCTTCTCATTCAAGACAGAATGGACAAAACTACAATCACCTTCCCTCCTTTAGAACAAAGCCTTTGTGTTAGTCAAGACTCTTTGACCTGAAAATAATAAAAATAACAACCTAACACAACTCAGTTTTTTGGGGTTTTATTTCTATTTCTTATTTTTATTTTTTAAAGGTGGATCTCACTCTGTCATCCAGGCTGGAGTGCCATGGCATGATTATAGCTCACTACAGCCTCAGTCTCTTGGACTCAGCCACACCTGGCTGGTGATCGGTGGGAGTGTGTCTCTAGGCTGCCCAGCTCACCATGAGGTTTGTTCTCTGTGTGACCACATCCCAGCGCTCTCCCCTGCCCATAGTTTATGGCCCAAACCATGGTTGCCTGGTGTCACCTCCCAGCCTGCACCTGACCGTGGCTCGCTGTCCCTCATTTTCTCTCTGGCTATGGCCATGGGCCTGTACGTGAGGCTGCTTCCCTTCTGAACAGATTTCTGGCTTCCTTCTTCAACTGTGGCTTGAACTTTTATTCTGTTATTCATTCCACAAATATTGCCAGGGCATTACCAACTGCCAAGTATAAAGGGTCCGTGTTGAACAAGGTAGATCTGGTCCCTGTTCATGTGAACTTAGGTGCCCTTAGAGAAGGTTGTTAAGCAATTAGAATACTAAGAGACCAGGTGCGGTGGCTCATGCCTGTAATCCCAGCACTTTGGGAGGCTGAGGTGGGAAAATTGCTTGAGCCCAGGTGTTTGAGACCAGCCTAGGCAACATAGGGAGACCTCTATCACTGCTAAAAATTTAAAAATTTAGCGGGGCACAGTGGTGCATGCCTGTAGTCCCAGCTACTCAGGAAGCTGAGGTAGAAGGATCACTTAAGCCCAGGAGTTTGAGGTTGCTGTGAGCCATGATTGCAGCACTGCACTCCAACCTGGGCAACAGAGTGAGACTCCATCTCTAAAAATAAGTAAATAAATAATAATAAATAAAATAAAATAAAATAAAAATCTGATGAGTGATAGGAATTAGAAGGGCCTGCAAGAACACGTGGCAAGACCCTAAACCAGTCTAGTGCTCAGAGAAGGGCTCTGTGAACACCAGATAGTTTGAAGAACAAATGATGAGTTCAAAGTGGGCTGTGTTGTATGTGCAGGACCTGGAGACATCCGGGTGAGTGTCTCACGCTTTGGATTGTGTGGCCTGCTGCTGCTCTGGGCAAGCACTCTCCCACCCAGACCCGACCCAGTGCCCAGGGACCCAGCCAACACAGGCCTGAAAGACCCCATGCTCTCCAAGTTCACCTTAAACATGATGCTGACACATCCAGGTTTGTCATCAGAATGTCCTAGGCCAGCAAAAGAGATGAAAGGGCTAAAAAGATGCTCTGTGTGAAACAAGAGCTGCTCCCGGGAAGCCAATAATTACACGCTGTGCTTATCATGCTGAGTTGTCAAAAAAGCTTTCTTCTAAACACCAAGCAATTAAGAAAGGGGCAGCAAATATTTGCTGATTGATTGATGATGGTTCCCAGGGATGGGCCACAAAAACAAGAGTTCTAACTGAGGCAGGCATAACAAGCAGCGTGGGGTCAAAGAAAGGGGTGAGAAGCAGAGACGAGGGGGGCGGCACTGGTGGGGGGGGCCTGGCACATGAGCTCAGCGTAGCGAGGTTCCCACCTCTGTCCCCTCCCCTGGCTGGCTTTTACCCCTCCTTGCCACCAGTCTCACTCCTCCTCCTTTCTCCCTCTCCTCCTCCAGCCTTTGCGGCTCTTAATGACAGTTCTGATTCTCCGGGCTCCCTGGCAGAGCCCCTCCCAGACCCAGCTCTGGGCCTCCCTAAGCCCTTCCCTTAAGGGTGGTGCCACCCCCAGGCTCACCAGAGCCCTCAGGGTGGGCCTCAGCCATGGGTGGGGGACTGAGAAAGTGCTGAAGTTTCCCACAGTTCTGGAGTTCACACTACCAGTATTTGAAT
Source organism: Homo sapiens (assembly GCF_000001405.40). Taxonomy (NCBI): domain Eukaryota; kingdom Metazoa; phylum Chordata; class Mammalia; order Primates; family Hominidae; genus Homo; species Homo sapiens. The sequence goes on along the minus strand of NC_000016.10, from coordinate 47,065,759 downwards.
GTAATATCCCCTGTAAACCAAGGATTGCAGAGAAAGCTTTCTCAGACTGAAATACATGTGATAAGAGGGAAATGATTTTTTTCAAGTTTACAAAAAGATCAGAACCGATTATGGCTAATAACACACAAGAGGAATGGAAAAAGCCAGGCGTGGGGGGTGCATGCCTGTATCCCAGCTACTCGGGAGGCTGAGGCAGGAGGATCGCTTGAGCCAGGAGGTCAAAGCCAGCCTAGGCAACATAAACCATAACGATTAAAAAAAAAAAAAAATTTTTTTAAAATCTTCCTTCTAGAGGCATTAAAAAAGGGTTAAAAAAATTTCAACTATAGGCTGGGCATAGTGTCTCACACCTGTAATCCCAGCAATTTGGGAGGCCAAGGTGGGTGGATTGCTTGAGGTCAGGAGTTCAAGACTAGCCTAGACAGCATGGTGAAACCCCATCCCTACTAAAAATACAAAAATTAGCCAGGCATGGTGGCACACGCCTGTAATCCCAGCCACTCAGGAGACTGAGGCAAGAGAATTGCTTGAACCCAGGAGGCGGAGGTGGCAGTGAGCCAAGATCACGCCACTGCACTCCAGCCTGGGCAACAGAGCAAGACTCTGTCTCAAAAAGGAAAAACAAAAAATTCAACTATAGTTATAACTCAAAGCAATACCCATACACTTTCCCCACACCAGCAGAACTGGAAATTGAAAATTGCATGTGACTGTGGCCATAGACAAGCTCTGGGCGCCCTGAGCCTTGGACTAACCCAGCACCTTCCACCAGGAGGCCAACCTCAGCTGTTCCCTACTGTGGATTTACCCATCAAGCCAGTGCCAATTTGGTCTGAGGCTGGAACAGCCAATGGAGAAAGTGACTTTATTGGGATTTTCACCTCACTCGTTGGGAGAAGCAGAGACGTCGGCCCCTGCTCCAGGAGACTGCCCTCCTGGATCAAAAGGAGGCCACCTTTTCCTGCACCATAGGCCTTTATTAATTATTTTAATAATCTTTCACTACCAAAGCAATATATGTGAATTTTAGAAAACAGGAAAATACTGATGATCCCCAAATAAAAATAACACATTTCCAACCACTCAGAGACTACCACTATAGCTCGTCTATATCCTTCCAGATTTTTCTGTGTATTAATATATATGTGTATTGTTTTTACTAAAATGAGGCCACACCATACATATTGATTTTTTTCCTTTCAACTTTCATTGTGAAAATGTCAAACCTACAATAAATTGAAAAAATGGCTCCCATTCATGAATTGGTGCCATTTTGCCACGTTCGTCTTGTCTGTCTCCCCAATGTCTATATAGATTTCTCTATATCTATGTCCAGACATAGCGAGACCCATATAGAGTAATACATATATAGAGAGAGAGAGATTAACCATTTGAGACTAAGTTGCATATATCATGACCCTTCCCCCTAAATACCTCAGCATGTATCTCCTGAGAACAAGGATGTCCATCTACACCACACACAATTATCACATCCAAGAAATTTAGGCTGGGCATGTGGCCCACACCTGTAATCCCAGCACTTCAGGAAGCCAAGGCAGGATGATTGCTTGATCCCAGGAGTTTGAGACCAAATTCGGCAACATAATGAGACTTCATCTCTATGAAAAAGTTTTTTAATTAGCTGGGCGTGGTGGTGCACACCTGCAGTCCCAGCTAATTGGGAGGCTGAGGCAGGAGAATCCCTTGAGCCCAGGATGTTGAGGCAACAGTGAGCTATGATCACACCACTGCACTCCAGCCTAGGTGACAGAGCGAGACTCAGTCTCAAAACAAAAAACAAAAAAAAAAACATATTTCACAGTGATACAATATTATTAACTAATACACAGTTAATATTCAATGTCCCTTAATTGCCTAATCCTTACCTCCTAATCCTGTCCCTTACAGTTGGCACTAAAGGTTGGGTTATTCAGGAGTTCACACCAAGATGGATTGGGGGTACAAAATGTTTGTTTGTTTGTTTGTTTTTGAGACGGAGTCTGGCTTTATTGCCCAGGCTGGAGTGCAGTGGCGCCATCTCAGCTCACTGCAAGCTCTGCCTCATGAGGCATCTGTGCCTGGGAAAGGAAGCAGGACTGAGCAGAGGAAGAACTGCCACATGGGCCTGACACAGCCTCAGTCCACCCGATGGGGAAGCTCTGGAGTGAGAATTGCCCATCACATTGTCTTATATGGAGCCAGAAGGGCCTTGATGGCCCCTCCTGAATCAGTATGCATGGGGCTGACCTTGGGCAAGGCAGCTCTCCAGCCAAAGCAGATCCCGAAGAGCAAATAGCAGGGGCCGTCTGCTGGCCACATTCTCGGTAGGAGGCAGCCCGTTGCAGGGGTATCTGGGTGGCACACCTCCATATCTTCTGGATCCGATTGAGGGTCACATGTTACATTAAGTCATCACGTCTCTTCAGTCTCCTTTAAATTATAACATTTCTGTCTTAGTCCATTTGGATTGCTATAACAAAAATACCATAAATTGAGTGGCTCATAAACAACAGAACTGTATGTCTCCCAGTTCTAGAGGCTGGGAAGTCCAAGATCAAGGCACCAGCAGATTCAGTACCTGGTGAGGCCCTCTTCCTGGTTCATAGATGGCTGTCTTTTCACTATGTCTTCACATGGTGTAAGGGGTGGAGGATCTCTCTGGGGCCTCTTGTTTAAGGGCACTGATATGGTTTGGCTCTGTGTCCCCACCCAAATCTCATCTCAAATTGTAATCCCATGTGTCAAGGGAGAGACCTGGTTGGAGGTGATTGGATTATGAGGGTGGTTTCCTCCATGCTGTGCAGGTGAGTTCTCATGAGGGCCGATGGTTTTAAAGTGTGGCACTTCCCCATTGCTTGCTCTCTCTCCTCTGCTGCCATGTAAGACATGCCCTGCTTCCCCTTTGCTTTCCCCCATGATTGTAAGTTTCCTGAGGCCTCTCCAGCCATGTGGAACTGTAAGTCAAACCTCTTTTCTTTATAAATTACCCAGTCTCAGGTATTATCTTTAGAGCAGTGTGGAAACAGACTAATACAGACACTAATCCCATTCATAAAGACATCACTCTTGTGACCTAATTACCTACCAAAGTCCCCACCTCCAAATACCCTACAGTGGGGATTAGGTTTCAACATATTAATTTGGGGTACAGCAACACTCTGTCTATGGCAATTTCCCCTGCCTTTTTATCCTTTAGGAGATTAACATGTTTGAATGGCCCAGGCAGTTGTTTTGCAGAACATCCTCCTTTTGGATTTGTCTGATAACATGGAGCTTCCTAACTCACTTTGTTCAGTCCACAGTCTCCCTTCCATTTTAATACACGTTCCTGCCATGTAATACCTAGATGACAGTCAGACTTTCCTGATTACAGCCACTTCATCCACACCACTGTCCAATCCAGTACCACAGACTGCACCTGGTGGCTACCTTCCTTCTCTGTCTTTTAGTCCAGCACGGTGTTCCTTTTATGAGATGAAACATGGAGAGGCTGGGCCGCTTGTCTTGCAGGGCACCCCATGTTCTGGTTGCTTCCATGTGGTGTCATTTAGTTGGATCCCCTACTTAATGAATTCAAGTTACACATTTTTGGCTGGGCTGCATCACAGGTGGTGTACTTTGAGAATCACACACGAAGTGCTCTGTGAGCCTTGAAATACGAGTCTTTTACTGGGTTTCAAATGCTCACTGCTCCCTCTCCTAGCTCCACCATTTACCAGTTTCATAGGGAGGAGTGCGCCTATTCCTATCGCCGCATTCCCCAGCAGGGGGCTGTGAGAGGTGAGATGGAGGCTTAGGTGGGATGAGGGGTGGAAGGCAGTGAGGAAAGCCAGGGAGCCAGGAGATTTGCGTTCTCATCCTAACTCTGTCCTCACCTTTCTATGTGACTTTAAGTAAGCCCCTTGACCGCTTGTCCCTACAACACAAATAGAACGTTTCTTGCCCTGCCTACATTGGAGGCAGTGAACAGGATCCCATAGAGTGTAGACGTGGAAGCACTTTCCAAACCAGAGCACATCAGGGGTAAGGGACGCTTCCCACCAGGAGATCAGGGCAGGGGCCAGATCATCCTCGTGGCATGATTAGAGCTCGGTGGATCGTGTGGCTTTACAAGCCGCACGATTCCCTTCCTGACGTTCGGGACTTTCATTGTGCCAAGCAGATCCGCATCTCCTTCAGTCCTACCAGTGACCCCGGGTGTAGGAGGCCAACTCTCAGAGAAGGTCGCACCCAGCCTGCTACTGCCACAACTGCTAAGCCCAACCTCCCCTCAGGAACGGGCATGAGCTCGAGAGGCGGAAGTAAAAGGATTCAGATCCCTTGATTGAGCTCCAGGAACGAGGACTGGAAGCCGCCTCTGGCAGGGTGGCCGGGATTTGAGGTCAGCCCAGGCCAGCTTGGGTTGGATGTGGCTTCCCAGGGGTAGAGGGAGCAGCTCACACGTGCCAAGGATCCCACACAGCCTGGAAGCTGTCACTTCCCAGCTGCTGGACCTCAGGGAAGGAGGCCCAGAGAGTAGCCCAGGGAGGGTACAGCAGGCGGCGACTGTTTATGGACTGGGTGTTAAATGGCTGCAGAACATGGCAGCTTCAGGCCTCGGGGCCCAGGGAAAAGTTCGTTCCTGCTTCTACCCAGAGTTTTAGGTGGTGGAGAGGCTTGAAATGGGGAGTTACTGGCGTCTCTTAACCAGGCCTTCTGGGGGGTAAATATTGTGAATATTACTCCTGCCTGGAATAACCCTTCTAGGGTTTCCAACTAGAGGCACCTGGCCTGGTCAGACTTCCTCATTCAGCCAGTGTAATGGTGGTGTTGCTTTCAGATGGGCTTGAATGTGTTAGGCACTCTCCAGTTTGCCACAAGCACCACCACTCCCTACTGTCTCAGTTCAGTCCTGTGATCAGTTTTATTGCTGCCAGATTGTAGGACCCACCCTGCCCCTGGAAGAATTGAGGTTGCGAGCTCACAAGCAGGCGGTCCCCATTGCAACTCCTGCCTCTTTGGCCAGAAGCAGCCATGATCAGCCATTGTGAAAACCGAGACTGTGGTCCCAATAGGGGCCACCTTCCAAGCCTAAGTGCCTCTCCACCATAGTGCTGATCCCTGCCATCCCAGGACTTCAGATTGATCCTTGAGGCCAAATGTAGATTCCTTTGTGAAAGGAGATGGCCGTATTACCTCACTAACAGCTTAGCACCAATTGGTTAATAAAATACCAGGAGAGAGAAAGAGAGGAAATTGGCATCTATTAAGAGTTCACTCCGTGCTAAGTCCTGGATATACCATCCCACTTAGCCTCCCAGCACCACTGTAAGACAGGTGGTATCCCCATTGTACATATTGGAAAACCAAGGTTAGCTTCCCTTAAATTGCACAGACAGTAGAGCACAGCCAGTTTTTGAACCCGGATCTGAATGTGAGACTGTGCTTTTTCCTCTATCCACACTGTGTCGCCATAAGCACCTTCTGTGTGCCAGGCACAGGACTGGGCACAGTCTGTCCTTGCCCAGCTCCCAGTCTGGCAAAAAGGACTTCGTATGTGCACTCCGCCCTCATCCCTCTCCCAAAGCTCAAGCCAAGTTTCCAAAGAATGGCAGCTGCCACTAGGGGGATGGGAGGTTTTAGGTGAAATGCAACATGAATTACTTTGTTTCAATAGTTATATATTTAATATAAAATTGGGAGGCCGAGGCAGGCAGACCACGAGGTCAGGAGATCGAGACCATCCTGGCCAACATGGTGAAACCCTGTCTTTACTAAAATACAGAAATTAGCTGAGCGTGGTTGCGTGTGCCTGGCGTAATAGCTGGCGTAATTAGCTGGTGTAATCCCAGCTACTCGGGAGGCTGAGGCAGGAGGATTGCTTGAAACAGGGAGTCAGAGGTTGCAGTGAGCCAAGATCACACCATTGCACTCCATCCTGGGCGACAAGAGCAAAACTCCGTCTCAAAAAAAAATACAGTGAGTTCATCAAATACATGATTTCACAGACTGTGATAATTGTGATATAATAAAAAGTATATATTTTGGGTTTTGTCTCCAGCACCTAGCCAGAACTCCTAAAACCCGTGTAATTTCCTGAGTGGTAGGGATGCTAGATATATCTTTTGGTCTTATAAAGTTAGCCCTCCATATCCATGGGTCCCGCATCCATGGATTCAACCAATCTCTGATTGAAAATATTCAGAATAAAAAATGGGCTAGGTGTGGGTGTGGTGGCCCACACCTGTAATGCCAGCACTTTGGGAGGCCAAGGTGGGAGGATTCCTTAAGCCCAGGAGTTTGAGACCAGCCTGGGCAACAAAGGGAGTCCTCATCTCTATAAGAACTAAAGAAATTGGCTAGGCGTGTTGGCACATGCCTGTAGTCCCAGCTACTTGGGAGGATGAGGTGGGAGGATCCATTGAGCCCAGGAGGTCAAGGCTGTACTGAGCTGAGATCATACCACGGCACTCCAGCCTGGGTGACAGAGCAAGACCCTGCCTCAAAAACAAACAAACAACAAAAAAAGGATGGTTGCATCTGTACTGAACACTGTGTAGATCTTTGTTATTATTCCCTAAACAACACAGTATAACAACTATTTGCTTGTATTAGGTATAACTGATCTAAAGATTGTTTAAAGTATATGGGAGAATGTACATAGGTTATATGCAAATTCTACACCATTTTATATCAGGGAATTTAGCATCCATAGATTTTGGTTATAGTGGAGGGGGATCATCTGGAACCAATTCCCCATGAACACAGAAGGACAACTGTATTTGTCTTTGACTCTGGTTCCTGACACAGAGCTTCTAATCTCTTGGAACTTCCTGGTTGGTAGGAACATCTTTTGTTCTAACAAGATGACTCTGGATTGGTGCCAGGATGGGGCTGATCACCAGAGCCATGATTAGAGGCTTGGAACCTTGAACCTCACCCTCATCCTCTGAGTAGGGGAGAGGCTGGAGAGTGAGTTAAAAATCAATCATGCCTACGTGATGAAGCCTCCATAAAAACCCCTGAGCTGCAGGGTTTGGAGAGCTTCCCGGGTGGTGAACACATCCACATGCTGGGAGGACGGCACCCCCCAGCTCCACGGGGACAGACATTCCCGAGCGCAGGACCTTTCCAGACCTCACCCTATGTGCCTCTTCATCTGGATGTTCATCTGTATCTGTTGTAATATCTTTTTTTTTTTTCTTGAGACAAGGTCTCATTCTTTCACCCAGGCTGCAGTGCAGTGGCATGATCACGGCTCACTGCAGCCTCAGCCTCCCCAGGCTCAGATGATCCTCCCACCTAAGCCTCCCAAGTAGCTGAGACTACAGGCGCATGCCAACACGTCTGGCTAATTTTTGTATTTTTTGTAGAGACGGGGTTTCGCCATGTTGCCCAGGCTGGTCTCCAACTCTTGGACTCAAGCAATCCACCCGCCTCAGCCTCCCAAAGCGCTGGGATTACAGGCGTGAGCCACCATGCCCAGCCAATTGTAATATCCTTTATAATAAGCTAGTAATCATGCTTCTCTGAGTTCTGTGAACCATTCTGACAAATGATTGAATCTAAGGAGGGGGTTTTGGGAACCTCTTATCTATAGCCAAGTGGGACAGAAGCGTGGGTAACCTGGGGACCCACGACCTGCAGTTGGTGTCTGACATGGGAAATGGTCTTATGGAATAATGCAGCAGCCCTCCACCTGTGGGAATTGGGTTGAGTTACTGGATGCCCAGTTGGTATCTGCAGAGAATTGGAGAATTGCTTAGTGTGGAAAAACCCACATATTTGGTGCCAGAAGTTCTGTTTGAGCTGTGGAAGAGAATTGGAATTTTCCCTGCACACAGACATTGCTTCAGATGAGGCCACAATAGTTGGCCATACCAGGCCTGAGTAAACGCCAGGAGACAGGAGAGGACATTGCTCTGTGGGACCTACTGGGCCACAGTAGTCCTACTGGGCATGAGCTCACGCCATCTCCTCTGCCAACCTTCCTGCCCTCCGCAGGGCTGCTGAAAACAAGACCTCCAGCTGGCCTTCTTCAAGTCCACAACGTTTCTGACTCATTCCTGGTCAAATCAGGTGGCCTCATCCTCACCCCCAGGACTGTTTCCCAGCCACTGTCTCAGGTCAGTGGATGAGACTCGGGAAGGAGGCCAGGGTCTTTGGGACACCTTCAGTGTCCAGGAAAATGCAGGCTTTAAAAGGAAGTCACCAAGAGATCCCCATTCCCTGTGCTGGGAACCCCATTTGGCAAATACACACAGACACACACATGCACACAGACACACACAGAGACGCACACAGACACACACAGACACACATAGAGACACACACAGACACTCACACAGAGACACACACAGACACACACACACGGATACACACACAGACACAAACAGACACACACACACCCTCTCAGACACACACACACCCTCACAGAGACACACACAGACACACACACACAGATACACACACAGACACAGACACACACACACCCTCTCAGACACACACACACCCTCACACATAGAGACACACACAGACACACACACATGGATACACACAGACACACACACCCCCTCTCACACAGACACACACCCTCACACAGACACACACAGACACATAGACACACACACCCTCTCACACAAACACACACAACACACCCTTACACATAGACACAGAGACACACACAGACACACACACAGACACACCCTCACACATACAGACACAAACAGATACACACACAGACACACACAGATACACACATATACACCCAGCCCCTACCATCGTCACCTTCTCAGAAACTACAATACAATTAGGGCAGCATTCTGGGAATTAGGAAAATTAGATCCTTGGAAAGGGAAATAGCTGTAAGTGATTGAGAGCAATTTTCCTGACAAGAACTCATGGGAGGCAGAGATTTCAGTTAATTCAAAGAAGAAAGCGAGGTCTTCTCTGGGCTGGGGCATCACTGCCAAAGCACCCCCAGTGGCCCCCAAGCAATGAGATTTCCAAACCCCACTGCAGATGCTTCCTTTCCTGAAGAAAGTGAGCTGGGCTCCCAAGGAGTGTGGCAGAGGCTAAGGAGGGAGAAGAATGAAAGAAAGACAGTTACTCCTCCAACTAGAATGAGTGAAAATAAAAACCAATAAAAAGAAAGAGGCAGAGAAAGTTGCTCCTTAAAAAGTCAGCTTCCAGGACAGGCCAAGTAATAAGAAGAGCTGACATTTAGGGGGCAATTGCCCCCAAGCCCCAGCCCCTGTTCTTTTTTTTTTTTTTTTTTTTTTTTTTTTGAGACGGAGTCTTGCTCTGTTGCCAGGCTGGAGTGGAGTGGCGTGATCTCAGCTCACTGCAACCTCCGCCTCCCGGCTTCAAGCAATTCCCCTGCCTCAGCCTCCTGAAGAGCTGGGATTACAGACGCGTGCCACCACGCCTGGCTAATTTTTTGTATTTTAGTAGAGACGGGCTTTCACCATGTTGGCCAGGATGGTCCCGATCTCCTGACCTTGTGATCCGCCCGCCTCTGCCTCCCAAAGTGCTGGAATTACAGGCGTGAGCCACCGCTCCTGGCTGCCAACACCAGCGCCTGTTCTAAGCCCCGTACAATGACCCTGTAGGATAGGTTCTGGCATTTTCCATCCCCATTGTACAGACAAAGGAACTGAGGCTCAGATGGGGCTCAATTACTTGCCCTAGGTCCCCCAGTGAGAGAGAAACTTCTACTGTACTGAATTTTGGAAGCTCTAACAAAGACTTAAGCATGCCCACTTCGCTGGAAGTGCACCATTAGGAACTTAGCCAAAAATTCCACTAAAAGGCAAATTATTGACTCCATTTTCAGCCCTTAAGACCTCTAGGCTGAGGATAGGATGGACGAAGGGCACAAAAGCCAGTGCAACCTGCCTTACCTGGAGATACTGATGGCAGCAGGAAGGCAGAGCGGTGGGCTGCACACTCCATGGAGCCGGTGGGAGCCCCATCCCTTCTGAGCTGGGGCAGTAGCTCCCTGGGTGCCGCTGCAGCTGCCCAAACCGTGGCTGCAGACCCAGACCTCCTGCTCTACGAAGCAGGCAAACGCCCCGCCCTCCTGGGCAGGGTTACAGCCACCCAAACTGCGGCTGTGGATCCAAGACTCGCTGTGCTCTTGAAGGGGGCCCGGGAGCAGGCAGGATCTGCCCTTGCGGGTGCAGCTGCAGTCCCCCAAACTGTGGCTGCAGACCTGGGCCTCCCGCTTCACAGAGCAGGCCGGAGCCGGGGACAAGCGGGAGTCCTGCCCCTTCCAGGTTGGTGGGACAGGAGCTCCTGGATGCAGCTGCGGCCACCCTCCCAGGCACAGGCCCAGTGCATCTCTGCAGCCTGCGTCCTCAAGGCGGCTGGGGAAGACCGCCCAGCCTCCTGTCCCTGCTCCTGCTGCCTGGTTTCTCTCCCGTCCTGGCGCCCACTCCGATACTGGAGCAGGGCTTAGGGCCGAGCCCCAGGGGTCATGAATGGCAGCAGGAGGCAGACAGATTCCTGGGTGGAAGCGGGGGACCCCAGTAAGGCCCCACCTTCAGGCCAGAGAGGGCCTGAAGGCTGGGGGCTGGGCTGCCAGTCCTGCGGACCTGAGTGCGGACTCATGGTGCCTCTTCCAGGCCCACCCATGGCCACCCATGGACCAGTGGGCATGCACTTCCTCCCCTCTGAGCGACATAAAAGCCCTGGGCTCAGCCAGAGCAAGAGAGAGGATGGCCAGAGCAGGGCAGAGAAGGTGAAGGACAGAGAGAGGACAGGAAGACCAGCTACAGAGAGAGGCTATCCTTTCTGCTCAGAGCTTCAGAGACCTGCAGAGACGTGGGAATAACCAGCCTCCTGGAGAGGAGCTACCCTTTCCAGGGCCTCCTCTCTGCTGAGAGCTGAACTGGATGGGCAACCTGCCTACAGAGATGAGCTACCCACTGCGGATCTCCCGAGCTGTTTTAACACTAAATAAAGCTTCTCTTTGTCTTCTTCATCCTTCACTTGTCTGAGTACCTCATTTAGAACTCAGGTGAAGGCCCATGAGCCACAGAAGTTTCCAGGAAGAATATCAACATCCTCCTCAAAGATCCCTTAACAATATCAGTAATCTTAGGACTCCCTTTCCCCAGAAGGGACAGCCCAAGAATGAAAGACACCCAAAGGGAAGGAGAGCCAAAGCCCTCGCACCCCAGAATACCACAGCGGTGGCCCCAGCAGCATTACTGGCGTCTGCTCCCCACCAGGCCTGGCCATGGCTTCCTTGGTAGCCTGCATCCTTGCAAGCAAATGATCTGCCTGCAGTGCACAGAAAGGAAGCCCGGATGAGCGAGGGCATGGCTTTCCTTCCCTCCCAACCGGTAAGGAAGGCCAGGAGAGACCTGTACTGTTCACCTCCATGTTCCTTGTGCCAAGAGAGTGTGTTTTGAAGTGAATTAAGGTGCCCTCGAAGACTAGAAAACAGGGAGGGATGGGCATAGTGGCTCACACCTGTAATCTTAAGGTTTTGGGAGGCCAAGGCAGGAGGATTGCTTGAGCCCAGAAGTTTGAGACCTGCCTGGGCAGCATGGTAAAACCCCGTGCCTACAAAAAAATATATATAAATTAGCTAGGCATGGAGGCTCATTCCTGTAGTCCCAGCTACCTAGGAAGCTGAGGCGGGATGATTGCTTGAGCCCAAGAGGTCAAGGCCATGTGGCTATGATCATGCCATTGCACTTTAGCCTGGGCGACAGAGCAAAACCCCGCCTCAAGAAAATTAAAGAAAAGAAAAAGAAAACAGAGAGAAAGGTCTCTTTCCAAGAGTTAAACTATAAAATCAGCTCAGGGCAAAGCAGAACCATGCGCTGTCACACTAGAGAAACAGCAAGGCCAACCATGACCTATTATGAGCACCAAAAACGTGTCTAAAGACGGCATGTGTTCCAGCCAGGTATGGTGGCTCGTGCCTGTAATCCCAGTACTTTGGGAAGCCAAGGCAGGTGGATCACCTGAGGTCAAGAGTTTGAGACCAGCCTGGCCAACATGGTGAAACCCTGTCACTGCTAAAAATACCAAAAAGTTAGTGGTGCGTGGTGGGATCCAAGCTACTCGGGAGGCTGAAGCAGGAAAATTGCTTGAACCCAGGAGGTGGAGGTTGCAGTGAGCCAAGATCGTGGCCACTGCACTCCAGCCTGGGCAATGCAGCGAGACTCTGTCTCAAAAAAATAAATAAATAAAAATAAAGGCAGCATGTGTCTGTGAGAAGGGGGTGGCCAGCTCTGCAAGCAGAGGAGAGGGCAACCAGTGCCAGAGACAGACCAGAACAGTGTCCAGCAGAGCAAGTGGCCCTGTCTCAGTTCATTAAAAGAAGAAATGCTTGACCTAACGGGTTCCGGAGGAAGGCAGGACCACACTGGGAGAAGACCACCACTTCCCAGGGCACAAGTCACTGGAATCCCTAACCGACCTCCGTCACGTGTGCCCACCATGAACCCAGGCCTGCCATGTCATTGGCCAGCAAGGAAAGAGGGCTGGTCAGGCCATACAGATCTCTGGTCTACCCGGCAGTATTCATTTTCACGGGTGATCTCTCGGTGAGTAGATATTCTGCCTCTGTCTCTGAGGGTTCTGGAGGTGTGCATTGGCCTTCCTGAGTCTGAGATGCTGACCAGGTAGAGACTGTGAGCCTGGGGCTGAGGGTTGGACCAGGGACTGTGGTGAACCCACCAGGGGAAAAACTGCTATCTGGATTCAGCCTCTCCCCTCAGTGTCTGCGAGTACTTTCCACCAGAAACTTCTACACAAAGCGGGTGCTGGGTATTGGATGGATAAGTGGACAGACAGACACACAGGCAAACAGAAGTGTTACTGCAAGTTGAAGCCTCCTGTCTGGCCCCTAAAGCTGAGCTTTTTCCACCATGTGTGCCATCTCTTCAGCCTTTTCCTCTCTCCCTGCTAGGACTGGCTCAAGGCCAGGACCTGGGGCTGCTCACAAAGTTCTTGCTGGCTGTTTTTTTTGTTTTGTTTTGTTTTGTTTTGTTTTGTTTTGTTTTGTTTTTTCTAGAGACAGTGTCTTGCTATGTTGCCCAGAGTGCAATGGCACAATCACAGCTCACTATAGCCTCCAACTCCTGGGCTCAAGCGATCTTCCCACCTCACCCTCCAGAGTAGCTGGGATGACAGGCATGTGCTGTCCCACAACTGGCTAACATTTTTTTTTTTTTTTGAGACGGAGTCTCACTCTGTTGACCAGGCTGGAGTGCAGTGGCGCGATCTCCGCTCACTGCAAGCTCCACCTCCCAGGTTCATGCCATTCTACTGCCTCAGCCTCCCAAGTAGCTGGAACTAAAGGCACCCACCACCACACCCGGCTAATTTTTTGTATTTTTAATAGAGACGGGGGTTTCACCACATTAGCCAGGATGGTCTCGATCTCCTGACCTCATGATCTGCCGGCCTAGGCCTCCCAAAGTATTGAGGTTACAGGCGTGAGCCACCGTGCCTGGCCAACATTTTTATTTTTTTGTGGAGATGGGTTCTTGCTACATTGCCCAGACTGGTCTTGGACTCCTGGGTTCAAGCGATTCTCCCACCTCAGCCTCCCAAAATGTTGGGATTACAGGTGTAAGCCACCATGCCCGGCCTCTTGCTAACCATTTAAGCTGGAGTCCAGCAGCAGGGACAGATGCAGTAAGCTTCATACAGTGGGGAAAGAGTCCCTGTCCTCACTGGGGAGGGTCCTGGCCTTACCCCTTTCCAGCTGTAGTACTTACCACTTAGAATGGGATAGAAGGTGGGGAGTGGTGGCTCACACATATAATCCCAGCACTTTGGGAGGCCGAGGCAGGCAGATCACGAGGTCAGGAGATCGAGACCATCCTGGCTACTGCGGTGAAACCCCGTCTCTACTAAAAATACAAAAAATTAGCCCGGTGTGGTGGCAGGTGCGTGTAGTCCCAGCTACTCAGGAGGCTGAGGCAGGAGAATGGCGTGAACCCAGGAGGCAGAGGTTGCAGTGAGCCGAGATCACGCCACTGCACTCCAGCCCGGACAACAGAGTGAGACTCCATCTCAAAAAAAAAAAAAAGGATAGAGTCGGGGACAAATTTCCGAGGGCAGTGTCCAACTGAAGGCCACATTCCACAGGCCACCCTTTTCTGGTGTCGTCCGTGGCTTCGTGACACCAGGAGATAGACGTTTTGTAGAAGATGATTTGTTTTTTTTTTTAGAAACAGTGTGAAGTCTCTACCAAGCTCTGGGCATCAGCTGGTCACATGTCGAGGAGAGGCACACAGTGCGGGCCACTCCTACCCATGGCAGTTCTCAGCATGTGCCTCGATGACCTCCACCCAGAGAAAAGCCTGGCCCAGGACCAGACAGGAGAAAATCAAATAGTGCAGTGCATGCTCCAGGGGCCTGCCCATCATGGAGTTCCAGGCCCTTCCTCATCCTCCTTCATCGTTCATGGGACTGCTCTAGCAGGGCAGAAGGAGCTGGGCCTTTGAAGTTCAGAGACCTCGGTTCGAGCCCAAGCCAGGGCTGTTGGGTGCAGTTGTGTGCCTTGTGCCCCACGTCTGTCTCGCAGGGTTCACCTGCCAGCTGTGCACCTACCTGCAGGGCTGGGTTTCCCCGAAGGTGCCAGATGGGCTACTGGGGGTCCATCAAGGCCCTGCCGTGACTCGCCTATGTGAGTTTGGGAAAGTCATGGCATCTTCACGCCTTGGTTTTCTCGCCTGTGACCTAGGAGTATGGTGATATTTGTTCCACCCTCCTTGCAGGTGTGTATGTGGTTCAGCCACATGTAAGACTTTGTGAACCACAGAGACCTTGGCCTGTGGACAGAAGGCACAACTCCCAGGCTGTCCTCGTAGTTGCGGCCTAAGCTCTCCACATGTCAGAGCCCGCTCCTGGCCTTCTCCTGGGACCTGGCCGTCCTCTAGGACTCTTTCCCCCTTTGTCATCTGCTCCTCCTTCATCCAGTTATTTTGCCTTCAAGACCTCTTCTCAGTTGCTGATACATTTTCTTTATTGATTTTTAAAACCATTATTGTAAAGATAACCAATGGTCTTGATTTGAACAAAAATTGAAGAGGTCTTGGAGGCAGAAGAGGAAAAGGAGAGGTTTCCCTTCCCATCAGCCACATCCTCCAGATGGCAGCTGGGGCCTCTCCATCCTACATCTTCAGCCCCGCATCCTAGAAGCCAGCTCCTTGTTCTCCCGAACAGCCCAGGACTCGACACACAGACCTGCCCAAGTGCCCCGCCACCCCACTCACGGAAATGAGCTTGCACGTACACCCTTAAGCAAGTAACGTCAACCTCACTGAAATGTTCATAGGGAAGGAAAGAGTTCACGGTGCACACCCCTCACCAAATAACATCCACCCTGTCCCTTGGTCATCTGTGGGCAGCAAGGTCAATACCCCCACCTGCTGGGGGAGGGAGGGAGGCTGCCACCCACATCCCACTTCCAAAGGGCTGGTTTAGGGGTGGAGTGAGGGTGGGGGCTCCCAGCTGGTGGTGCCTTCCAGAGAAGGAGCTGACTGGGGTGGGTTGACAGCTTTTTCTGATGTGTCAATAAATCACAAATCACTGCCTGAATCACCAGAACCAACTGTCACTTTATAAATTCCAATCCACAGAAACCCATTGCCCCTTCCCCAGCGCATTCCCTTCCTAAGGCAGCTGCCAAACATAAAGCCCTGGTTCTGGGCATCCCACATGCCTCTGCGAGTCTTTGGCAGCTCGAGTGGGTGCTGGGGTGGGCGTGGGGGAGAGAGTGCGGTGCTTTCTGGGTCTTTAGAGGAGATCAACCAGTGGCCAGGAGGTCTGGCTTCTGGTCCCAGCTGAGTCCTGACTTACAGTGGGACCTTGGGCGAATCCCTTTCCCTCTGTTGGCCTGCTGCCTCTAACCAGCATTTACTGAGCTCACTGAGTGCTGCAATTGACTTGTAATATGTCTTTGAGTCCTAACAATCATTCCATAAGGCAGTTACTCGCTATTACTGTCGTCTTTTTTTGTGATGGATTTAGAAGCCTCAAACATGCAGAGGTTGAAGAACGCGCCTAAAGGTCCTAAGGCTAGCAGTGGGCAGAGCCGTGGTCTCCAACCATAGCCCTGCATGCGCAGCTGCCCATGCACTGGGCTGGGGGATTCTTTGGCGCAGTGGGAGCCTGTAACCTTTCTGCAAGGGATTTGGGGGATGGAGAGGAGACACAAATCATGGAAAGCACACTTTGGATTCCTGATCACTTAGGGAGGCCCTCAGGGTGAGTGGGGAGAAGGCAGGGGATGTCTCCACCCTGATTCCTGGAGTGAGAGCCTCCAGGGATTCCAAGTCCTGCCCAGGGCAAAGGCCAGGGGCCACTTCATGGACACCTTTGCCTCTCGAACCCCGCCAACCACAAGGTGACCATGGACTCCTCTCCCTCAAAAAATCAAGGCCCCACATGGCTGGCTCGGGCAGTCCTGCCCAGAACACAGGGGTGGCATGAATAAGCCCTGTGCCACACTGGTGCTGTGATTTGGGGGTTCAGAGAGGGTGTAGTCTCAGTACTATTTGCCCTTCACTGGGGCTCCTCTGCAGCGGGCATTGAGAACCAGGGGCCTTCCCTGGCTGCCGCAATCCCTGCAGAGACCCACAAGGAGGAGAGTCCCGGGAGGCCCTGGAAGCCTTGGTGGAGAGGGGACAAGACTCCAGTCCCTGCCACGTCATGCTTCCCAGGGACCCCAGCCAAGGTCCTAGGTTACAACTCATGGTTTCAAGAGACAGAGACCTGAATCCAACCAACTCAAGTAAAGGGGGCTTATTCAGAGGATACCGGGGCTGGTCACCACTGGGGTGCCTCAGGGACAACTGGAATAAAGGACTCAAACACCACAGGATGCTGCCTGTCCCTGCGCTCCCCATCTCTGAAGCTGCCTTCCTGCTGCTGCCTGGCCTCCTGTGCAGGGGAAGAGCAGGGCTGCCATGGCTCCAGCCATCGCCAGAGGGATATTGCCTCCCTTGCCTTAGCACCAGCCTAACGCATCCCAGACAGAGGCTGTGGTTGGCCAAACAGAGACCAGTAGCCCATTCCTGGCCCAATCAGCTTTGGCAAGGGGACAAGGCCATATGTCAGAAGCAGACCCGCCAGGCTTACCTGCATCCAGATCGATCCCAGAGAAGGAGACGCTCTGGGGACCAGGAAGCCACTCCAACTGGGGTCTGTTGGAGCCTCTCTGAGCCTTCATTTCCTCACCAGTGAATTGAAGTGATATTTGGCCAGCTCAGTGGCTCACGACTATAATCCCAGTGCTCTGGGGAGCAGAGGAAGGAGGATTGCTTGAGGCCAAGAGTTTGAGACAAGCCTGGCAACATAGTGAGATTCCATCTCCACAAAAATACAAAAAATAATTAGTTGGGCATGTGGTGCCGCTTGTAGTCCCAGCTACTCAGGAGGTTGCGGTGCAAGAATCGCTTGAACCCAGGAGTTTGAGGCTGCAGTGAGCCTTGATTGCAGCACTGCGCTCCAGCCTGGGTGACAGAGCAAGACACTGTCTCAAAACAAAACAAAACAAAGCAAAAAGGTGATAGGTACCTTCTTCATGGGCAACTGTGTGTTATTGATGAGATGGTGCATGCAGAAAGAGTGTTTGGTGGCTGAAAGGACTTGACAAAGATTAGCTTTGGATTATTGCAGCTGTTGATGGTGTTGCTAATCGAAGGACTTGCTCTGCCAAGGACTCCAGCAAGGACTGAGGTTCCTGCTATGCAGACTGTGGGTAGAGGCTTAGTGCTCCCGAGCCCTGCTTCTCCCATGGTCCCCCAGTGGCCTCCTGAGTGGGCCATGGCCCTGAGCTCAGAGGGCACCAGGACCCTCCCCAGGCCGGCTGAAGAGGCAGATTCCAGAACAGCCTCCTCCCCAGCTGGGAACACCTCCCCAGATCTCAGTTCCCTTGCCTATCAGATGGAGGACATCAGATCTGCTTTCCTCTTCTGCAGTGGTGAGGAACAAGCAAGAAGACATGAGTGGAAGGAAAAACTGATGTGTCTTATTAGCAGTTTATTGTTGTTATTAATTATCAGCTCCAGAAAACTGCTGGGATTACAAGCCTGTGTTTTCTCACATCTCTCTAAAGGCCATTACCACGAGGGGAGCCAGCAGACTTAATTTGTGAATGCTAGCTACTAAATTATGCAAAACCAGATCTGCTAATGAATTTCTCCCATGGTGGCGGCTGGTGCTGAGGAGTTTGCAGGTACACTTCTTGGAGAGAGGGGTGGAAAGGGGCCTGGGTATTCACTGTTCCACCTCCACACTCAGAACTCACCTGCCTTCACCCACCCCTGGGACAAAGGCTGCCTAAAATGTGAATTCCCAGCTGGGAGAGGCATCAAGATGGCTGAATAGATTATTTGGTCATTCAAAGTGGTTTTTGTTTTTTTCAGTTTGAATAGACTCAAATAGCTTGTCTCAGAAGGAAGAAAAAGGCTGCTGTTGAATTGAATGTAAGCCTGCAAATGACTTCTCTTTCTCTCTCTCTGCTCTATTTCCGAAAGCTATTTATAGATTAGAAGCCTGTCATTGCAAATTAGGGACATTTTCTTCCTCCCCCATCCTCTACTACTCCAGCCCCAGCTCCTTGAGGGCGGTGGTCACTGGGCAAGCCCAGCATCAGCACTGTGCAACGGGCAGCCTGTGCACATCCCCTTCTGAAGACAGCTGCCCCCTGCTTCCACTCCTGACTGTGAGCTCCTCTAGGAGAGGGGCTGGGTCCGCATGTCCAGGACCAGGCTAAGGCTGGACACAGGGTAGGCCTCATCACATCTGTGAGATGGGTGCTTCAAGGACAAGCTCAGAAACCTGCCCTGACTTATCAAGGCCAGAGAAGTTGATTCATCAGAAGGCTCCAGGCAGCTCACAGATGAAAAAGTGGGCTGTGTGGACTTTCCCAGCCTGGAGGAGGGCAGGAGTCAGGCCAGCCTGGAAACCTGGCGGCAGGAGCAGGACTTTCAGGGTCCAAATCCTCTCCAGGTGTTCTATGCCCAGTGGTTCAAATCCCACGGGGCCACACTCACTATGTAATCTCGGACACGTTTCTTAACCTCTCTGGGATTGATTTATCCTGTGTAATCGGGATCACAAAGCCTTCCTCCCCATCTCCCCATACCCAGGTGTAAGCCTGCTGCAGTCATGCTGTTCTTTGAAAAAAAAAAAAATTTTTTGAGACAGAGTCTCACTCTGTCACCCAGGCTAGAGTGCAGTGGCGTGCTCTCAGCTCACTGCAACCTCTGCCTCCCAGGTTCAAGTGAGACTCATGCCTCAACCTCCCGACTAGCTGGGATCACAGGCATGTGCCACCATGCCCCGCTAATTTTTGTATTTTTATTAGAGACGGGGTTTCACCATGCTGGCCAGGCTGGTCTCTAACACCTAACCTCAAGTGATCCACGATCCACCTGCCTTGGCCTCCCAAAGTCCTGGGATTACATGCGTGAGCCACCGCTCCCGGCCTATTCTTGAAATTTAAATGAAACTGGCAGGGACCTCAGATCCCTTGTCAATGGAAAACTGATATCCCTGTGCCCCAAGATTTCTGCGAATCCTTGGAGATTACATCCAGCCTCACTCAAATTTTTTTTTGCATTTCTGTTGAGCAACTAGATGATCCAGGCCAACCACAGTGGTTCATGCCTGTAATCCCAGCACTTTGGGATGCCAAGGCAGGTGAATCATTTGAGCCTAGGAGTTCAAGACCAGCCTGAGCAACATGGTGAAACACCTTCTCTACAAAAAGTACAAAACTTAGCTAGGCATGGTGGCATGCACCTGCAGTCACAGGTACTAGGGAGGCTGAGGTAGGAGGATCACCAGAACCTGGGGAGGTTGAGGCTGCAGTGAGCTGTGATCATGCCACTGCACTCCAGCAGACAGAGTGGGTGACAGAGTGAAGCCCTGAAGGAAAAAAAAGAAAGAGAAAGAGAGAAAGAAAGAGGTAGGGAGAAAGAGAGAGAGAGAGAGATAAAAGAGGTGGGGGGGGGAGAGAGAGAGAGAAATAAGAGAAGAAGGAGAGGAGAGGAGAGGAGGGGAGGGGAGGGGAGGGGAGAGGAAAGGGAAATTTACTTCCTAAATGGGCACCCTTCTTTAGAAGTGCCAACCACTAAAATAACAATTTTTTCACACTCAGTAAATGCAGATCAGATAAGTGCTTTGAAAACCACAAAGTACGGCCAGCATAGGAAGGTTATTAAACCCGTTCCTCTTAGTCCCATTACGGACAGCACTTCCTGGAAGGCATCTAAATGCTCTCTGCTCCAGCACTGTTGGCCTTGTAAGAGAACAGGAGCCTGTGGAATTTTCTGAAACAATCCTTTCAGGCTCCAAAGAACCCACTCCCATTATCTTGAATTAAATCCATTCCAACCATTGCCTTCCACTTTTTAAATTTTTGTTGGAAAATAATTTACATACAGAAAAGTACATCATTAACATTCACACCCGGTTCAAGACACAGAGCACACTCAGCTCCCAGAAACTTCCCTTCCAGTCACTCGCTGTCTCCAAAGCTGACCTCTAACGGCCGACATGCATGCCTGCTTCTGTATCTGTGAATGGAGTCCTACCATAGATGCTTTGCACTCAGCTTCTCCCACCCCACAAGACATTTGCAGGATTCAATCACGTGGTCGTATGTAGTTTAGATAATCATTCTCATTGTTTCATCAACGTCTCTCCTGTGGAAATAATTGTTTTTCATCTACTGTTGATGAGCATTTGGGTAGTTTCCAGTCTGGCTATCGTGACTAGCACTGCCTTGGACATTCTAGTCCATGTTTCTTTGGCACACATAGGGCTGTGTTTCTGTTGGGTATCTGCCTAGGAGTACAATTTTTGGTTCGTAGGGTAGTCATGTATTCTTTTTTTTTTTTTTTTTTTGAGACAGAATCTTGCTCTGTCACCCAGGCTCACCGCAGCCTTGAAATCATGGGCCTTGAAATCATGGGTGTCAGTGATCCTCTCCTCTTAGCCTCCTAAGTAGCTGGAACCACAGGCATGTGCTAACATGCCTGGCTAATTTTTTATTTTTATTTTTATTTTTTTGTAGAGATGAGGTCTCACTATGTTGCCCAGGCTGGTCTCAAACTCCTGAGCTAAAGCAATCCTTCTGTGTTGGCCTCGCAAAGTGCTAGGATTACAGATGTGAGCCACTAAGCCTGGCTGTGTTAATCTTTAATAGAACAAGTGCCAAATGGTTTTCATCCCATCTTTTCTTTCTTTCATGTTTTATTTATTTATTTTTGAGACAGGGTCTTGTTCTGTTGCCCAGCCTGAAGTGCAGTGGTGCAATCATGACTCACTGCAGCCTCGGCCTCCTAGGATCAACTGATCCTCCCATCTCAGCCTCCCGAGTAGCTGAGATTACAAGTGCACATCAGCATGCCTGGCTAATTTTTGTATTTTTTTTTTGTAGAAACAGGGTTTCACTATGTTGTCCAGACTAGTCTCGAACTCCTGGCCTCAATCCTTCCTGGCCTCAGCCTCCCAAAGTGCTGGGATTATAGGTGTGAGCCACCGTGCCCGGCCCGGCTTTACCCTTTCTTTAGAGTGTTTACTCTCAGATCACCTTCTGCAGGGAAGCGATGTTAAGTGGCTTGTTCCAGGCCACATGCCCAGCAGTGGTAGAGCTGAGATTTG
Source organism: Homo sapiens (assembly GCF_000001405.40). Lineage (NCBI taxonomy): Eukaryota > Metazoa > Chordata > Mammalia > Primates > Hominidae > Homo > Homo sapiens. The sequence goes on along the minus strand of NC_000016.10, from coordinate 47,044,132 downwards.
AGCTTATGCAGGCTCCCTCTCAGAGTCTGTACTATTAATTGCCAGGCTACACTGCCTCCCTGTTTCTGAGAAGAGTCTAATGTACCATATAAAGTTGTGTGCAGTGAAAACCTCCTGAAAAGGAGCCCTGAGCTTAGGGCTCCTTAGGGGTTGTGTGGAATATTTTATTTTTATTTATTTATTTATTTATTTTTGAGAGTGTCTCGCTCTGTCACGCGGGCTGAAGTGCAGTGGCGCCATCTGGGCTCACTGCAACCTCTGCCTCCCAGGTTCAAGTGATTCTCGTGCCTCAGCCTCCTGAGTAGCTGGGATTAACAGGCATGTACCACCACACCCAGCTAATTTTAGTATTTTTAGTAGAGACAGGGTTTTGCCATGTTGCCCAGGCTGGTCTCAACTCCTGGAGCAATCTATCTGCCTTGGCCTCCCAAAGTGCTGGGATTACAGGCCTGAGCTGCCGTGCCCAGCCGGGGAGCAGAATATTTTATAATGGGCAGTGGGCACATCTGCTTTTCGCTCCAGGAGGAAACATTAACACTCACCTCTAAGGTTGTTTGTTGTACAAACATCCTAGAAAGATCACCTAGAACCAAGGCACCCTCTGCTCACGAGATGTGCAGACATGTGAGGCCCATGGAGGATTGTCTCCTAACAGCTGCCCCAGCCTGGACTTTGGGCTGCAGCCACATCTAACATCTGCTGCCTCCATCACCAGCAGAGATGCCGCGGCTGCCTACAGAGCCAGAGGGAAGGGAGACTGTCGTGCCATCTGGAGGCAGCCCATGAGCAGCTATGGGGCCAGTCGCCACCAGGCCTGTGGGCCCTGGAAAGACTATGGGCTTTGGCAGGGCGCGGTGGCTCATGCCTGTAATCCCAGCACTTTAAGAGGCCAAGGGCAGATCACCTGAGGTCAAAAGTTCAAGACCAGCTTCGCCAGCATGGTGAAACCCCATCTCTACTAAAAATACAAAAATTAGCTGGGTGTGGTGGCACATGCCTGTAATCCCAGCTACTTGGGAGGCTGAGGCAGAAGAATTGCTTGAACCTAGCAGGTGGAGGTTGCAGTGAACAGAGATCGCGCCACTGCACTCCAGCCTGGGCAACAGAGCGAGACTCTGTTTCAGAAAAAAAAAAAAAAAAACAAGACTGTGGGTTCTGAGGGCACCAGCTGCTCCCATCCAGGGCCACACCCAGGCCTCCAGGAAATAGCCATTGTCCCCTCTGCCCTCTGCCTCCCCCTGAGGTATCCTCTGCCTCTTCTGGACCTTCTCTTTCTCGCTTTATTCTCTCTTCATTGCTTTGCCTTTCCTGCTGGCTTTTTGCAGATCTCTCTCTCTCTCTTCCTCTCTTGATGATTTTATCTCTGGGGCTGTATGCAAACTTTAGAAAACAAACTAAACACATGCACACCACGCATATGAGAAAAGAAGAAAGCGAGGATCACCCACAATCCCCCCACCCAGAAATAACCACAGTGAACATTTTGGTCAGCATCTCCCCAAAGGTTTCTCTTTTTTTTTTTTTTTTTTTTTTTTTTTGAGACAGAGTCTCGCTGTTGCCAGGGCTGGAATGCTGTGGCGCGATCTCGGCTCGCTGCAAGCTCCACCTCCTAGGTTCACGCCATTCTCCTGCCTCAGCTTCCTGAGTAGCTGGGACTACAGGCACCCACCACCATGCCCGGCTAATTTTTTGTATTTTTAGTAGAGACAGGGTTTCATCGTGTTGGTCAGGATGGTCTCGATCTCCTGACCTCGTGATCCGCCCACGTCAGCCTGCCAAAGTGCTGGGATTACAGGCGTGAGCCACTGCGCCCAGCCCAAAGGTTTCTCTATAGACATAGCCACATATGTCACATATCCACACATATCAACATACTCACCACAAAACTGGGATCCCATGTAGACAGAGCTCACGCTTCCTGAGCTACTCCGGAGAAGAGGAGGCCTGTGGAGGCCACAGGGCCGGGGAAGACTTTCTTCCCCTTGAGAAAGAAAATGAGAGAGAACTTGGGACCACTGCTAGCTGCATGGAGCCTTGATCTTCCAGGACACCAAACCAGCCTGTGTCCCCTCTCCCAGCTCATCCCTGCCAGCAGGGTCAGGGAGAAGGTTTAGCTGTGAGGGTCCTCGGGATAGCGACGGAGGCAGGACCACATCTGCTCCCCTCAGCCTTGAGCAGGCTTCCAGGAGGAGGTGAGACCTCCGTGCACATGGCAGGGTCTCCATGGATTGTGGAGCAGAAGACTGACGGGAGTGTGTGGGCGGGGTGGAGGGATACATGTCTGTATGAGTGTGACCACACACTCACACAGACCTCCATCTTCAGTCCAGCAACCACTGAGGGAGGGAGCGGTCCTGCCACAGCCGCACAGCCACTTTTCTTTTTTTTTTTTTTTTTGAGACAGAGTCTTGCTCTGTCGCCCAAGCTAGAGTGCAGTGGCACAGTCTCAGCTCACTGCAACCTCGCCCTCCCGAGTTCAAGCAATTCTTATGCCTCAGCCTCCCGAGTAGCTAGGACTACAGGTATGTACCACACCAGCTAATTTTTGTATTTTTTGATAGAGATGGGGTTTCACTATGTTGGCCAGGCTAGTCTCAAACTCCTGACCTCAAGTGATCCACTCACCTCGGCCTCCCAAAGTGCTGGGATTACAGGTGTGTGCCACCGCACCCAGCCTTAATTTTTGTATTTTTAGTAGAGATGGGGTTTCATCATGTTGGCCAAGCTGGTCTCGAACTCCTGTCCTCAAGTGATCTGCCCGCCTCAGCCTCTCAAAGTGCTGGGATTACAGGTGTGAGCCCACATGCCCAGCCCCCTTTCCTTGGACTCAAACCTACCCCAACTCCCATTCTTGGATGTGCCTTAATCCTCAATCCCACCCCAGGTTGAGCTGAGAGGGCAGCCTGAGGCTGGAGGGGCTGGGAAGGATTCATGGGTTTGGTGGGAAACATTTAGGTGGTTTATAAATTTTCACTATTACAAATAATGCGCTTCCAAGGTTTTCATTGTTTTATTTTATTTTACTTTACTTTATTTTTAGAGACAGGGTCTTGCTCTGTCACCCAGGCTGGAGTGCAGTGGTGCAATCATAGCTCACTGCAGCCTTGAACTATTGGGCTTAAGCCAACCTCCCACCTCAGCCTCTTGAACAGCTAGGACTATAGGTGCACACCACCATGCCGGGCTAATATTTTTTTAAATTTATTGTAGAGACGGGGGTCTAACTGTGTTGCCCAGGCCGGTCTCAAACTTCTGGACTCAAGTGATCCTTCTGCCTCAGCCTCCCAAAGTGCTGGGATTACAGGCATGAGCCACTGTGCCCAGCCTCCAAGATGTTTAAAGCACCATACTTGTTACAAGAAATTCAGACAATAACCAAGTTCATAGAATTACATCAGAAATTCTCCCTGAACCCACCCCGACTTCAGTTCCACTCTCCACAGAAAAGTGACCACTGAAAATAGGTTAGCATCCTCTTAGAGTTATTCTTGGACATAGACAAAAATATGAGCCCATATGAAATTGTGTTTTTTTTAATCACACACAGATACTTCTTTTTCTCACTCACTCAACAAGCCTTCATGGGCCTTTTCCAAGCCAGTGCGTAGAGAGCGGCCTCATCAATATGAAGGTTTGCTCTGAGAGGAGAACCAAGTCAGCCTAAGACGTTTTGGCCTTTCCACAAACATTTGCAAACACCTGCAATGCTGGGCAGGCTCTGGAGGCAGAGAGACCTGGGCTCAGAGCCCACCTCCACGCTCCACAGCCATGTGATCTTGAGGAGGTCACCCTCCTGCCTGAGTACCTACCTTGGGTGCTATTGTGAAGGTGAAGTAATAATCTGTATGGGAGGCTTGGCAGAGCATCCAGCTCAGAGAGGGCCCTAAATGATGGAAACTGTGACTGTTACCTCCAAAATGAGCCAGCCACAAGCATAGCTGCATAGCCTTCCATGGGCCGCCGCCTTTTCACCCTGCTGAAGAACACGGAGCTTGTTTCCAGTTTTAACCGTTTGCTCTTTTATTCAACAAACAAGGTCACTTCCTCCTGCTATGTTTTTCAACTCACTACATGTGAAGCATTTGTTGGGAAAGAAGCCATATTGACCCCCATGCTACTAAGCCACCTTGGGCAGCGCTTGGTGTCTCTGAACCTTGCTTCCTGTCTGTAAAATGGAGGAAAATTCAATTAATCCTGTCTCTGCACCTGGCCAAGGTTTCCTGGAGGACAAATTAGAAAGTGGCTGTAAAAATGCTTTGCAAAATCTGAAGCAGTGTAGACACATGAGGGAATGTTATGTGGACAGGACTATGGCCCTGCTAGATTCTATCCTCTTGGGAGGGCAGACACTGGGGACTCGGTAATACTTGCCGAATAATGAATGAATCTTCTCATCTGAAAAATAAGGAAATCAAAGGCCCGGTGTCTCTGGAACGTTTAACAAGGGAAGAGGAGAAGGAGGAAAGGCAGAGCCCACCCTGACTGTGTTCCTCTTGTCTTTTCTCCTCCCACCCTTCTTCCTTCCTTCCTTTCTTTTATTCAACACATATTCTCTCCCCTGGTTTTTTGTTTTGTTTTGTTTTGTTTTGTTTGAGACAGGGTCTCACTCTGTTGCCCAGGCTGGAGTGCAGTGGAGCCATCTCGGCTTAGTGCAACCTCTGCCTTCTGGATCTGCGTCATGCGATCCTCCCTCCTCAGCCTCAAGAGTAGTTGGGACCATGAGCAGGCACCACCACACCCAGGTAATTGTTTTGATTTTTAGTGGAGAAGGGGGGTGCTCACTATGTTGCCCAGGCTGTTCTCAAACTCCTGAGCTCAAGTAATCCCTCCATCTTGGCCTCCCGAAGTGCTGGGATTACAGGAGTGAGCCACCTCCCCTGTTTTTTAAGGGGAGGAAAGAGAGTGGTGAAAGGGGAGGAAAGAGAGGGCAACAGCTCCTCATTTTGCACACCTCACGGTTTACAAACACAGTCACATGATGAGTGGATTTTCTCATTGGACCACTGAGGTACACTCGCCTGTAGTTCCAGCACTTTGGAGGCTGAAGCGGGAGGATGGCTTTAGCCCAGGAGTTCAGGACCAGCCTGGGCAACATAGTGAGACCTCGTCCCTATATAAATGTAATTTTATGTATGTATATATTTTTAAATAGTAATGAAGTATGTCCCAAATACTTCATGGTACATACTTACACCAAAAGTTTTTTTGGCCGGGCACAGTGGCTCACGCCTGTAATCCCTGCACTTTGGGAGGCTGAGGCAGATGGATCACTTGATGTCAGGAGTTCAAGACCCGCCTGGCCAACATGGCGAAACCCTGTCTCTACTAAAAATACAAAAATTAACTGGATGTGGTGGTGCACGCCTGTAATCCCAGCTACTCGGGAGGCTGAGGCAGGACTTGAACCCGGGAGGTGGAGTTTGCAGTGAGCCAAGACTGCGCCACTGCACTCCAGCCTGGGGGGCAGAGCAAGACTCCGTTTCAAAAATAAAATAAAATAAATAAAAAAATTTATTGTCTATTTGAAATTTGAATTTCACTTTGACATCCTCTTTTTTGGCGGGGGGGACAGTCTCACTCTGTCCTCAAGCTGTCGTGCAGTAGCACGATCTGGGCTCACAGCAGCCTCAAACTCCTGGACTCAAAACGATCCTCCCGCTGAGGGAAAATGTACTCCCATTTGACAGACGTCGAAACTGAGGCCTGGAAGAAGTTATGCAATCTCTCTGAGTCACGCATTACATCTGAAATCCTGCGCGTCCTTCGCCAGCTTTCTCTGTCTCTCTGCCGTCCTGTCCCCTCTAGACCAACCATCAGTTAATAGTCTGAATGTCTGGAAGGACAGGGCTCTGAGTGCCTCCCTTCCTTGGGGCCGTGCACTCTCTCTCCGACCAGCGATTTGTCACGGGTCTCGTGAGAGGAGCCGGGTGGGAACGGCCGCGTCCCCGCTCCCGCCCTCCCTCCCTTGCTTCCTGGACGCCGCTGGGAGTCGGGCCTCGCGGTGGATGGCACTATCGAGACCCCTCTCACCAGAAACACGCGGCCCGTTCTCGCGTGGGGCTTTGGTGGAGACCCTCGACGCCAAGGCGGGGGCTTGTCCTCGGTTTTCCCTCCTCCTCCCGCCCCGCGGGGAGCTCGGCCCTCCTCCTGCGGGGGGGGAAGCCATTTCCCGAACCCGCGCGCCCTCTGGCGGCCTGAGCCGGTGCAGAAGCCAGGCTGTGTTGACTCCGCCCGCGAGCACCCTGCCTGGGGACCGCGCGCCGCGGGGCAGCTTCCTATCTTCGCCTCGGAGGGACACAGCTTGCCTGGGCGCAGCCCCCCGGCGCGGTCCTCGCGGCCTCCCCGGCGCCCTCCCGCGGGGTCCTCCCAGCCGCCGCCTCCGGAGCCCCCCGCCTCCCTGTGTTCCCGGCCGCGTGACGCCTCCCACCGTGGAACGGGGCAGCTGCGGGACGTGTTCCTCTCCCCACTGGACTCAGATTCTTCCAGGGGAGATCCCGCCAGAGGCGCATCCCCGGAGTCTCCTCCCCGGAGCCTCATCCCCAGAGAAGAGTCTGGCACGGGGCCGCCTTCGCTGTGGGCTGTCGGCCACTTCTGAAGAAGGTGCAAGTGAACCGCAGATAAACCAGCGAAGGCGCCACCCGAGGGCCTGGAGTGCGGAGGGAGTCCCCCCTGAGGGCTGCTGAGGGGTTGCCTCGAGAAATACAGGGCGACCCACCCAAATCTGAATTTCAGATAGACAGCAAGTACTTTTTTTAGTGTAAGTATGTCCCGGCCGGGCGCGGTGGTGCACGCCTGTGGTCCCAGCACTTTGGAGGCCAAGGCGGGAGGATTGCTTGAGCCCAGGAGTCTCAGGACCAGCCTGGGCAACATGGTGAGACCTCATCTCTATAGAAATTTAATTTTACATATGTATATATTTCTAAATAGTAATGAAGTATGTCTCAAATACTGCATGGTACATACTTACACTAAAATTTTTCCATTGTTTATCTGAAATTTGAATTTAACTTTAACTGACAGCCTCCTTTTTTTTTTTCATACAGGGTCTCACTCTGTCACCAGGCTGTGGTGCAGTGGCACTATCTTGGCTCACTGCAGACTCAAATTCCTGAGCTCAAACGATCCTCCCTCCTCAGCCTCCTGAGTAGCTGGGACTACAGGCATGCACCACCACGAAACTGGCTAATATTTTTATTTCTTGTAGAAACAAGGTCTTGTTATGTTGCCCAGGCTGGCTTCAAACTCCTGGGCTCGGGTGATCCTCCCACCTCGGCCTCCCACAGTGCTGGGATTACAGGGATGAGCCACCGCTGGCGGACCTCTATTTTTATTTGCTAAATCTGACAACTCTAGCTGGGTGGAGTCATGGCCATAAAAAACCCATCTGAGCAAAATGGGGCTAGGGGAATGAGGGAATAGGTAGAAGTCCTCAGAGAGACCGGGACAGGGCAGGAGGGCTGAGTCTAAATCCAATTTAGGCCAGGGAGAAGAGAACAGTAATGCAAACTGCACGTTTTTACATGGAACTCACAGCCACGTCATCTAGGGATGGTGAAAACAAGGAAAACTGCCTGTTCCTCAAGCTTCTGCTAAAATATTGGTTTCTCCAGCCTCTCCAACAATTGTATCTGCAGGACACACCGGGCATGTGGAAGATTTCCTCCAAATTAATCACCCAACCCCACCCTTAAGCACAGAAATTGGGACACTTTCCCCCATGACACCTAGAGGGCATCAATACTTGGTGTGAAATGAATTGATTCGAGAGAAAAAGCTGTGACCCAGGTGGAGCCTGCTTGTGCTGCACCTCTCCATGCTTCGGTTTCCTCATCACTAAAGTGGGAATAATAACTGAGCGTACCTTATAAGGTGGTTAATAGATGTATCTGAAACAATGGCTGGCTCATAGTAAATGCTGCATAAATGTGAGCCCTTACCTTTATTATTATTGCTTAAACAGCGCTTACTGCAATAGGTATCTCCACTAATTTTTCTCCTGGAATTCCTGCATTCTAGTTATTTCCCACATTTGGTGGCACCTGTAACAATTATAAGACATCCTGGGGGGATTTCTTTCCCTTCCTTGAGCAAAGACGCGGGCTCTGAGAGTGATGTGATAATGGCATTTCCTCGGTGAAACAATCTCTTGGTCTCACTTCCCTGTGACCACTGCTGTGCATCTATGTCCCTAGCAATATTCGAACTCATTTATAATGATTTCTGGTCATTGCACTGGACAAGAGTTTGATGGCTACTAGGCCTCTTAATTTGACCGAAAAACATTTGAAGCATGAAGCCACGTGAAACAATCAGTGCCAGCACCATCATGAAATATCCTTTTATTTGAAACCGATTTGGAGTGTCATTTTTTATATTATGGATGATCCATCTTCAGATTCCAACTTCTCGGCATCTGCGTTCTCCTGCACCAGGAGGGAGAGAACAGCAGCAGGCCTGCCCTGGGCCCTCGCAGCCAGGGAGGCACCACCCCCAGGAATCAGATTCTCAGGACATGCCAGGCACACCTGACACTTGGCTTCTTCACCAGCATCGTTTCACCTGCTGTTGACAGCAAGGCATTAGCACAAAAGGAAATTCCCGCTGAAAGTCCTGGGGCTGCCATCAGCCAGCGCACCCAAACACCATAGATAGTATTGGCTGCTTTTGGTTGGTGTTCATGCCAAATTTGATGTTCAAATTGAAAATCACCCCTGAGCAAAACAGCCATGAAATTATAATAAATAATAATCTCTCAGTCTGTGCCTTGCCATGCCAAAAGAGCTGGATTTGAAAGTTGTTTTTGTTTTTGTTTTCAAGATAGAGTCTTGCTCTGTTGCCCAGGCTGGAGTGCAGTGGCGTGATCTCAGCATGCTGCAGCTTCGACCTCCCGGGTTCAAGAACTCCTCCCACTTCAGCCTCCTCAGTAGCTGGGATCACAGGTGCATGCCACCATGCTTGACTAATTTTTGTATATTTTTGTAGAGACGGGGTTTCACTATGTTGCACAGGCTGGTCTCAAACTCCTGGGCTCAAAGGATCTACCTGCATCAGCCTCCTAAAGAACAGGGATTATAGGCATGAGCCTATAAAACAACCTGGCCAAAAAGTTTTTTAAAAGGCTGGGTGCAGTGGCTCATGCCTGTAATAAAAGAAAAAGAAAAAAGAAAAAAGCTTTTAGCAAGCCAGGTGTGTTATTTTCCACAATGACAAAGGGAACATGTTCATCTGCATTTTTTCCACTTTCCATATAAATGCTTTAGAGTAATATCGATACACAATCCATTTTTTTTTTCAGATTACTTCAACCTGCCCACACCAAAGCTTAGGAGATAATTGATATGTGTGCATTCTTTTTAAGCACAAAAGAAAGTAGAAAGACTGTGTGCCATGGTTCATGTCTGTAATCTCAACATTTTGGGAGGCTGAGGTGGGAGGATTCCTTGAGGCCAGGAATTCAAGACCAGCCTGGGCAACATAGCAAGACCCCATCTCTACAAAACTTTTAAAAAGTCGGGCCTGGTGGCATGTGGCTGTAGTCCCAGCTACTCGGGAGGCAGAGAGAGGAGGACTGCTTGAGCCTAGGCATTGGAGGCCACAGGGAGCCATGATCACACCACTGTACTGCAGCCTGGGCAGCAAAGCAAGAGACTGTTTCAAAAAAGAAAAGAAGAAGAAGGAGAAGGAGAAGAAAAAGAACGAGAGAGAGAGAAAGAAAAGAAAGTGGAAAGATTCTGCCCAATAAGATCTGAAGTACAACCATGAAGTGCAAGAGGCCAGGCATGTTAGCTCATGCCCGAAATCCCAGCACTTTGGGAGGCTGAGGCGGGCAGATAGCTTAAGCTCAGGAGTTCGAGACCAGCCTGGACAACATGGCAAAACCCCATCTCTACAAAAAGTACAAAAAACTTACCGGGGCCTGGTGGTGAGTACCTATAGTCCCAGCTACTCAAGAGGCTAAGGGAGGAGGATCGCTTGAACCCAGGAAGTCAAGGCTGCAGTGAGCTGAGATCATGCCACTGCACTCCAGCCTGGGGGACAGAGCAAGACTTTGTCTAAAAAAAAAAAAAAGAAAGAAAAGAAAAGAAGAAAAAGAAAGTGCAAGATGGACTCACAGCCTGAGTCTGTCCTGCTTCCCCTGTGGTGGGCTCACAGTTCCCTTCACTGTCTTAGGAGTCCCCTGGGAAGATTTCTTTCTCTCAAAGCCAGAGGCCACATGATTCCTTTGACCTTCATTTTACTGAAAAAGAACAACACTGGGAGCTGTTGCTAGGCTGAGGAGCCCAGGGCTTCCTGGGCCTGGCAGGTCCAATTCATTTATCCTGCTCTTTGTTTGGAAACTCAGATTGACCTTAATGATGGGAAATAGGGTGGCTTCTAGGAGAATCTCTGGATGTTAATGGAGGCTGGGCACCCTTTCTTTAAATAGATATTGAAATATGCAAGAACACCTAAGTCATCTGGACACCCACTTACTAAGCTACTTTAACTGCTCCTGGTAATTAGACACTAAAAGTCCAGCCATTGCACTTGTCTCCATTGGAGGAGGAAATTCATTGTTTTAATAACCACCAGTAAACTTAGAGTTTTATTTCCACAGAAAGACCCATGAAACAGAAACTGGAGATAAGGATGGAAAAACAATTTCAATGTTTGTACACATATTTTAGAACCTCTCTCTCCCACTCCTTCTGCCTCTACCCCAGCTGGGGGCCATGTGTGTGGAGGGAGGCGGTGGGAGGTCAGCCTGACCGTGATGGGTTTTAGACCATCTGTTCTCTGCTCCTACCAAGGCCAGGACAGGACTGGGGGCAGCGCTGAACCAGAGTTCATTTATAGGAGAAGCCTGGGGAATGGATGGCTCCAGCCTCCCTTCTACCTGATGGTTCAAACCCAGAGGCCTGAAGGGGTGAAGTGTCCACCTCACCTGTCAGGCTGCTGGTAGCCTCTTTCTGCTTTGTTTGTTTGTTTGTTTGTTTGTTTGTTTGTTTTTGAGACAGAGTTTCGCCCTTGTTGCCCAGGCTGGAGTGCAATGGCGTGATCTCGGCCCACTGCAACCTCTGCCTCCCAGGTTCAAGCCATTCTCCTGCCTCGGCCTCCTGAGTAGCTGGGATTACAGGCATGCGCCACCACGCCTGGCTAATTTTTGTATTTTTAGTAGAGACAGGGTTTCTCCATGTTGGTCAGGCTGGTCTCAAACTCCCGACCTCAGGTGATCTGCCTGCCTCGGCCTCCCAAAGTGCTGAGATTACAGGCGTGAGCCACCGTGCCAGGCCCAGCCTCTGGATTTATGATTGTCCATGGATCAAGATCCTTGGACTTTCAATGATACAAGATAATGCATTACGGATTCCTCATCTTCCAGATGTGCCTCGCTGCTGTTATGATGGGCGTGCTTTTATTCACTGGATTCACAAGATGTCTTAGATGTAAGTAGGTACTGATCAGTGTTAGCAGAATGTTAATGAGCCATTATATACTCATGCTTTAGAATGTCTTGGTCAGATAAAAACTTTGCCAATATAGCATTGGCAAAGGAATTCTAAAGATTTTATGCTGACCAAATATTAAATAGTTTGAGGGATCTTGTGTTGAGCAAATGTAGTCAGTGGTCCTCTGTGAGCCAATATAAGGAAGATAAGGAAACTCTGTGGACAGTCTTTGAGATCTAAGCCACCCTAAAGGTGAGGAGTCAGAGGGTTTCTTTTTTTCTTTTTCTTTTTCTTTTTCTTTTTTTTTTTTTTTTATGTAGTCTCACTCTATTGCCCAGGCTGGAGTATGGTGGCATGATCTTGGCTCACTGCAACCTTTGACTCCCTGGTTCAAGTGATTCTCCTGCCTCAGCCTCCCAGGTAGCTGGGACTACAGGTGCACGACATCACGCCCGGCTAATTTTTGTATTTTTAGTAGAGACAGGGTTTTGCTATGTTGGCCAGGCTGATCTCAAACTGCTGACCTTTTCCCTGAGCCTGAGACCCAAAACTCCATCTGCCATCTTGACATCTCCATGTGGATGAGCCCAACTCAACACGTTCAAACCAAACTCAGGCGCTTCCCCCACCTGCCCCTCCCGATTACCCCTCCGGTGCTCTCTGTCTCAAGGAAGGATTCCCCAACCTTCCAGTGCAAAACCCAGAAACCTACAATCACCTACCTGTGTCTGTTTTGAGACACTTCCCTCACCCTCAGCCTCTATAGCAGATGCTGCTGGTGCCTGACCCACATGCCACAGGACTGACCTTGTCCATGGCATTGGCACACGCCTAACCACCAGGATCTGTACAAGGAAGACAGGGAAAGCCATTCTTCCTAGGCAAGGCAGACTGGAGATGCCAGGAAGTTAGAACTCTCCAGCAACAGCCTTTGGCCAGTGACTGATGGCTCCCTCATCCCTCTGAAGTGTATGTATCATTCCTTTCACTGAATTTCCCTGTGTGTATATTTTTAAAATTCCATTTAAAAACTTAAACTAGGCTGGGTGCAGTGGCTCATGCTTGTAATCCTAGCACTTTGGAAGGCCAAGGCAGGTGGATCACTTGAGTTTAGGAGTTCGACACCAGCCTAGCCAAAATGGTGAAACCCTATCTCTACTAAAAATACAAGAAAATAGCTGGGCATGGTGGCGCGCACCTGTAATCCCAGCTACTTGGGAGGCTGAGGCAGGAGAATCCCTTGAACCCGGGAGGCAGAGGTGGCAGGGAGCCGAGACAGCACGACTGCACTCCAGCCTGGGTGACAGAGTGAGACTCTGTCTCAAAAGAAAATTAAAAATAAATAAATAAAAAGTTAAATTAAAAATGGGGCTGGGCGCTGTGGCTCACACCTGTAATCCCAGCACTTTGGGAGGCTGAGGTGGGCAGATCATGAGGTCAAGAGATCGAGACCATCCTGGCCAACATGGTGAAACCCCATCTCTACTAAAAATACAAAAATTAACTGGGCCTGGTGGCACACGCCTGTAGTCCCAGCTACTTGGGAGGCTGAGATGGGAGGATTGCTTGAGCCCAGGAGTTTGAGATCAGCCTGGGTCACATAGTGAAACCCCGTCTCTACAAAAACATACAGAAATCAGCTGGGCCTGGTGGCACATGCCTTGGTCCCAGCTACTCAGGAGGCTGAGGTGGGAGGATCACCTGAGCCCGGGAGGTGAAGGTTGCAGTGAGCTGAGATTGCACCACTGCACTCCAGCCTAGGTGACAGAGCAAGGTGACTGTCTCAAAAAAAAAAAAAAAAAATGCCTGGCACAAAGCAAACACTAAATAAATAAAAGCTATTATGGAGGGAATAATGCTGTTCCTTCCAAGCGTCCAGTACAATTGTCAATCCAGGAAGCTCAGCCATTTTAACCTGTGCCTCCAAATGCCCCTGATTTCCCTTAGTTTCTGATCGCTGAAGAAGATCCAGGCCAGCCAGGAGCTGTCTGGGGGACATCGCCTACAGGCAATCCCCTCACCCAATTATAGTGAGAAGCCAGTGAGCCTTGGAGATATTGAGGCTTACAAGCACAAAGCATGATTATCGCATGTTTAGGGGACCCAGGGCAAGAGATGTCCCTCAAGTGAATTGGAAGCCCCAAGGCCTACACCAGGCTGCTCAACTGGTTCCATCCACCTGCTCTTGGCCTTTTTTTTTTTTTTTTTTTTTTTTTTTTTGAGACAAAGTCTTGCTCTGTCACCCAGGCTGGAGTGCAGTGACACGATCTCGGCTTACTGCAACCTCTGCCTCCTGGGTTCAAGCAATTCTCCTGCCTCAGCCTCCTGAGTAGCTGGGATTACAGGCGCCCACCACTTCACCCAGCTAGTTTTTATATTTTTAGTAGAGACAGGGTTTCACCTTGCTGGCCAGGCTGGTCTTGAACTGCTGACCTGAAGTGATCTGCCTGCCTCGGCCCCCCCAAGTGCTGGGATTACAGGCCTGAGCCACCATGCCTGGCCTGCTGTTGGCTTTTGAGTGGGTGGACACACATTTAATTAGGTTCAATTGGAGGTTATCAGAAAGAACCAGGATGTCAAACACTTCCTCTCTGAGATTCAGCCAGTGGCCTGACCTGCTATGTGGCAATCTGATTATGGTTTACTTGGGCATCATGTCCACAGAAATCCCAAAGGGCGGTGGCGTCAGTGGCATCATTTGCTGGAGCAAAGCATCCTTGATGCCAATCCTCTGAGACACTTGACATGTGCTGTCTCATCAACTCACTCCAAAGTTACTCTTCTTAAAGGTTCTGAAGCTCAGAACAGTCAAGACAGTTGCTCAAGGTCACACAGGCAAGATTGAAAACCAGATCTGCCTGGCCTAAATTCTTTCTCCAAGGTCCCATCCAGTGACCTGAATCCCAAACTCAGGGTTCCTGGACCTCATCCTCCCACTCCTCATTCAGTACATCTGGGAACGGGCCTGAGAATTTGTGTTTTAAAAGTTTCCTGGGCAACTCTGAAGATCAGCTACATTTAAGAACCATTTATAGGAAGCCATTGTTTCCCTAAATCCAAACAAAATGGCCCTATGAGGCTGTTTGTGGCCTTGGCCCAGTTTAACCTCTGGCTTTATACAATAGGCTAACAAGTCAGTGGCTAACTCATAAATTATGCCTGATGTTATTTCAAATCAAGCCTTTTGGCACCTCAATATATAACGTCCTTTATTTACTGACGAAATCTCTCTATTCTAAAAGAGCACTTATTCCATGACTACGAACACTGCAGACCCCTTCAGCCCTGTGCGCTTCTCACACTATAACCTTCTAGAGGCAGAAATTGAGCCCCTATCATCTCACCCTGCACAGAAAGACATTTCATACGTTTCTTACCCCAGCACACGTGACTTGATAGGAAAAGGCATTTTCCTAGTCAACCTCCAATTTTACAGCAGCAATTTTGGTTCCTGGAGTTCTGCAGGTTCCTTTCTGGCAGGAAGATTAGACCAAGAGCTGCATTAAAGGTACAGTTCTGTGCCCTCCAAGGCACTAATAGACTGGAATCATGTCAGAGCTTTCTAGAGCAGAACTATGTCTACAGTCAGAACTGAGTCTCAACCAATTCAGGAGACAAGTTGCTACTTATGAAAAGAAGACTCATTGAGTTTATAAATGGATTTTTTATGTTCTTGCCCAGCTTCTGTTTCCAGCACTGAAGCGTGCTAGATGACGCTTCTAACAAATGCCTTTCCCGATTCAGAAACTGAGCTTTAGATAAGAACCACTTTTACTAAGCCAAAGAGTCTATCTAAACAGTAGCTTATTTCATAAAGACTGTATTTCTCTCTATTAAAACACTATAACCCTATTGTGTTCAACTATCGCTCACAGAAAGCCTTAAGGAGCAATAACTTAGTGGCAAAAGTAAATGTTTAAATGCTCTATAAAAATATATATATAGTTATATAGCCATACTTAAACATTTAAAAATAAATGGCTGGCTCTCCTGTTGAGCCTCTTTCCTGCTGAGTTGGCCAGAAAAGATATTTTTTTTAAGACTTGAAGGTTTTTTTTTTTTTTTTAGGCAGAGTGACACTCTGTCACCCGGGCTGGCATGCAGTGGCATGATCTCGGCTCATTGCAATCTCTGCCTCCTGGATTCAAGCGATTCTCGTGCCTCAGCCTCCCAAGTAGCTGGAATTACTGGCACCTGCCACCACGCCTGGGTAATTTTTGTATTTTTAGTAGAGATGGGGTTTCACCCTGTTGGCCAGGCTGGTCTCGAACTCCTGATCTCAGGTAATCCACCCGCCTTGGCCTCCCAAAGTGCTGGGATTACAGATGTGAGCCACTATGCCTGGCCAGAATTTATTTTTAAATCTGGAAAAGGCAGATAAAATATCAGCAGTATAAATGATGCCAAAACAATTGAATAAAGAGTAGAACTTTCCATGAATTAACTCTTCTACACCATGTTAAGAAACCTGTCTGGGTTGGGCATGATAGCTCATTCCTATAGTCCCAGCACTTTAGGAGGCTGAGCTGGGAGAATCGCTTGAGACCAGGAGTTCAAGACCACCCCAGGCAACATAGCAAGACTTCCCCTACAAAAATTTGAAAACAGCCAGGCATGGCTGAGGTGGGAGGATCCCTTGAGCCCAGGAGTTCCAGGCTGCAGCGAGCTATGATCGTACCACGGCACCCCAGCCTGGGTGACGAGAGCAAGACCTTAACTTAAAAAAAGAAAAAGGCTGGCTGGGTGCAGTGGCTCACACCTGTAATCCCAGCACTTTGGGAGGCCAAGGCAGGTGGATCACTTGAGGTCAGGAGTTCGAGACCAGCCTGGTAAACATGATGAAACCCCGTCTCTACTAAAAATACCAAAAAAAAAAAAATTAGCTGTGTGTGGTGGCATGCTTGTAGTCCCAGCTACTTGGGAGGCCGAGGCAGGAGAATCACTTGAACCCAGGAGGTAGAGGTTGCAGTGAGCCAAGATTGTGCCACTGTCCTCCAGCCTGGGCAACAAAGCGAGATGCCATCTCAAAAAAAAAATTTTTTTTTTTAAAGAAAGAGGCTGACCACGGTGGCTCATGCCTGTAATCCCAGGACTTTGGGAGGCCAAGGCGGGCAGATCACTTGAGATCAGGAGTTCAAGACCCGCCTGGCCAACATGGTGAAACCCCTTCTCTACTAAAAATACAAAAATTAGCCAGGGGTGGTGGCAGGTGCCTGTAATCCCAGCTACTCGGGAGGCTGAGTCAGGAGAAATCGCTTGAACATGGGAGGCAGAGGTTGCCTTGAGCCCAGATGGCACCACTGCACTCCAGGCTGGTCAACAGAGAGAGAAGAAAGAGAGAGAGAAAGAAAGAGAGAAAAGAAAGGAAAGGAAGGGAGGGAAGGAAGGAAGGAAGGAAGGAAGGAAGGAAGGAAGGAAGGAAGGAAGGCAGGCAGGCAGGCAGGCAGGCAGGCAGGCAGGCAGGCAGGCTGTTCGACCCTTTTCCACTGAATTGTGGTTTGCCTGAATGGCATCAAGATGATGCGTGTATCAAGTTTGGTTAGTGCAATTGACTTAATCCTTGCTCATCTGGCCCTGGTTGAGTAACATGTGGGATGTGGAATTGATGCCTTGCTCATCTCCACACCTTTTACTGAGCCCCTATTCCAGGCCCAGGCCTCTGCTGGCCCCAGGGGCCAAAGATGCTCAGGGTCACTGTCGGAGCATTTAGCCACTGTGGCCTTTTAGTCCATACAGATACTATGTGGATATAAACCAATCACACACTGAGGAAGAGGCACAACTGAGTTGGAGGCGGGGACAGGCAGAAAGGTTTCACAGGAGGAGACTTTGCAGCCGTGTGTTGTAGGATGAACAGGAGAACAAGTGGCAGGTCATACTGTCTCCAGGTATTGAGTCAACCAGCTAATTGCTGCACAGCCCTTCACTACATGCTGTGTGGCCTGTGTGGTGTGGTGTTCTGTCTGCTTGCAAAAGTCATCTCCTCTTGAGGAAAGTGTTTCTGGCAGAAGAGTTCTCCAGCACACACCCTCGACTTTCCGATTCTCAGTTTCAGTGTTTGCTTTCGTTAACCCGGTGGACCAGTCCGTGAAGCCTGTTGGTGGCAGTGGTGACTGGGAGTGCCTCTCTCCCGCCTCATTAGGATGATCCACCTATTGTCAGCCACAGCTCCTTGCAGGAAGCTGTCATGTGAGCTTGGATATGTCACTCCACCAAGTACTCATTTTCAGCTCCTTTACTCCTTCCTCCCATGTGAACCCACCACCTTTCAATCCAGCGTCCTGTGTAGACCAGGAGGAGAACACATGCAGTGGACCACCAAGCCCTTGGGAACAGGGACTGTGGGGAATGCTCCAAGATAGAAGGAGTTTCAGCAGCCTGAGTCCTCATCCAGGCCTGTGGAGAGCAGTGACCTGTTTTGTCAAGGCTGGTCGAAGGTGTTCTCAAAGCCTTCCAGATAGCACCATTTGTGTACTGTGGGCCCCACTTGAACACTCAATTTATTAAAATCTGAATTGACAAAACAAATACCTCAAGGGTGCACCAAGTTTTATGCCTTCTACTCAGCATTCACAGTGCTTCTTCAATCGGAGATTCCTGTGTTGCAGCAAACCTGACTATTCTTTTTCCATACGGTCATTCTTCACAGTGTTCAATTATCTCAAATTCTCAAGGGCACTCATCCTTTTGATGCTGTGTCTGCTGATCCCCTCTGATGGTGGGTCCATTTCTCATACCAGTGCATCTTTCTCATGTGTGAGTGTGTATATGCATGTGTGTGTGTATGTGTGTGCGTGTGTGTTCGCGAGCACGTGTGTGTTCGTGAGCACGTGTGTGTGTGCATGTGTGCGTGTGTGTGCGCGTGTGTGTATGCACGTGTGCGCGTGTGCGGGTGCATGCGTGCCTGTGCATGCGCGCGTGTGTGTGCATGTGTGTGCACAAGCATGTGTCCCGTGAGCTCTGGCATGTGGAAACGGCCCCATAGAGCAGCTCTAGGTTTGCTTCTGCTCAGGACCCCAGTATTTCACCACACTATGATTCGTTTTCATGTTTATTTATTGGCTCCTTATGGCCACAGCAAGCAGGAAGAGTCCATTTGGATTCCACATCCTTGTGTGGTACAGGTTTGGGGGTTCAAAGTCTCAAGGAAGCTTTTTTTCTTTTCTCACCCAGAGCCATGGCAAAATTAACTCCTATGCTTGGGTAGGAAGGCAATGTTTTTCAGTCCCCTGGACACAGTGGTCCCGCCATTCCAGGCCTCAGATTTTAGCAGAGGCCAGTTACAGCTCCCCACCATTTGCACGCTGGAGGCTGGGTCTCCTATCCCACCATGGCTAATAAGCCATCTGGGCCGATATCTAGGCCACTATCTCCCTAAGCCATCATGGCACCAGCTCGCATGGGTACCACTCTGGTGCAAGCTGCCCTTCATGGCTGGTACCTGGGAAATTCTCTTCTTTATGGCTTGGCCATGGATTTGAACTTTTAAATATATATAATTTTTTTAAGACAGGGTCTTGCTTTGTCTCCCAGGCTAGATTGCTTTGTCTCCCAAGTAGCCTAATCTCGGCTCACTGCAACCTCTGCCTCAGCCTCCCAAGTAGCTGGGATTACAGGTGCATGCCACCACACCTGGCTAATTTTTGTATTTTCAGTAGAGACAGGGTTTCACCATATTAGCCAGGCTAGTCTTAATTTCTGACCTCAAGTGATCCGCCTACCTCAGCCACCCAAAGTGCTGGGATTACAGGCGTGAGCCACCGTGCCTGGCCTAAAAAATATATTTTTAAATTTATTATTGGCAGGAAGAGGGGGATCCACATTAGTTCATTGTATCATCTTCTGAAACCCATAGAGTCATTATTTTTTTTAAGTAGTATAAATTAAGACCAAAAAAAATTTAGAGTAGGCCATAAAAACCTGTGTAATTGGCTGGGCACAGTGGCTCACACCTGTAATCTCAGCACTTTGGGAGGCCAAGGTGGGTGGATCAAGAGGTCAGGAGTTCGAGATCAGCCTGGCCAACATGGTGAAACCCCATCTCTACTAAACATACAAAAATTGGCTGAGTGTGGTGGCACACGCCTGTAATCCCAGCTACTCAGGAGGCTGAGGCAGGAGAATTGCTTGAACCTGGGAAGTGGAGGTTGCAGTGAGCTGAGATTGCACCACTGCACTCCAGCCTGGGCAACAGAGCAAGACTCTGTCCAAAAAAAAACCGTGTAATTGTTACATGGAGCTTCCTGACAGCCAAAGGGAAATGAGATATATACAAGGTTCTTTTTCACACACACACACACACACACACACACACACACACAAAAGAAGAAAATATTGTCAAGTATAAGAAAAACTTACTTTTTACCTTAGCACAATTTTTTTTTTTTGAGACAGGGTCTCACTCTGTTGCCCAGAAGTGCAGTGGTACGAGCACAGCTCAGTGCAGCCTTGACCTCCTGGCTCCAACAATCCTCCTGCCTCAGCATCCCAAGTAGCTGGGACCACAGGCGCCTGCTACCATACCCAGCTAATTTTTCACATTTTTTTGTAGAGATAGGATCTCCCTATGTTGTTCGGGCTGGTCCTGAACTGCTGGGCTCATGCAATCCTCCTGTCTCAACCTCCCAAAGTGCTGGAGTTACACGAGTGAACCTCCCATGCCCTGCCCTACCTTCATAAAATTAAACCCTGATCTTCCAGTATTGGAAATAGAGGGAGAACCTCTAGGTGGGGAGGAGTAGACAGCTCCTGTTATTCTAAATGTGTGTATAATGTTTACATTTTTTCTTAATATAAAATTAATAGGTGCCCGTTGTGGAAAATATGACAACTCCATATAACAAAAAAGAAAGTAAAACTCTTGGTTACTTGATGTTCAATAAACCATAACCTTGGTCATGCATCTGCAGAATACTTAGAATTGATACGCAGAATCATGACTCTGAGGTGTCTCCTGAATCCTCAAAGAAAGACGAAGCTTGCCAAGGAGGCGGAGTGAGTGGACTCTGACATCAGGCTGCTCTGCCACTTGCTGCATAACTATAGCAGGCACATTAACCTCTCTGTATCTCAGTTTCCTCAGCTGTAAAACTGGAATAATAACAGTACCTACTTGAAAGATTGCAAAGATTATATGAGTGAATAAATATACATTCTGGGCACATAATAGGTGCTATATAAAGGTTTGCTATTTTCATAGAAATCATTTTAGGCCAGGTGTGGCGGTTCACGCCTGTAATCCCAGCACTTTGGGAGGCCAAGGCTGGCGGATCACCTGAGGTCAGGAGTTTGAGACCAGCCTGGCCAACATGGTGAAACCTCGTCTCTACTAAAAATACAAAAATTGGCCGGGCATGGTGGCGTGCGCCTGTAATCTCAGCTACTTGGGAGGCTGAGGCAGGAGAATCCCTTGAATCTGGGAGGCGGAGGTTGCAGTGGGCCAAGATCGAGCCACCACACTCTAGCCTGGGCGACAGAGTGAGACTCTGTCTCAAAAAAATAAATAAATAAAAGAAATTATTTTAACGTTATAGTTTAATTATTGGCAAATTGATCATACACAAAAGTCACATCTGGTAACTCATTTGTCTAGAAGAGTTGATGAACCAGGACACTGCTTTCCTTGACCATGTTGGAAAATAGGAAGCTCACGTCCTTGTTGTACAGGAACACAGTAGACAGGATGGTTAACATGAGTCTGAGCTCATTTTTAGCTTAATATAGACACAAACACCTAGATACAGAAATAATCATAGATTTGTGTGCATGCATGGGTTGGTATGCATGTACATTTTTCCCAGCTCTGCCCACTGAGCGGGCCTCAGTAGTGATGACCACAGCCAATATCAAGTCTTGTTTGCTAAACAGTGTTCTCCAATGAAAGGAACCAGGGCTCCTTGGAGAAATGGTTGATGCTAGAAGTAGAGCAAGGCAAATACAAGATAAGCCTGGAGCATCTTGCAATGCCAGAAAGTTTAAAAGAGCTTAAAAAACAAAAAAGATCGGGGCGTGTGGGCAGGTCACAGGGACCCCAGGGCCAACCGGAAAGAACTCCAACAGCCGAAGCTGGAATAATCTGAGCAACAAAATAATGATAGTACTGGACTATAACCTAAAATATAACATAAATACACTTGCGTCCATACACTGCGTCCCAGAAGATCATAATTTATTTATGACGGAAAAGATTAATAAATAGAAGAGACAAATCTTCCTCGAAGAAGAATGCATGTTGATGCTCCCCGCCAGGAAGTGGAGCTTAACCTCCATCTCACCCTATATGGGCCACACCTAGTATTTTCCTTCTTTTTTAAAAAAATAATTTTAAAATAGGCCAGGTACAGTAGCTCATACCTGTAATCCCAGCACTTTGGGAGGACAAGGCAGGTAGATCACTTGAGGTCAGGAGTTCAAGACCAGCCTGGCCAACATGGTGAAACCTCATCTCTACAAAAATACAAAAATTAGTCAGGTGTGGTGGTGGGCGCCTGTAATCCCAGCTACTTAGGAGGCTGAGGCATGAGAATCGCTTGAACCAGGAGGTGGAGGTTACAGTGAGCCATGATCACACCACTGTACTCTAGCCTGGACAACAAACT
This sequence comes from Homo sapiens, assembly GCF_000001405.40. Taxonomy (NCBI): domain Eukaryota; kingdom Metazoa; phylum Chordata; class Mammalia; order Primates; family Hominidae; genus Homo; species Homo sapiens. The sequence goes on along the minus strand of NC_000016.10, from coordinate 47,022,105 downwards.
GAGACCTTGTCTCAAAAAAAAAAAAAAAAATTGGCCGGACACGGTGGCTCACGCCTGTAATCCCAGCACTTTGGGAGGCTGAGGTGGGCGGATCACAAGGTCAGGAGTTCAAGACCAGCCTGGCCAACATAGTGAAACCCCGTCTGTACCAAAAAAGTACAAAAATTAGCTGGGTGTGGTGGCACGCACCTTTAGTACCAGCTACTCAGGAGGCTGAGGCAGGAGAATCTCCTGAACCCAGGAGGCAGAGGTTGCAGTAAGCTGAGACAGCACCATTGCATTCTAGCTTGGGAGACAGAGCAAGATGCTGTCTCAAAAAAAAAATTGTAAAACAAGAATTTTTTTTTTTTTACATAAATAGAGAGCCGGGCAGGGTGGTTCACGCCTGTAATCCCAGCACTTTGGGAGGCCAAGGCGAGTGGATCTCCTGAAGTCAGGAGTTCAGGACCAGCCTGGCCAACATGGTAAAATCCTGTCTCTACTAAAAATACAGAAATTAGCCAAGTGTGGTGACAGGCGCCTGTACTCCAAGCTACTCGGGAGGCTGAGGCAGGAGAATCACTTGAACCCGGGAGGCGGAGGTTGCAGCAAGCCGAGATCATGCCATTGCACTCCAGCCTGGGTGACAACAGCAAAACTGCGTCTCAAATAAATAAATAGAGATGGGGTTTAACCATTTTGCCCAGGCTGGTCTTGAATTCCTGGGCTCAAGTGATCCACCCACCTTGGCCTCCCAAAGTGTGGGATTACAGGCATGAGCCATCATGTCCAGCCTTCTAAATTTTATTATTGTTAATTTTTGTAAAGAGGAGGTCTTGCTATGTTGCCCAGGCTGATCTCAAACTCCTGGTCTCAAGTGATTCTCCTGCCTTGGCCTCCTAAAGAGCCAGGATTACAGGCGTGAGCGACTGCACCCAGCCTATTTTGTAATTTTAATGAGAAGAGCCATGTTATTCCTCTCAAATGGTTCAAGGTCACATGGTCCTAATGTTTGCTATTTACAATCCCATTGTCTTCTAGGCTTTGGCGCTTTATTCATTATTTTATTTTTAAAAAGCAGAACGTGGAATCTAGGATCCCTTATTTTTATCATTTCTTGAAGAACAACAAAAATGATTGTGAAGCAACTGCAAGTTTAAGGTATGCTAAAAAAGACTAATAATAATCCCAGCACTTTGGGAAGCCAAGGCGATGGATCATGAGGTCAGGAGTTCAAGACCAGCCTGGCCAACATAGTGAAACCACATCTCTACTAAAAATACAAAAATTAGCCAGGCGCAGTGGCAGGTGCCTGTAATCCCGGCTACTCAGGAGGCTTAGGCAGGAGAATTGCTTGAACCCAGGAGGCAGAGGTTGCAGTAAGCCAAGATCGCGCCACTGCACTCTAGCCTGTGCAACAGAAGACTCCCATCTCAAAAAAAAAAAAAAAAAAAAAAGACTAATAATAAAGGCCGGGCATGGTGGCTCACACTTGTAATCCCAGCACTTTGGGAGGCTGAGGAGGATGGATTGCTTGAGGTCAGGAGTTCAAGACTAGCCTGACCAACATGGTGAAACCCCATCTCTACTGAAAATACAAAATTAGCCAGGTGTGGTGGTGCATGCTTGTAATCCCAGCTACTCGGAGACTGAGGCAGGAGAATCGCTTGAACCTGGGAGGCAGAGGTTACAGTGAGCTGAGATTGTGCCACTGCACTCCAGCCTGGGCTACAGAGCAAGATTTTGTCTCAAAAACAAACAAACAAATGACTAATAATAAATCAATAGAACATTTGCTAATTTGCCAAGGCTTGTTTTAAATTAAGTGTAAATTATAAAGAAAAAATATCCTGGCCGAGTGCAATGGCGCATGCCTATAATCCCAGCACTTTGGGAGGCCAAGGCGGGCAGATCACAAGGTCAGGAGATCGAGACCATCCTGGCTAACCCGGTGAAACCCCATCTCTACTAAAAATACAAAAACAAAATTAGCAGGGTGTGGTAGCAGGTGCCTGTAGTCCCAGCTACTCAGGAGGCTGAGGTAAGAGAATGGCGTGAACCTGGGAGGTGGAGCTTGCAGTGAGCCAAGATCGCACCACTGCACTCCAGCCTGGGCAACAGAGTGAGACTCTATGTCAAAAAAAAAAAAAAAAAGAATAAAAAGAAAAAATATCATATCCCACCAATACCCTTGGAGGCATTTCCTCTGCATTTAGTGCCTGGAATGCATTCTGATTTTCCAAGGCTCCTTCCGCAGCTCTTGTCATTCATGTCCTTTTCTAAAAGGCATTTTCTCCATGTGCAAATTTCTTTCAGCGCAAATGTTTGCTCTATGCTTATTCTCTGAAGAAAGATACCAACAGTGCCACCATTTGGAAGGAGTTTTAATTGCTCACTGGATTAAAAATAATCTCTCTACTGTCTGTATTTATTTGATATAAGCTGCCAAAACTTACCTATGGAGTCTCATGCTTTCACTTTTATAACAAAAGAAGTATAAACCAGAAAGTCTAAAATAAAAGTCACAACCTGGCAACCCACAGGCCAAATTGGGCACACAGGTTTATTTTAGTAAGTCCCATATAACTTAAAAAAAATCAAACAATTTTACATGAAAATCTGGATTTCTATATTCTCTTGAAACAGCAGTTCTGGCAACCTGGGGCTCACATTTCCATATGGCTACAACTAGCTGGACCTGAAAAGAGCGTTCCTCATCGAGCTGACTTATGGGCCCTCCAGAACACCACAGTCCTCTTCCATCCAAATTGTACAACATCCAGCTTGCCCCACACGTGTCTCTCTGCAGTGCATCGAATTTCCCAGTCCTGATCTAGAATATCAAATACCTTCTTGGTCTAAATGATTTCCTTCAAAATGTCATAAAGAGAAAAAGAAAATCACTAATGACATGAAGCAAAATGAACCTTGTACAAACCTTATATAAAACAAGCTTAAAGCCATTACTTTACACATTTCTACAATGAAATAATAATTTTTTAAATTTTTTTGTAGAGATGGGAGTCTCACGATGTTGCCCAGGCTGCTCTGGAACTTCTGGCCTTAAGCAATCCACCTCCCTCGGCCTCCCAAACTGCTGGGATTACAGGTGTGAGCCACCACGCCTGGCCCAACACCATCTTATTGTAAGTGTTCTACTTTTAAAATGATACTCTCGAAGCTGTCAGCCAAAATTTGGGGTTCTTGATACAACACTACTCAGGGCAAGAAACAAAGTCACTTTCCAACCAGTCCCTGTGGTCCCAGTCTTATGAAGTCTTAGCAACTTTTTTTTTTTTTAACAATCTTGCTCTGTCACCCAGCCTGGAGTGCGGTGATGCAATCTTGGCTCACTGCAACCTCCGCCTCCCATGCTCAAGCAATTCTTCTGTCTCAGCCTCCTGAGTAGCTGGGACTACAGGCGTGTGCCAAGACGCCCAGCTAATTTTTGTATTTTAAGTAGAGACGGGGTCTGGCCATGTCGATCAGGCTGGTCTCGAACTCCTGGCCTCAAGTGATCCACCCACACAGCCTCTTAGCAACTTTGAATTACATGCTTGGTGTTTTCCTAAATTTGAGGTGTAATGGTGGCTAGAAAACATCAGTTCTCAGATGATGAAGCATGATCAATGGTGTTGAAAGAGGGAAACAGATGAGTGCCTTTACTGCCTCCTTCACCATAGTAACAGCACAGCTAGAGAGATGTGAAACTTTGCTGCGAAAATGACAGAGCCTGCTCCAGGCAGAGCGGCACAAACACAACTGAGAGTGCACTCCTGCATTCTGACCACAGGTGGCACCTGAGCGTGTCGTAGTCGTCCACATCCCAACTGTTCAGGCTATGTTGGACACTGACTTTCTAACGTCTGTGCCTTAAGCAAAACTGTACGTTTTCACTTCTTTCCTAAAAACTTCATCTGTAATAACACTAGACAGCAAAAAAAGGACCTGATTTTTTTTCAGCCTAATAGAATGTATATCCCACTTTAGTCCGTATTTATTATAATAAAATTGTTTTTGTTTTAAGTATTTCTAAATTATCCCCTATCCCCGACATCTTACAGCCCTAAATCAAGAGCCATACACATTATGTCTTGGACTCATGATCTTTTATATCCATCTGTCTATGGTCAGTGGGAGTTGGTACAGAAGTATCTGGAAAGTGGGGTCAGAGGCAGGAAATCACAAAGGCCAGTTGTCCAGCAGGGAGAGAGGACCAGTGTGAGCCTGCGAGACACAGGCACCTCCCATGCCCCACCTGAAACTACTCTATCTCCTGAGACTAAAGGCTTGATCCAGGCCACCTTCTGGACCCGGTGGCTCCGCCTCCCACCTGGGCCATCTGAGCTGCCCTCCTTAGGGCTTCTCTTCTCAGGACAGACAAAGAACAGAATCTATGCCCTCTGCTTCAGGCTTGCCAAAACCCTGCGCGTTCTAACCTTATGACATGGGACAGAAAGAAGATCAAACTTTAGGACATAGAGCCCTCAGGAAAATTAAATGCACACCAGGTAGCGCATTTCTACTAGATTATTCTTTACTGTTTTTGTTTTGTTTTGTTTGTTTGTTTTTGAAAACGGAGACTCACTCTGTTTCCCAGGCTGGAGTGCAGTGGCGTGATCTCGGCTCACTGCAACCTCTGCCTCCTGGTTTCAAGTGATTCTTGTGCCTCAGCCTCCTGAGTAGCTGGAACTACGGGTCATGCCACCACACCCGGCAAATTTTTTTGTATTTTTAGTAGAGATGGGATTTCACCATGTTGGCCAGGCTGGTCTCCAACTCCTGAACCTCAGGTGATCCACCTGCCTCAGCCTCCCAAAGTGCTGGGATAACAGCTGTGAGCCACTACTCCCAGCCTAGATTATTCTTTACATGATGTCACAGGAAGGGCTAATTGCTATGGGACCAGATACAGGTGAAGGAGAAGACCAGCCGGGCAGAACTAAGACCAAAAGAACTAAGACCAAAAGAACTAAGACCAAAAGAAATGCGAAGAGAATAATAACGCTGTAGTAGAAGAAGGTTCACCTTTGCCCTTCCCTACCCCCTGCCTGCATTTATCCCACACAAAAGCAAAAGAGGCCTTGATTGAGGGGCTGGCAGACTGGGTGGGGCAAGAAAAGAGAAGAGAGGGAAAGTGATGAATGTGGATAATGGGAACCAGTGCTTTCCCATAGACATTGTGGAAGAAAACACGTTGCAAGCAAAGGATCTGAGAGCATAGGAGGCCTGTGTTCCCCTGTGTGGGAAAGTTGCAAAACCCCAGAAAGGAAATGAACACATAGGCGTCTAGGGGAATGTGGTCACAGAGGGTGACAGTTACTTCCTAAGCCTGTGCACAGCAATGGAGGCCACAGAAGAATAGCCCTGACCCTATTCACGACAGCATGGACCAGTCCACCGGACCTGACCAGGCAGACGTGGATGGATGGCTGTGTGGACACCTGGTAGGCAACATAGAGGACAAACCCCAACTTCCTGGTATTACAGAAGCCCTGGGGCTTAGACAATACCCCAGGGCAGGGAAGAATGCCACATTTCCACAACCTTAGTCAACTGGGGGTCCTGGGTAGAAGTTAAATTGGGTTATAGGCCAGGTGTGGTGGCTCACGCCTGTAATCCTAGCACTTTGGGAGGCAGAGGCTGGCCAATCACCTGAGGTCAGGAGTTTGAGACCAACTTCGCAAACATGGTGAAACCTCATCTCTACTAAAAAAATACAAAACTTAGCTGGGTGTGGTGGTCCGTCCCTGTAATCCTAGCGACCCGGGAGGCGGAGGCTGCAGAACTGCTGGAACCCAGGAGGCGGAGGCTGCAGTGAGCCGAGATTGCGCCACTGCACTCCAGCCTGGGCAACAGAGCAAGACTCTGTCTCAAAAAATAAATAAATAAATAGGCTACAGAACAATAGAAAATGCTCTATTTCTTGAACACCTCAGCTGTATATCCACCACAAAGTAGAAATTGGTCTCGTTTTGGGCAAGAATGACAGCACTGTGAATTTTAAGTCATAAAACATTCCCTGCCACACACACCATGGTCAGTGTGTCTGAATAATGCGTGGTATTGTATTACTTATTGGAAATGAGTGGTTTATTTTATGATCTAAATTTTAAACCCTTTAATATGCCTCCCAAGGGATCATCTGATTTGGAAAAAGAAAAAGAAAATCTAAAGAATGAATAAGACTACAGAAAAAATATAAACGGTTCTATTGGATTTTTTCTAATATGAACTCTGCATTGGCCAAAGAAGGTAAAATAATAAACCCGTCTGTTTTGGGGTACAGTTTTTATCAAACTTTGGTGAAAATGGAAAGATGTATGTTGCATGCCCTTATTTGTATACAGAATGGGGATATATATGCATAGAAAATACCTGCGATGATGTCTAAGACACAATTATTAACAGAAATTGCTTCCTGGTGGAGGGGACTAGGGATCCAGAGTGGGGAAGAAATCATTTTCTACTTATGCATGTATTACTTTAATTTTAAAAGCAACATCAGCAATTAGCCAAAGAAAAAGCCAAGGTCATCTGTAGGTCAAAACTATCAGGAAAGTAGGCTGAGGAAGCAAATGAGCAAAGAGTAGGATAAAGGAGGATGCCAGAACTGCGGGCACGCAGCTCCTACAGTTTTGGTTCCAGATTCCTGGTGATGTGTCTTAGTCCATTTTGGCTGCTACAACAAAATACCATCAACTGATGTCTTCTAAATGACAGAAATGTATTGTTCATATTTCTGGAGGCTGGGAAGTCCAAGATAAGGCATGAGCAGATCTGGTGTTTGGCAAGGGCCTGTTTCTGATTCATTGATGATGACTTTTTGCTGTGTTTGAATGAGCTCCCTCAGGCCAATTGTATGAGAGTACTGATCACCTCTCAAGAGGGCCCATCTCCCAACATCATCTTGGGGGTTAGAGATTCAACCTGTGAATTTGGGGAGGACACAAAGTTTCCAACCATAGTATGGTGTTTTCTAGTCTTGGATCCCAGAGTTCAAACCTTGTAAATCCTATCCCATTTTTATCAAAAATAGAGATTTATTATGTCAATGTGACATAATGGCATAAAGCACTAAACCATTTGACAGGGCATCCTTTCAAAAGTGAAAAGCAGTGTTTGATTATATAGCTTCCCCACTAATCCTTGTTACCAACAGCTACTTAATCTAATCCTGAAGATGGAGTACAATATTCTTTCTGCAACACACTGAATACTCACTTCAATTTATTGTATTTTTTCTAAATATACCTCTCTTCCTTCTGGCAGCAGGGACATTTCATTAGCAAATAAATGGAGTCTTGTGCCCTTCTGACAGTCTCACACCTGCCCAACAATCCCAGACCCTGGGTCTGGCCAGGGACAGGCCAACTCCAGGGTTCTCTGCCAAGGGAAGTCCTGGAAAGGCTCTGTGCTCAAGACAAGCCCCTAGGCCACCCCGAGGGAGGGGGATCGTTCCAGGATAAGGGAAAAACAAAAAGAAATTGAACATGGCTGGGGTCGGTGGTTCACACCTGTAAGCCCAGCACTCTAGGAGGCCAAGGTGGGCAGATCACTTGAGCCCTGGAGTTCAAGACCAGCTTGGGTTTCACATGGTGAAACCCCATCTCTATTAAAAATACAAAAATTAGCCCGGCGTGGTGGCAGACCCCCGTAATCCCAGCTACTCAGGGGGCTAGGTGGGGGAATCGCTTGAACCCGGGAGGTGAAGGCTGCAGTGAGCCCAGATGGCACCAATGCACTACAGCCTGGGAGACCCTGTCTCTTCCGGGGCAGGAAGTTCCTTCGCTGCCAGGGTTCGGTTGCCGCAATAGCCTGCTCTCCCTGTTTCAGGATGCGCTTCTGCACCATCTGCTCCATGCACTCGGCCAGTTCCTGGGCCAGCGGCGGCGCGTGGGCCTCAGCGCTTGGGGGGCCCTCCTCTGGCGCGGGTTTCTCTGGGGCCTTCTGGCCTCCTTTAGCCACAGAGGCCCTGTTCAGGTTTTCTCCTTATTCTCCTGGCTCCCGCCCAGGGGGTGCGCTCTGGAGGCGGCGTCGCTGCACGCAGGCTGCCCTGAGCATAGACAGACCCTGGAAGGATCCAGGCGCTGAGAGCAGGGGTCTGCGGGACGCGCGGGCGGGACCCAGGCCTGGGGCCGCGGGTGCCAACCAAGGAGGATGTCCTGGGGCCTGGAGAAAGGGAGGTAGCCAGAGGGCCACGCTTCTTCTCCACGCCGCTCACCGCCGTGAGCCGCGGTCCAACAAAACCTTTACACGAGTAGGCTCAAGGGGATCTCTGCTCCTTACCATCCAAAGAGCCCTAACTAAAGTCTTCGATCTTTTGAGAAGGAAGTCTGATTTGAAAACGAGACGTCTCAACCCGCACTTCCAGCTTTCCGTATTAGCAATAGGAAGAATTGGATTCATTTTTTACTCTGTGTTTTTCGCCCTTTGTGGCTGGGCTGCAAAGCTGCCTCTTGCCTGCCTTCCCTTGGCCACAATTCTAACAGACGGGCTGAATTCTGTATCATGTGGCTTATACGCTCTGTTCTGGCAGATCTGTATAGTTGCTAATATGATGGTGCATTTTACTTATTAATATATTTCAGGGTCTGGTAATTTGTTTTCTGTAAAGGGCCAGCTAGTAAATATTTTAGGCTTTGCAAGCCTTTGGGCTCTGTCACAACTACTCAACTCTGCTGTTGCGCTGTGTAAGCAACCACAGACAATACTAAATGAATAGGCACGGCCGTGTTCCAATAAAACTTTATTTACAAAAACAGGCAGAAAGCTGGATTTGGCCCACAGACTGTAGTTTGCTGATCTCTGATATATTTTATTGTAAACAAAATAAAAAGCACCCACAGGGAGAGCAAGAATCGAATTCCCAAGAGGACAGTGTATATTGTCAATGGCTAAATGTAGGCTTTGGAAGATTAAGTTTTCTCAAACCTATGTCCCAGCTGGGCATGATGGCTCACATCTGTAACCCCAGCACTTTGGGAGGCAAAGGCAGGAGGATCACTTTAGCCCAGGAGTTTGAGACCAGCCTGGGAAACATAGGGAAACCCCATGTCTACAAAAAACACATAAGAGTTAGACCAGCATGGTGGCATTTGCCTGTAGTCCCAGCTGCTCAGGAGGCTGAGGTGGGAGGATCACATGAGCCTGGAATATAGAGGTTGCCATGAACCGTGATTGTGCCACTGCACTCCAGCCTGGGCAATAGAGTGAGACCCTGTCTCAACAATAACAATAAATAAATAAATAAGAAATAAGAAAACTCTCCCAGTCATTGCTATGGTTTGAATATTTGTTCCCTCCAAAACTCATGTTGAAATATAATCTCCAATAATTTGGCAGTACTGAGAGGGGAGGCCTTTAAGAGGTGATTGGGTCATGAGGGCCCTGCTTGTGTGAGTGGATTAACCCATTACTGGATTAATGGATGAATGGGTTATCATGGGAACTGGTGTCGTTATAAGAAGAGGAAGACAGAACTGAGCAAGCACACTCAGCCCCACACCCTGTGATGCCCTGCGCCACCTTGGGACTCTGCAGAGAGTCCTCACTAGCAAGAAGGCCCTCACCAGATGGAGCCCCTTGGCCTTGGACTTCTCAGCCTCCATAACTATAAGAAAAATATTCCTTTTCTTCCTAGATTTCCCAGTTTTGGGTATTCTAAAATAGAAAATAGACTAAGATGATCATTGAAACACTTAAATATATAGAAAGATTTCTTTTTTGAACAAGAAGAACGTATTTATACAGACAATTTGGGATGTATGTATCTTGTTTCTAGGTCAGCAATGGTGGGTGGATTATTTGCATCTGATTAGTCCTAGAACATTTTACTCTCTCCTTTTCTAGTCATTCTTCTCCTTCAATGTTCTCACTCTATGTCATTTTGGTGTTCCACTTGAGTCTCACAGACTATTTGATATTTCCTCTAATTAGCATTTCTTCCATGGCTTCTCAGAGTTGTTACATGTCATTCTGCTATTTTTTTAAATAATAATTTGTTTTAAAGCGATGAGGTCTTCTAGGGTTTTTATGGTTTTAGGTCTAACGTTTAAGTCTTTAATCTGTCTTGAATTAATTTTTGTAACTAAAGAGCTTCTGCACAGCAAAAGAAACTACCATCAGAGTGAACAGGCAACCTACAAAATGGGAGAAAATTTTCGCAACCTACTCATCTGACAAAGGGCTAATATCCAGAATCTACAATGAACTCAAACACACTTACAAGAAAAAAAAAAACCCATCAAAAAGTGGGCGAAGGACATGAACAGACACTTCTCAAAAGAAGACATTTATGCAGCCAAAAAACATGAATAAATGCTCACCATCACTGACTATCAGAGAAATGCAAATCAAAACCACGATGAGATACCATCTCACACCAGTTAGAATGGCAATCATTAAAAAGTCAGGAAACAACAGGTGCTGGAGAGGATGTGGAGAAATAGGAACACTTTTACATTGTTGGTGGGACTGTAAACTAGTTCAACCATTGTGGAAGTCAGTGTGGCAATTCCTCAGGGATCTAGAACTAGAAATACCATTTGACCCAGCCATCCCATTACTGGGTATATACCCAAAGGACTGTAAATCATGCTGCTATAAAGACACATGCACACATATGTTTACTGTGGCACTATTCACAATAGCAAAGACTTGGAACCAACCCAAATGTCCAACAATGATAGACTGGATTAAGAAAATGTGGCACATATACACCATGGAATACTATGCAGCCATAAAAAATGATGAGTTCATGTCCTTTGTGGGGACATGGATGAAATTGGAAATCATCATTCTCAGTAAACTATCGCAAGAACAAAAAACCAAACACTGCATATTCTCACTCATAGGTGGGAATTGAACAATGAGAACACATGGACACAGGAAGGGGAACATCACACTCTGGGGACTGTTGTGGGGTGGGGGGAGGGGGGAGAGATAGCTTTAGGAGATATACCTAATGCTAAATGACGAGTTAATGGGTGCAGCACACCAGCATGGCACATGTATACACATGTCACTAACCTGCACATTGTGCACATGTACCCTAAAACTTAAAGTATAATAATAATAAAAAATAAAAGTAAAAAAATAAAAATAAAATAAAATAAAATAAAAAAATAAAAAAATAAAAGAGATGAGGTCTCACTGTATTGCCCAGGCTGGTCTTGAAATCCTGGGCTCAAGCTATCCTCTTGCCTCGGCTTCCCAGAATGCTGGGATTACAGGTGTGAGCCAATGTGTCCAGCTTTATTCTACTATGTTTGTACTTCTTGCTTTTAAGTCTTTGATAAAGTAATAACATCTCAGAATATATAACTCTTACAAATGCTTAGGTAAACTGTATTAATAAGAGTCAACACTTATTAAGCATCAGAAATTTTTTCAAGGGATTTACCTGCATTGACTTAGTAATTCTACAAGGTAGGTACCTATCACTCCCTCATTTCACAAATGGAGGAACCAAGACATGAAGAGGTTAGGTCACATGGCTCGTAAATCATGCTCAGCCCTGAACTCCTGCAGCCTCCCCCAGGGCCCTTTCTATTAGCCACTCCACTGTGCCATGCTATATTGCAGAAGGCAGATGCTAAGATGGCCCCCAAATTCCCACCCACTGTTGTACACAGCCTGAGTGTGAGTGGGCTTACAAATATAATGAGATATCACAATAATGATTATGTTTCTTTATACAAAAAGAGGGATTTTGCAGATATGATTAAGGTCCCTGATCAGTTGACTTTGAGTTAATTTTAAAAAACTATCTTAGGTGGATCTGACCTAATCAGTTGAGCCCTTAAAAGGCCTGAGTCCTTTTGGAAGTCAGAGATTTAAAGTGTGAGAAGAGGCCACATTGCAAATATAACAGAATGATCTCTAGGAGCTGGGAGTGGTCCCTAGTCAACAGCTATCAAAACCACTGGGGCCTTAGTCCTACAGTTGCAAGGATATTAGTTCTGACAACCTGAGGGAAACCAGGAGTGGATCTTCCCCTAGTGGAGCCTCCAGATGAAGGCTGCTGGCTGACACCTTGATGGCAAGGTGAGACCCTGAGCAAACACCCCAGCTACACTGTGCCCAAACCTCAGACCTATATGAATTAGCTGATGGCCAGGCACGGTGGCTCATGCCTGTAATCCCAGCACTTCGGGAGCCAAGGTGGGTGGATCACCTGAGATCAAGAGTTTGAGACAGCCTGACCAAAAATTAGCTGGGCGTGGTGATGGGTGCCTGTAATCCCAGCTACTCGGTAGGCTGAGGCAGGAGAATTGCTTGAACTGGGGAGGTGAATATTGCAGTGAGCAAAGATTGCACCACTGCACTCCAGTCTGAGTGACAGAGTGAGACTCAGTCTCAAAAAAATAAAAGTAGGCCAGGTGTGGTGGCTCACACCTGTAATCCCAGCACTTTGGGAGGCCAAGACAGACGGATCACATGAGGTTAGGAGTTCGAAACCAGCCTGACCAACATGGTGAAACCCTGTCTCTACTAAAAATACAAAAATTAGCCAGGCATGGTGGTGGGCGCCTGTAATCCCAGCTGCTTGGGAGGCTGAGGCAGGAGAATCACTTGAACCCGGGAGGTGGAAGTTGCAGTGAGCCGCGATCATGCCATTGCACTCCACCCTGGGTGACAAGAGCAAAACTCCATCTCAAAAATAAATAAATAAATAAAATAAAATAAAAATAAATAAATATTAAATAAAAAATTTTTAAAAGGGATATCCTGAAATATGCATACTTTTTTTTTTAGAAAGTCACTAGGGGATGGGCATAGAAAGCCATATGTTAGTTGAAGGTCTTAGTGGGTAGTAACGCCTGTGAAGTGGAGGAAGCAGGAAAGAAAAGGGGGACAGGCGCCGTGGCTCACTCTTGTAATCCAAGCACTTCAAGAGGCCAAGGTGGGCGGATCACTTGAGGTTAGGAGTTCAAGACCAGCCTGGCCAACATGAGGAAACTCTGTCTCTACAAAACATACAAAAATTAGCCAGGTGTGGTGGTGGGTGCCTGTAGTCCCAGCTACTCGGGAGGCTGAGGCAGGAGAATTGCTTGAACCCAGGAAGTGGAGGCTGCAGTGAGCCGAGATCATGCCACTGCACTCCAGCCTAGGTGACAGAGCAAGGCTGTGTCTCAAAAACAAAAACAAAAACAAAAACAAAACAAAACAAAAAAACGGAGAAGGAGAAGAGGATAGCTAAGAAATGCAGAGGTGCAGAGTTATTAGTTCCAGGATCAACAGTTGCAAAACAACATGAATGGGTTTTATGGGCTCACCGCATGCTTGAAATTATCCTGGGTGGGCCTAATCTAATCAGGTGAGTCCTTAAAAGGGACTAGACATGCCCAGCTGAACTTGGAGAAATCCACACACACCTTTCTACACAGAGATGTCACTGACTGATTTCACAGTTGAGCACCCATTGTAGGTCCAGAAAATCCTGCTGAATTCACTCCCTCAGCATACAACTGGGTTCTTCTCTGCATCAGTTTGGTATCACTTGATCCCTTAGAACTGTCCCTGTTGCCTCCCTGCTTTTTTTCCTTTACTCTGTTTTATCCATCAAACACACAGTAGATATTTATCAATTAATTACAAGAAAGTGAAACTGAACCAGAAACATTAAAAAATGCTTCAAGGAAATGCCTTTGTGTTAAGTCAGACAGGAGTTCCCTGCCCTGACTGCCTTATCACTTTACATTTCCAGACATTCTTTTATTTTTATTTTTATTATTTTATTACTTTTTATATTTTATTTTTCTTTTCTTTTATTTTTATTTTTATTTTTGAGACAGGGTCTCGCTCTGTCACCAGGCTGGAGTACAGTGGTGCAATCTCGGCTTACTGCAACCTCTGCCTCCTGGGTTCAAGCGATTGTCTTGCCTCAGCCTCCCCAGTAGCTGGGAATATTACAGGTGCGTGCCACCATGCCTGGCTAATTTTTTTGTATTTTTAGTAGATACAGGATCTCACCATGTTGGCCATGCTGGTCTTGAACTCTTGACCTCAAGTGATCTGCCCACCTCAGCTTCCCAAAGTGCTGGGATTTTCCTAAGAGTCCTCCAAATTAAAACATACACCAAGGTAGCACAAATGAAAGCAAAACTCATGTCTTGACAGCTTCTCTACCTTTTTTTTTTTTTTTTTTTTTTTTGTGAGAGGGGTTCTCACTCTGTTGCCCAGGCTGGTCTGGAACCCCTGGGCTCAAGCAATTCTCCTACTTCGGCCTCCCAAAGTGCTGGGATTACAGGTGCGAGTCACTGCACCCAGCCTAGCTTCTCTACTTTGGCCAGTTAAATCAACTTTCATTGGCTTGTAATGCACCATGGGATCTCAGGTTCACTCTACCAGCATCCCTGAAATTCACAATTGTGTAAGCAAGACACCAAAGTGAAAAACCATTAAAGGGAAAGATAAAAAGATCTGACTGCAAAAAATTTCTGAACATGAAAAAAAAAAACTAAAAGGCCAGCAATAAACTGAGAAAAGAATTGGATATATAAGACAAAGCGTTAATATATTTAATTGTATATAAACACTCATAAATCTGTATGAAAACATAAACAACCAAATAGAAAAGTGGGCAAAAGACATGGATAAGCAATTTAAAAATAGCTAATAGACTTGATAAACTTTTTTTTTTTTAAGAGAGGGTCTCACTCTGTCACCCAGGCTAGAGTACAGTGGCTTGATCACAGCTCACTGCAGCCTCAAACCCCTGGGCTCAAGAGATCTTCCTGCCTCAACCTCATGAGTAGCTGGGACTACAAACATGCGCCACCATGTCTGTCTAATTTTTTCTTACTTTTTGTAGAGACAGGGTCTCACTATGTTGTCCAGGCTGGTCTCGAACTCCTGGGCTCAAGCGACCTGCCTGCTCAGCCTCCCAAAGTTCTGGGATTACAGGTGTGAGCCACCATGCCTCACCTGTTTCCTCATTTTTAAAAAATAGTGGGGTATGTTTCATTGTATGGATACCCCATTACTTATTTAACAAATCCCTATTGCATCTGTGTCTATTTTGCTAGTATAATTAGTGCTGCTGTATACATGATTTTACTTAAATATTTGTGCACATACATGGTTATTTTCTCAGGATATATTTCTAGTCATGTCTCTAAGTGCTGGGATATGTTTTTTGTTTTTTGTTTTTTTGAGACAGAGTCTCACTCTGTCGCCCAGGCTGGAGTGCGGTGGCTGGATCTTGGCTCACTGCAACCTCCACCTCCTGGGATCAAGCGATTCTCCTGCCTCAGCCTCCTGAGTAGCTGGGATTACAGGCGTGCACCACTACATCCTGCTAATTTTTTGTATTTTTAGTAGAGATGGGGTTTCACCATGTTGGCCAGGCTGGTTTTGAACTCCTGACCTCAAGTGATCTGCCTGTCATGGCCTCCCAAAGTACTAGGATTACAGGCGTGAGCCACCTCGCCTGACAGGTTATGTTTTTTATTTAATTTTATTTATTTATTTATTTATTTATGAGACAGGGTCTCACTCTGTCACCCAGACGGGAGTTCCATGGCATGATCTCTGCTCACTGCAACCTCCGCCTCCCAGGTTCAAGCAATTCTCCTGCCTCAGCCTCCCAAGTAGCTGGGACTACAGGTGCATACCAGTATGCCCAGCTAATTTTGGTATTTTTAGTAGAGATGGGGTTTCCTAGGGGTATGTTTTAACTTAAAAAAAATAGGTGTTGGCCAGACACAGTGGCTCACGCCTGTAATCCCAGCACTTTGGGAAGCTGAGGCAGGCGGATCACATGAGCCCAGGATTTTGAGATCAGCCTGGGCAACTTGGCGAGACCCTGTCTCTACAAAAATACAAAAATACAAAAAAAAAAAAAAAAGGTGGCGCACGCCTGTGTTTCCAGCTACTCAGGTGGCTGAGGTGGGAGGATCACTTGAGCCCGGGAGGTGGAGGTTGCAGTGAGTTGTGATCTGCACTCCAGCCTGGGTAACAGAGCGAGAACCTGTCTCAAAAAAAAAAAAAAAAAAAAAAGAAGAAGAAGAAGAAGAAACACATTACGTTCTGATACAAGGAGCACTTCAAAATATATTGTTAAGTGCAGAACAAGACGTGGTGTTTACCTTTCATGCAAAAAAAGAAAAAAATCAGAATACGTATGTTTATATTTTCTGGTATATCCATAAAGAAACTCAGAAGGAATGCAGTGTATTGGAAGTGGGGTGGAGCAGGGAGCTAGAGTGAGAAAGTGATGTCTCACTGTGTACCTTTACAAATATTTTACATTCTGAAGAATGTAAATGTATTAATTATTCAAAATAATAGAATTACATTAACACCAAAAAATTCATTATATATAAAGTAAAAATTCAGGTTATAAAGTACAAATGCAAGACTATGACAACGTAATTTATTTTTGTTTTTAAAAAACCTATCTGGGCCGGGTGTGGTGGCTCACGCCTGTAATCACAGCACTTTGGGAGGCCGAGGTGGGCAGATCACCTGAGGTCACGAGTTTGAGACCAGCCGGGCCAACATGGTGAAACCCTGTCTCTACTAAAAATACAAAAATTAGCCGGGCATGGTGGTGGCAGGTGACTGTAATCCCAGCTACTCGGGAGGTTGAGGCAGCAAAATCGCTCGAACCTAGGAGGCGGAGGTTGCAGTGAGCCGAGATCATGCCATTGCACTCCAGCCTGGGGACAAGAGCGAGATTTTGTCTCAAAAAAAAAAAAAAAAACCTATCTGTACTTTCCAATTTTTCTATAATGAATCAGTATGGCTTATATAAAACAATAACTTTCTGCCTGTAGTCCCAGCTACTTTGGGAGCTGAGGTGGGATGATCACTTGAGCCCAGGAGTTTGAGGCTGCAGTGAGCCATGATTGTATCACTACACTCCAGCTGGGGCAACAGAGTGAGACCCTGTCTCAAAAAATAAAATAAAATAAATAATAAAACAATAACTTTAAAAATACGTGTGTGTATATGTATATATAGCTAAATATAGATAGATATTAGTTTGGTACAAAAGTAATTGTGATTTTTGCCAATTACTTTTGTCCGCCAGAATTCATGTGTTGAGACTTACTGGCCAATGTGATGGTATTGAGAGGTGGGGCCTCAGGAGGTGACTAAGTCATGAGGATGAAGCCCTCAGGGATGGATTAGGGTTCCTATAAAAGGGTGAGAGCAGGTGTTCACTCTCTTCTGCCCTGAAACTATGTAAGAGCATAGCATCTGTGCCGTTTTCTTTGCCTTCCAATCTCTTTTACCACATGAGGGAGGATGCAGCAAGAAGGCCTTCAACAGACACCACATGCCAGTGCTTTGGACTTCCCAGCCTCCAGAACTGTAAGAAATAAACTTCTGTTCTTTATACATTACCTGGTCTGTGGTGTTTGTTATAGCCGCCCAAACAGATTCAGACACTGACTTTCCTTCTCCTTGCAGGAGGCCTCACTATCAGGCCAAAAGATTCCTTGAGAATGAACTCTATGTAAAGGAAGCAGGATGAGGGTGTTGGAGGATGCAGACGGGGACCCAGTAGGGGTGTGAGCAAAGGTTGTCAGCACCAGCGACTTCCCCAGAGCTGCTCTTTCCTGTTGCAGAGGCCGACAATTCTATGGAAGCACAAGGTGTGCCTACAAAGCAATGCAACACAAATGCACATCAACAAACAAGAACTTAAACATACCAATTACTAATTATCTTCTTCTCTTACTTAACCACAGCAATCATTTTAGGACAATCACTTAATGCTAACAACGTTCTTTTATAAAACAATCTGAAAGTGCCAATTTTAGATTCTTGAGAGCCTATCACTTTATTTAAATTTTATTTTAAATATCTTTAGTGGTGATAAGTCTTTTTTTTTTTTTGAGACAGAGTCTCATTCTGTTGCCAAGGATAGAGTGCAATGGTGCGATTTCAGCTTACTACAACCTCTGTCTCCCAGGTTCAAGTGATTCTCCCACCTTAGCCTCCCCAGTAGCTAAGGTTACAGGCGCCCACCACCACGCCTGGCTAATTTTTGTATTTTTATAGAGATAGTTTTTCACCATGTTGGACAAGCTGGTCTTGAACTCCTGACCTCAGATGATCCCACCTACCTCGGCCTCCCAAAGTCCTGGGTTACAGGCTTGAGCCACCCTACCTGGCCAAATCTCTCTTTTTTTGAGACAGGGTCTCTCTCTGTCACCCAGGCTGAAGTACAGTGGCACAATCATGGTTCACTGCAGCCTCAACCTTGTAGGCTCAAGTGATTTTCCTGCCTTAGCCTCCCAAGTAGCTAGGACTACTTTTTTTTTTTTGAGGCAGAGTCTTACTCTGTTGCCCAGGCTGGAGTGCAGTGATGCAATCTCGGCTCACTGCAACCTCCACCTCCCAGGTCAAGCGCTTCTCATGCCTCAGCCTCCCAAGTAGCTGGGACTACAGGCAGGCACAACCAAGCCTGACTAAGTTTTGTGTTTTTAGTAAAGACGGAGTTTCACCTTGTGGGCCAGGCTGGTCTTGAACTCCTGACCTCAAGTGATCCGCCTGCCTTAGCCTCCCAAAGTGCTGGGATTACAGGCGTGTGCCACCGTGCCCAGCCGATTTTTTTTTTTTTTTTTTGAGACAGAGTCACATTCTGTTGCCCAGGCTGGAGTGCAGTGGTGCAATCTCAGCTCACTGAAGCCTTGACCTCCTGGGCTCAAGTGATCCTCCCACCTCAGCCTCCCAAAGATCTGGGACTACAGGTACATGCCACCACATCTGGCTAATTTTTTTTTTTTTTTGTAGTTTTTTGTAGAGACAAGATTTCCCCATATTGTCCAGGCTGGTCTCAAACTCCTAGGCTCAAGCGATCTACCTTCCTTGGCCTCCCAAAGTTCTGGGATTACAGGCATGAGCCACCGTGCCCAGGCCTGGCTAATTTTTTTTTTTTTTTTTTTTTGGTAGAGATGGGTTCTCACTGTGTTGCCCAGGCTAGTCTTGAACTCCTGGACACAAGCCATTTTCCCAACTTGGCCTCCCAAGGTGCTGAGATGACAGGCATTAGCCATCTCATCCAGCTGATAAATCTTTTTTTTTTTTTTTGAGGTGCAGTCTTGTTCTGTCTCCCAGGCTGGAATGCAGTGGCACAATCTCAGCTCACTGCAAGCTCCACATCCCGGGTTCACGCCATTCTTCTGCCTCAGCCTCCTGAGTAGCTAGGACTACAGGCGCCCGCCACCACGCCCGGCTAATTTTTTGTGTGTGTTTTTTTAAGTAGGGATGGGGTTTCACCGTGTTAGCCAGGATGATCTCGATCTCCTGACCTCGTGATCCGCCCACCTTGGCCTCCCAAAGTGCTGGGATTACAGGTGTGAGCCATCGCACCCAGCCTCCAGCTGATAAATCTTTATCCTTGGATGAGAGAGTTAATTGAAAGGGTTCTTCCTCCCTCCCTCCCTCCCTCCCTCCCTCTCTCTCTCTCTCCTTCTTTCTTTCTTTCTCTTCTTTCTTTTTTTTCTTTCTTCTTTCCTTCTTTCTTTCAAGATGGGGTCTTGCTATGTTGCCCAAGCTGGTCTTGAACTCCTAGGTTCAAGAGATCCCACTAACTTGGCCTCCCAAAGTGCTGAGATTACAGGCATGAGCCACCATGCTCAGCCAAGAGTTAATTTTTTTGAAGAAAACGAAATGTATTCCAGGACAAGACTGGGGTATACAGTGGTATACCAGTTATCTACTGTGGCTACCCCAAACAACAGCCATAGCTAGTGCATGATTCTGTGGATTGGCAATTCAGGCTGGGCTGAGCTGAGTGGTCCTTCTGGTCTTGTCCAGGGTCGCGCATAAATCTGCAGCTAATAATCCTAGCAGTTAGTCTGAGGGCAGGTCTGATTGACATGCCTAAGAATTGACTCAACTTTTGATTGAGATGACATGGGTGACAAGGCCATATGTCTCTTATTATTTAGTAGGCTAGCCTGGACCTGTTCATATGGCAGCTCAGCAGGTTCCAAATAAGAAAGTAGGCTGGGTGCAGTGGCTCATGCCTTTAATCCCAGCACTTTGGGAGGCCGAGGGGGACAGATCACCTGAGGTGAGGAGTTCAAGACCAGCCTGGCCAATATGGTGAAACCTTGTCTTTACTAAAAATATAAAAATTAGTTGGGCATGCTGGCACGTGCCTCGAATCCTAGCTACTGGGGAGGCTGAGGCAGGAGAATTGCTTAAACCTGGGAGGCGAAGGTTGCAGTGAGCCAAGATCATGCCACTGTACTCCAGCCTGGGCAACAAAGTGAGACTCCATCTCAAAATTTAAAAAAAAAAAAAAGAAAAGAAAGAAAACGAAAGTAGAAGCATGCCAGGGCTTCTTAAGGGCTACACATGGAACTGGAACATCACTCTGCCATATCTTATTGGCCAAAGCAACACAGAAGACCAGCCCAGATTCAAGGGATAAAAAAACAGAACCCACATTTTGATGGGAGGAATTGCAAAGTCACATTGCAAAGAGGGATGAAGATAGGAAGGGATGGAGAATTTTGGTTATGTTTACAGTCTGAAATAAGTATAATTGAGCCAATCAATACTATTTTGGATTTTTTTAAAAACCTGAGTCTGAAGTCTGATTTTCATGGATAACTGCCTCTTGAGGACATTTTGAAACAGTACACAAATACCTTTTTAAGTAAAAACAGCATCAGCACCACTGAAACAAATGCACATTCCCCCACCCCCCACACTCCCACACCACCCAGATGACCAGTCTGGAAGCCAGCACTCATCCAGGGTCTATGTTCTGGTGTTCTTGCTTAAAAACATTATGTTTTCAGCACCATAAGACAGGGCAAAGTTTTTTAAAGAAAAAAAACAAAGCATTTATTATTATTATTATTTTTTATTGATCATTCTTGGGTGTTTCTCACAGAGGGGGATTTGGCAGGGTCATAGGACAATAGTGGAGGGAAAGTCAGCAGATAAACAAGTGAACAAAGGTCTCTGGTTTTCCTAGGCAGAGGACCCTGTGGCCTTCCCAGTTTGTGTCCCTGGGTACTTGAGATTAGGGAGTGGTGATGACTCTTAATGAGCATGCTGCCTTCAAGCATCTGTTTAACAAAGCACATCTTGCACCGCCCTTAATCCATTTAACTCTGAGTGGACACAGCACATGTTTCAGAGAGCACAGGGTTGGGGGTAAGGTCACAAGATCAACAGGCTCCCAAGGCAGAAAAATTTTTCTTAGTACAGAACAAAATGAAAAGTCTCCCATGTCTACTTCTTTCTACACAGACACGGCAACCATCCGATTTCTCAATCTTTTCCCCACCTTTCCCCCCTTTCTATTCCACAAAGCCGCCATTGTCATCCTGGCCCATTCTCAATGAGCTGTTGGGCACACCTCCCAGACGGGGTGGTGGCCGGGCAGAGGGGCTCCTCACTTCCCAGTAGGGGCGGCCGGGCAGAGGCACCCCTCACCTCCCGGACGGGGTGGCTGGCCGGGTGGGGGGCTGACCCCCCCACCTCCCTCCCGGACGGGGCGGCTGGCCGACCCCCCCACCTCCCTCCCGGACGGGGCAGCTGGCCGGGCAGAGGGGCTCCTCACTTCCCAGTATGGGCGGCCGGGCAGAGGCGCCCCTCACCTCCCGGATGGGGCGGCTGGCGGGGCGGGGGGCTGACCCCCCCACCTCCCTCCCGGACTGGGCGGCTGGCCAGGCGGGGGGCTGACCCCCCCACCTCCCTCCCGGACGGGGCGGCTGGCTGGGCAGAGGGGCTCCTCACTTCCCAGTAGGGGCAGCCGGGCAGAGGCGCCCCTCACCTCCCGGACAGGGCGGCTGGCCAGGCGGGGGGCTGACCCCCCCCACCTCCCTCCCGGACGGGGTGGCTGCCGGGCAGAGATGCTCCTCACTTCCCAGACGGGGTGGCTGCCGGGCAGAGAGGCTCCTCACTTCTCAGACGGGGCGGCTGCCGGGCGAGGGTCTCCTCACTTCTCAGACGGGGCAGCCGGGCAGAGACGCTCCTCACCTCCCAGACGGGGTGGCGGCTGGGCAGAGGCGCTCCTCACATCCCAGACGGGGCGGCGGGGCAGAGGCGCTCCCCACATCCCAGACGATGGGTGGCCGGGCAGAGACGCTCCTCACTTCCTAGATGTGATGGCGGCCGGGAAGAGGCGCTCCTCACTTCCCAGATGGGATGGCGGCCGGGCAGAGACGCTCCTCACTTTCCAGACTGGGCAGCCAGGCAGAGGGGCTCCTCACATCCCAGACGATGGGCGGCCAGGCAGAGACGCTCCTCACTTCCCAGACGGGGTGGCGGCCGGGCAGAGGCTGCAATCTCGGCACTTTGGGAGGCCAAGGCAGGCGGCTGGGAGGTGGAGGTTGTAGCGAGCCGAGATCACGCCACTGCACTCCAGCCTGGGCGCCATTGAGCACTGAGTGAACCAGACTCCGTCTGCAATCCCGGCACCTTGGGAGGCCGAGGCTGGCGGATCACTCGCAGTTAGGAGCTGGAGACCAGCCCGGCCAACACAGCGAAACCCCGTCTCCACCAAAAAAATACGAAAACCAGTCAGGCGTGGCGGCGCGCGCCTGCAATTGCAGGCACTCCACAGGCTGAGGCAGGAGAATCAGGCAGGGAGGTTGCAGTGAGCCGAGATGGCAGCAGTATAGTCCAGCTTCGGCTCGGCATGAGAGGGAGACCATGGGGAGAGGGAGACCATGGGGAGAGGGAGAAGGAGAGGGCCATTTATTTTTTATTTTTCTGAGACAGAGTCTTACTCTGTCACCCAGTCTGGAGTGCAGTGGCATGATCTCGGCTCGTTGCAACCTCTGCTTCCCGGGTTCAAGCCATTCTCCGGCCTCAGCTTCCTGCATAGCTAGCTGGGTCTATAGGCTCACACCACCATGCCCAGCAGCTAATATTTGTATTTTTAGTAGAGATGGGGTTTCACCATGTTGACCAGTCTGGTCTTGAACTCCTGTCCTCAAGTGCTCCCCCTGCCTTGGCCTCCTAAAGTGCTGGGATTACAGGTGTGAGTCACTGCGCCTGGCCTACTTTTATAATTTTTTATACAGTTTTTTGTTGTTGGTTCAGACAAGATCTGACTCTGTCATCCAGGCTAGACCTCCTGGGCTCAAGTGATCATCCTTCTTCAGCCTCCCAAGTAGCTGGGACTACGGGTGTGTGCCACCACACCTGCTAATTTTTCTGATTTTTAGTAAAGATGAGGTCTCACTATGTTGTCAGGCTGGCCTTGAACTCCTGAGCTCAAGCTCGGCCTACCAAAATGCTAGGATTACAGGCATGAGCCACTGTACCCAGGCCATAGTTTATATATGTGTGTGTGTGTATATATATGTATGTATATATATATATATATATTTTTTTTTTTTTTCTTTTTTTTGAGACAGAGTCTTGTTCTGTCGTCCAGGCTGGAGTGCAGTACAATGATCATAGCTCACTTCAGTTTCCTGGGCTCAAGTGATCCTCCCACCTCAGCCTCTCAAGTACATAGGATTACAGGCATGAGCCACCACACTTTAACTGATACATTCTTATAGACCGACTTTCATTTTGACAAACATTGCTAAACCAAATTTTTTGTTTTTGAAACAGAATCTTGCTCTGCCCCCCAAGGCTGGAGTGCAGTAGCACGATCTTGGCTCACTGCAACCTCCATCTCCTGGGTTCAAGTGATTCTTGTGCCTCAGCCTCCTGAGTAGCTGGGATTACAGGCACCCGCCACTACAGCCGGCTAAGATTTTAGTAGAGACCGATTTTCACCATGTTGGCCAGGCTGGTTTTGAACTGCTGACCTCAAGTGATCTGCCTGCCTCAGCCTCCCAAAGTGCTAGGATTACATGCTAAGCCTATTTTTAAATAATCTCTTTAGTGTATCGAGTTGGCTATATTGCCACAATAATTCAACTTCAGACTTGCAACCAACATCCAGAATCACCAGACTCATGCGGGTCACATTCTGGAGCTTATGGAATCCAGAGGATGTTTCATGCAAACAACATGCATCAAACCCAGCTAGTGAACTTTTAAAAGCCTTTCAAAATACTTTAATAGTGGAGGTGCATATGGCAAAACACACGCAATCGCCTGAATGTCTGTGTCCCACCCAAACTCATATGTTGAAACCTAATCACCAATGCAATAGTATTAGGAGGTGGGGCCTTTGGGAGGTGATGAGGTCATAAAGGCTCTGCTCTCATTAATGGGATTCATGCCCTTTTATAAAAGAGGTTTGAGAACTGTTTGTTGCTTCCATTATGTGAGAGCACATAAAAGCCACCATCTAGGAGAAACTAGCCCTCACCAGACACCAAATCTGCCAGCACCTTGACCTTGGACTTCCGAGCCTCTAGGGCTGAGATTACATTTCTATTGTTTATAAATTATCCAGTCTATGACTGGGCATGGTGGCTCATGCCTGCAATCCCAGCTTTTTGGGAGACCGAGGCAGGTGGATCATCTGAGGTCAGGAGTTCAAGACCAGCCTGGCCAACGTGGCGAAACCCCATCTCTACTAAAAACACACACACACAAAATTAGCCAGGCATGGTAGTGCACACCTGTAGTCCCAGCTACTCGGGAGGCTGAGGCAGGAGAATCTCTTGAACCCGGGAGGTGAGGTTGCAGTGAGCCGAGATCGGGCCACTGCACTCCAGCCTGGGTGGCAGAGCAAGACTCCGTCTCAAGAAAAATAAAAATAAAAAATAAATTACCCAGTCTAAAGTATCTTGTTATAGCAACCCAAACAGACTAAGACAATATAGGTATAATATAAAGAATATAATGCCTTTAACAGACTAAATTATATTTGTGTGCACAAGCATTCTTGTGTACATGGAGAAAGGTCAGAAGGATACACACCAAACTGCTGAAAGTAGTTATCTCAGGAATTAGTCACAATATGATAAGAAGCTGGAGGCAGAGGCCAGGGAGTGGGGAAGAGGGAACTTCCACTTTTAGGATTATTTATTTATTTATTTGAGACAAGGTCTTGTTCTGTCATTGAGGTTGGAGTATAGTTGTGCAATCTCAGCTCACCACATCCTTGACTTCCCAGACTCAGGTGATTCTCCCCTCCCAAGTAGCTGGGACTACAGGCATGCACCACCACACCTAGCTAATTTTTTGTATTTCTTATAGAGACGAGATCTCACCATGTTGCCCAGGCTGGTCTCGAACTCCTGGACTCAAGTGATCCTCCTCCCTCAGCCTCCCAAAGTGCTGGGATTACAGGTGTGAGCCACTGCACCCAGCCAGAGCTCTAAAAATTTTGTACTATTTGAATTATTTACAACAATACTATAATTTATAATATTTGTGTATTATTTGTTAAAAGGCAAAAAGTATGAATAATGTTCATTGTTTACAATCCTTTGAATCAAAACAGTCTTCTAATGTCTACTCTAACTTTCTAGTCTGGAAATGCATTCCTTTCTTCCACATAGGTCCTGAATTGAAGCCAGGGTCATGCAGATTTGTGATATTTTTATGTTGCTTGTTTTGTTTTGTAAGAAAGAGTCTGACTTCACTTTCTGTGTTTGGCTGCTGCTATCTTTTAAGGTTTTCCCCTCTTACCCCACATCTGAGCAAGCTAAGAAAGCAGGTCCTCCCTCCCTTGGTTCAAACACCACAGGGAGACACCCTGGCCCCACTCCATAACCATTAGAAAAACCCCAAGCCCCGCCTCCTGCCTCTGATCTCTCAGGTCATTTGCAGACCATCTTGGGAAGCCTGCCCTGCTCTCTCCAGAAACACTTACTATGTGAGCAATAAAATGTTCATACCCTCTTGGGGTGTGTGTGAGTGTGTGTGTGTGTGTGTGTGTGTGCGCGCGTGATGTCATCAGTCATGATATCCAAAACAAATTTAGGGTAGGGGTCTGTTCTGCCTTTTTGAAATTGCCACATGTTTTAAGGCCAATTTCCTATACATCTAAAAGAAAAAACAAACTCGTGTTTCCTCTCTATTCTACTACCATTCCCAACACTTCCAGAATTTCAATTCCAATACCAGTTGTGTGCTGGTTTTCCCATCCCAACCAGTTGCCCAACTCTCTGGACACAGGTGACCGAGGATACAATTATGACCCCAACTACCTGCACTTAGCAGATCCCATGGGGTAAGGGCTCAGTCCCACAAGACTGCCCTCACTTACAACATCAGTTCCCAGTTACCCACACTTCTGTCCAATTTGGCTACAAATCAGAGATTCGCAACAACCCCTCCTCGAGTTTTATCATTTGCTATGATGACATGATCATAGCTCACTGCAGCCTCCTGGGCTCAAGCGATCTTCCCAACTCAGCCTCCCGAGTAGCTGGGACTACAGGTGCCTGTTACCATACCCAGCTAATTTTTTTGTAGACATGGCATCTCACTTTGTTGCCCAGGCTGGTCTCGAACTCCTGGCCTCAAGTGATGCACCCACCTGTGCCTCCCAAAGTGCTGGGATTACAGGTGTGAGCCAGTAACCCCAGTTGACACACGTATGTAATGTTTACTGGTTTATTATAAAGGATATGACAAAGGACACAGAGGACCAGCCAGCTGAAGAGGTACAGGGGACGAGGTCCAGAAGGGTCCGGGGCGCAGGAGCTTCTGTCCCGGTGGAGTTGCTATGCACCACCTTCCCAGAACTTGGATGTGTTCACTGACAAGGAACTCTCTAAACCCTGTTTTACCCTTTGAGACTGGCTTCTGTCCATACATAAAAACAGTATGTTTTTACTTTCATAATGCACTTTGGATTCACTCATGCTGTGTCAGTAGTTGTTGTTGTTTTATTGTTGAGCAGTATTCTATAGTATGGTTGTGCCATAGTCAGTTTAACCATTCATCTGTTAAAGTCCTTTGGGGTATTTATGGAGGCTTCATTGCATAGGCATGATTGATTAAATCACTGGCCATTGGTGGTCAACTTTCATCCCCCTCCCCTCTACAGAGATGGGGATGCTGAAAGTTCCCACACCCTAATCACATGGTTGGTTCCCTGAACACCAGCCCCAATGTTGAGGCTCTCCAGGAACTTCAGGCCACCAGTCATCTCATTAGCATACAAAGGCCCTTCTCACTTTAGAGATTCCAAGGGTTTCAGGAGCAGTGTGCCAGGAAAGGTGGGCAGAGACCAAATATTTGTTCCTTATTAATTATGTCACACACCAATTGCTGGTTTTTTTAAAAAAGACATATAGGCCAGGTGCGGTGGCTCATGTCTGTAATCCCAGCACTTTGGGAGGCCAAGGCGGGAAGATACCTGAGGTCAGGAGTTCAAGACCAGACCAGGAGTTCAAGACCAACATGGTGAAACCCCGTCTCTACTAAAAAATTACAAAAATTAGCTGGGCATGTTAGCAGGTGCCTGTAATCCCAGCTACTCAGGAGGCTGAGGCAGGAGAATCACTTGAACCCAGAGGCAGAGGTTGCAGTGAGCCGAGATCGCACCGTTGCACTCCAGCCTGGGTGACAGAGTGAGACTCTGTCTCAAAAAAAAAAAAAATTGACTCCTTTGGTATACAGTTCTATACATTCCAAAGCAGGCACAGATTCATGTCAGCACAATAGCAATCGAGATGTGGAAAGGTCCATCACCCCCCAAATTCCCTCAGGCTGCCCCTTTGTAGCCAAACCCTCCCCGCCACCTAACCACTGCCAAACACTGATCCGCCCTTCATCCCTATACTGTTGCCTTTCCAGAATAACATATAAATGGAATTATGCAGTATTTAACCCTTTGAGACTGGCTTTCAGTAAAGAAAAACAGCACGTTTTTACTTTCATAATGCATTTCCGATTCACTCACGCTGTGTGTGTCAGCAGGTTGTTTTTATTGTTGAGCAGTATTCTATTTTATGGTTGTGCCACAGTTCGCTTATTCATTCATCTGTTAAAGGACATGTGGATTATTTCCAGTTTCAAGCAGTTATGTTAGAAACACTTGTATTTGCTGTTTAAACAATAAACTTTTTTTAAAGAGATCGGAGTCTCACTATGTTGCCCAAGCTAATCTCAAACTCCTAACCTTGAGCAATCCTCTTGCCTTGACCTCCCGAAGTGCTTTGGGATTCCAGATGTGAGCCACAGCACCCAGCCATAAGATATCAACTTCTATAAGCACCTGTGTTACCAGTTGAGGGTGTCCAGGTTCTTGGCGTTTTGAAGAAAGAATTGGACAAAACATATAAACAAAGCAAGGAAATAATAAAGCAACAAAAGCAGAGACTTATTGAAAATAAAAGCACACTCCACAGGGTGGGAGCGGCCCGAGCAAGCGGCTCAAGGGCCCAGTTACAGAGTTTTCTGAGGTTTAAATACCCTCTACAGGTTTCCATTGGTTACTATGTAAATGAAGAAGATGAAGTTACAAAGTCATTTACTCTGTGCCCGCCCTATTTAAATGAAGAGGATTTAAATGAAGAGGAAGCCATTATCCAAAGGGTTTGTACCATTTTGCACTTTCACCAGCAATGTATGAGAGTTCTAGTTGGACCATATCCTTGCCAGCACTTGGTGTTGTCACTCTTTTTATTTTATTTTATTTCATTTTATTTTTGAGACTGGGTCTTACTCTGTCACCCAGGCCGGAGTGCAGTGGCATGACCACAGCTCACTGCGGCCTCAACCTCCTAGGCTCAAGTGATCCTCCCACCTCAGCTCCCCGAGCAGCTGGGACTACAGGTACATCCACCAGGCCTGGCTAATTTTTGTATTTTTAGTAGAGACAGGGTCTTGCTGTGTTGCCCAGCCTGGTCTCAAACTCCTGGACTCAAGCAATCCTCCTGCCTCAGCCTCTTAAAGTGCTAGGATTACAGGCGTGAGCCACCATGTCTGGCCAAGGTGTTGTCACTCTTTTACCTTTTTTGTTTTGGGGGATTTCTTGGGAGACGGTTTTGGTTTTGGTGTGTACTGGTATCTCGTGGTTTTAACTTGTATTTTTCTATTTTTTTCTTTCTTCTTTTTTTTTTTTTTTTGAGACAGGATATCACTCTGTTGCCCAGGCTGGAGTGCAGTGGTGTAATCAAGGCATATTGCAGCCTTGACTTCAGCCTCAGGTGATCCTCCCACCTCAGTCTCTCAAGTAGCTGGGATTACAGGGGTACACCACCACACTTGGCTTTTTTTTTTTTTTGTACAGACAGGGTTTCGCCATTTTGCCCAGGCTGGTCTCCAACTCTTGGGCTCAAGTGATTCACTTGCTTTGGCCTCCCAAAGTGCTAGTGATGGCAGTAGCTGCTGCCATCACGCTGGCTGCAGCAGGAAGGCATAGCTGGGGCTGCACACTCCATGGAGCCTGTGGGAGCCCCACCCCTTCTAAGGTGTAGTGGGAGCTCGCTGGGTGCGGCTGCAGGCACCCATAGGGAGGCTGCAGACCCAGGCCTCCTGCTCTACTGAGCAGGCAGGAATCCCACACTCCTGGGTGGGGCTACAGCCACCCAAACTATGGCTGTGGATCCGAGCCTCCCTGTGCTCTTGGAGGGGGCCAGGAGCATGCAGGGTCTACCCTCCTCTGTGCAGCTGCAATGCCTGACCCTCGGCTGCAGACCTGTGCCTCCCACTCCACAGAGCAGGCAGGAGCCGGGGAAAAGCAGGAATCCCCCCCACTTCCACGTTGGTGGGCGGGAGCTCCCAGGGTGTAGCTGCGGCCACCGTCCCAGCTGCAGGACCGGGGAGTCTCTGCAGCCTGCACCCTCGGGCTGGGAAGGCCCCCTATCCGCTTCTCTGCAGGTTTGGGCTGTCTGCTTCCACTGCCTGGTCCCTTTCCTTTTCGGCACCTGCTCTGATCAGGGAGTTGGGTTGGGTTGGGTTGGAGCCCTGAATAGCAGCGGCAGGCCTGGGTGGAAGGGGGTGGATCCCAGGTAAGGCCCCATCTTCAGACTAGGGAGGGCCTGAAGGTTGGGGGCTGGGCTGCCAGTCCAGCTGACCAGAGTGGGGACTCTGCGTGCCTCTTCTGGGCCCGCCCATGGCCAACCATGGACCAATCAGCATGCACTTCCTACCCTCTGAGGTCCATAAAAGCCCTGGGCTCAGCCAAGAGCAGGGCAGAGAAGGGCCAGCAGAGGAAGAGAAAGGAGAGGAGTACCCTATCTGCTGAGAGCTGTAGAGCAGACCTGCCGTCAGAGAGTAGCCGCTCTCTCTAGGGCCTGCTGCAGAGAGGAGCTACTTTCTCTGCTGAGAGCTGCAGAGATGACCTGCCAGCAGAGAGGAGCCACTCTTTCCAGGGTCCTCTCTCTGCTGAGAACTGCACTGAGACAACCACTTGCAGAGAGGAGCTACCCTCTCCAGGGCCTCCTCCCTGCTGAGAACTGAACACTCCACAGATGATCTACCTACAGAGAGGAGCTGTATACACTGCGGGTCTCCTCTGAGCTGTTATAATACTTAATAAAGTTCATCTTGTTCACTCTTCACTTGTCTGTGTACCTCATTCTTTCTGGAAACCTGACCACCAAAGCCAAAATCAACACCCTAAACTGACACCCCAAAGATCCTGAAACACTGGATATGAGGCATGAGCCATCAAGCCCAGTCTTGTATCTCTCTAATGACAAAGGATGTAAGCATCTTTTTATGCACTTATTTGGACATCCGTATACTCTCTCTGGTTAAGGATCTGTTCAAATTTTTTACCCATTTTTAATTGGGTTATTTGTGTTCTTGTTTGTTAATTAGAGGTTTTTATATATTTCGATGCAAGTTCTCCAGAGATTTTGCCTTTTGAAATGGGAAGAAATCTAAAGTCAAGAGCTTTGGGAAAGGGATGGTAGTTCGAAATAAATCTGCATTATTCTGATGAGGCTTAAAAAAATTATGACTCCATAATCATAGATCAAAAGAACCTGTTATAACGCAGGTATTAGAAAGCAATGATTAAATCTGAACTGTAAGCTTCCAGCATTACCGTATACAGTATAGATTACCATATACAGTAGATTACAGTATAATTACCAGTACACACTATCTACTGTATACAGTACGTTACAGTATAATCTATACTGAGCATAGAAAGATCCATTATGACCTTTTTACTATAACTTAAGTGATCAAATGTGCATTCTATTTTGACATATATGCTTGAAGATTTTCAAATAAAAGACCACATTTTTTAAAAAGAAAATATAGGCCAGGTGCAGTGTCTCAGGCCTGTAATCCCAGCACTTTGGGAGGCCGAGGTGGGCGGATTACCTAAGGTCAGGAGTTCAAAACTAGCCTGGCCAACATGGTGAAACCCCATCTTTACCAAAAATACAGAATTAACTGGGCGTGGTGTGCGCCTGTAATCCCAGCTACTCAGGAGGCTGAGACAGGAGAATTGTTGAACCTAGGAGGCAGAGGTTGCAGTGAGCCGAGACTGCGCCACCATACTCCAGCCTGGGCGACAGAGAGAGACTGTCTCAAATAAATAAATAAATAGAAATCATTATTGAATTATAATATGTATTTTAAAAGCATAAGAAAAGAAAAAATAAAAAGCACAGAAGCATACGTTTCTGAGCAGAACCCTATTATCACTTGCAGTGTGTGTGTGTGTGTGTGTGTGTTTAAACATTAAAAACCTTTCTGTTTTGCAAACAAGGATTTTTAAATAAACTGATATATGGAAAATGCTTGGGAACATAATATATTCAGAAAACTTCATTTATTCAGCAAACATATATTCAGTGTCTACTCTGTGTCAGGTACTTTGCTAGGAAATAGAGAAATAAAGACTAAAGCCACAACCCTACTCATAAGGAGCCTGAAGTTGCACATATTCCAGTGTGGGAAGTGCTAAGCTGCACAAGTACAAAAGTCAAGACATTGAACAGGGCATGCTACTTTGCACTACCTTTTCCCAGGGAGTCTTACATTTTTGCTTTACATATACGAACAGTGTTTCAATACAACATACTGAGTATGTTTGCAGATACAACTCAATATCAACCGTACATGCATTTGCCCACACTGGTCCTCACCCTTCAACTCCTGTCTTTCTTTCACAACAGATCTATAAGCTATTATGTTCTGTGTTGCATTCAGAATACATTCAGAATCCAGCCACTGCTAAATATGTTGTACCACTACCACCCTGGACATCTCTTGCCTGGATGATTGTAGCAGCTTGCTAACTTCTGCACTTACTGCTCTTCCATCTATTCTCAATGCAGCAGTCAGAGAATCCTTTGAAAATGTCTATCCCATCACATTACTTCACTGCTCAAAATCCTCCAATGTCTTCCCATCTCACCCTGGGTAAAAGACAAAGTCTGTACAATGCACAGAAAGCTCTACATGTCCGGGCGCGATGGCTCACACTTCCTAGCACTTTGGGAGGCCGAGGTGGGCAGATCACTTGAGGTCAGGAGTTCAAGACCAGCCTGGCCAACATAATAAAAAGTCATTTCCACTAAAAATACAAAAAATTAGTTGGGTGTGGTGGCACGCACCTGGAGTCCTAGCTACTGGGGAGGCTGAGGCAGGAGAATCACTTAAGCCATGGAGGTGGAGGTTGCAGGGAGCCCAGATCATGCCACTGAACTCCAGCCAGAGTAACAGAGTGAGACTCTGTCTCAAGTAAAATAAAAAGAAAGCTCTACATGACCTGCCTTAACTTACCTTTCTGTCCTCGCCTCCTGCTCTACTTACAAGAAGGCTGCTTCTGCCTCAGTGTCTGTTCACCTGTTGTTCCTTCCACTCAGACTGGCATGCTCTTTCCCCACATATTTTAAAGCTCCCTCCTTCACTTCCTCCAGGACTTTACTCAAACGTCCCATCTTAGAGAGATCTCTGGCCACCATATCTAAAATTTCAATAGCATGCATAAACTTGTATATCCCTCCCCCAACATTTCCTATTCTTCTTTCCTGATATTTTTCCCCTTAGCATTGATCACTATCTCACTTATTATATACTTATTGTTTACTGGTAAACTCCATGAGGGCAGAGATCAAATGTAGATGTGTTTCACTGATGTTTCCACCAAGTGCCTAAAACTATATAAATATTTAACTTAATAAATTTCCTGGGCTGGGCGAGGTGGCTCACACTTGTAATCCCAGCACTCTGGGAAGCCGAGGCAGGCAGACTGCCTGAGCTCAGGAGTTCAAGACCACCCCGGGCAACATGGTGAAACCCTGTCTCTACTAAAATACAAGAAATTAGCCGGGCATGGTGGCAGGTGCCTGTAATCCCAGCTATTCGGGAGGCTGAGGCAGGAGAATCACTTGAACCCAGGAGACGGAGGTTGCAGTGAGCTGAGATTGTGCCACTGCACTCCAGCTTGGGCGACAGAGTGAGACTCTGTCTAAAAATAAATAAATAAATAAATTTGTGGAATGAACAAATGGACAAAAAAATACTTTATACAAGGAATTCATTTATTCAATCCATAGATATTTACTGACTGCTTATTATGTACAAAGCACTTTTTAAAGGAGAGGAAATAAGAGAGAAATAGTTTGCACTTCCATGAAACTTACAGAAAAGTGAGAATGAATCTTTAAACCATTTTCACGCTCAAAAAATTTACTGCACAACAGGACATAAAAACCTAAGTTCTTTAGCCAGGCATGGTGGTACATGCCTGTAGTCCTAGCTACTCGGGGGCTGAGGTAGGAGGATCACTTGAGTCCAGGTGTTCGAGGTTGCAGTGAGTTATGACTGTGCCACTGCATGCCAGCCTGGGTGATGGAGCTAAGACTGCCTTTTTTTTTTTTTTTTTTTTGAGACAGAGTCTCGCTCTGTCGCCCAGGCTGGAGTGCAGTGGCACAATCTCAGCTCACTGCAAGCTCCGCCTCCCGGGTTCAAGCCATTCTCCTGCCTCAGCCTCCCGAGTAGCTGGGACTACAGGCGCCCGCCACCACGCCCGGCTAATTTTTGTATTTTTAGTAGAGACAGGGTTTCACTGTGTTAGCCAGGATGGTCTCGATCTCCTGACCTCATGATCCACCCGCCTCGGCCTCCCAAAGTGCTGGGATTACAGGCATGAGCCACTGCGCCCGGCCAAGACTGTCTCTTAAAAAAAAAAAAAAAAAAAAAAAAAAAAACCTAAATTCTGCACAAATCTATATACCCTTACAGACCGTCTTAAAACCTAACAATTATAGTATTGTTTATCACACATCTCTAAAGAGCAATGAAATCTTATTAGTGGTAAACCACACTCACTTCATAATGTCTATCCAAATCTGGAATCCAATTGCTGTAAAACATTGGCAGTGTTGAAAGCTACCTTCACTGTGCATGGGGCTTGGAGGAAAGAGACCATGCCTATTCTGCAGTACCTGGCAAAAAGGGAATTTATTATTGTATAATAAATGTGAGTTGTTGACTCGCTCAGCAAAGAAGAAGAGCCACAACATGTGGCCTTCCCCAGAGTGGCATTTAAAAGAGTAGTCACAACTAATATTTAGAACTTCATTAGTCCTGCTGAGAAGAGAGATACAAAAACTCATAAGGAATTCTTGCAGAAGTTGAGGCATGCTGCTTCACTTAAGGCCACCATTAAATAATGGTTTTCTAGATAAGGAGCGCTATTCATTCCTCTTAGTCAGTCCACTAATCTGGCAGGAAAAGAGTACGTAAATGGCTTAGCTTTAGTTTGCTGAAAGAAAATTTCAGAATGCGATCTTTTTCCCAAGGAGAGACAGATTTACACTACAATCATTTCACTGTGCTTCATCCCTCATGGAGATCTTTCTTTTTTTTTTTCTTTTTAGACAGGGTCTCACTTTGTCAACTAGGCTGGAGTGCAGTGGCATCATTACATCTCACTGCAGCCTTGACCTCCCGGGCTCATGTGATCCTCCCACCTCAGCCTCCTGAATAGCTGGGACTACAGGCGTGCACCATCATGCCTGGCTAATTTTTTGTATTTTTTGAAGAGACAGGGTTTCACTGTGTTGCCCAGGCTGGTCTTGAACTCCTGGACTCAAGTGATCTGCACACTTTAGCATCCCAAAGTGCTGGGATGACAGGTATGGGTCACCATGCCCAGCTGAGATCTGTCTAAAGACGATTTTACTGTGCTTTCTTTCAGAAGAAAATAGGGCTTCCATTGCCAAGGTCAACAGTCTGGATTTCTGTGTATTTTTCCAGTTGGACCTGAGTAGCTTGTTTCTTTAGTAGGGAAAATCTGCCAGCCAAGTTCACAGCTAACCACAGCTAAAGTAATGTCTCCATTACTTTGACCTAGAAACTGTAATTCAATGCTACTATTCTTACGATTTCAAGGTATCTTTCCCTGAATCATAGAAGAAAGCTAATGACTTCGAGCTCAAATGGCAAGTACTGATGCTGATGGCTGCTGACTAGATAGTCCACTAGGAGCTCTTTAGTTCTGCAATAATTTGAAATTAATTCCTTCTTTTTCTGAATAAAATTCAAAATTTTTTTATTAAAGCAACTTTCTTTAAAAGTTAAATTATTAAAAATAAATTCAGAATTTGATTCAG